>NC_000004.12:51107679-51418956 GCF_000001405.40 Homo sapiens
AGCATTCTCAGAAACTTCTTTTTGATGTGTGTACTCAAGTAACAGAGTTGAACCTTCCTCTTGACACAGCAGTTTTGAAACAATCTTTTTGTAGAATCTGCAAGTGGATATTTGGATAGCTTTGAGGATTTCGTTGGAAACGGGGTATCTTCATATAAAATCTAGACAGAAGCATTCTCAGAAACTTCTTTGTGCTGTATGTCCTCAATTAACAGAGTTGAACCATTGCCTGGATACAGCATTTTGGAAACATTCCTTGAGTAGAATCTGCAAGTTGATATTTAGATAGATTTGAAGATTTCGTTGGAAAAGGGAATATCTCCATATAAAATCTAGAGGGAAGCATTCTCAGAAACTGCTTTGTGATGTTTCCATTCAAGTCACAGAGTTGAATATTCCCTTTTATAGAGCACGTTTGAAACACTCTTTCTGCACTATCTGGAAGCGGACATTTCGAGCGCTTTGAGGCCTATGGTGAAAAAGGAAATATCTTCCCATAAAAACTAGACAGAAGCATTCTCAGAAACTTGTTTGTGATGTGTGTATTCAACTAACAGAGTTGAACTTTTGTTTTTACAGAAACGTTTTAAAACACTCTTTTTGTGGAATCAGAAAGTGGATATTCGGATGGCTCTGAGGATTTCGTTGGAAGCGGGATTACGTATAAAATCTAGAGAGAAGCATTCTCAGGAACTTCTTTCTGATGTTTGCATTGAAGTCACGGAATTGAACATTCACTTTTATAGAGCAGGTTTGAAACACTCATTCTGTAGTATCTGGAAGTGGACATTTCAAGCGCTTTCAGGCCTATGGTGAGAAAGGAAATATCTTCGAATAAAAACTAGACAGAAAGCATCCTCAGAAACTTATTTGTGATGTGTGTCCTCAACTAACAGAGTTGAAACTTTGTTTTGATACAGCATTTTGGAAACACTCTTTTTGTAGAATCTGCAGGTGGATATTTGGATAGCTTAGAGGGATTCGTTGGAAAGGGGATATCTTCATATAAAATCTAGACAGAGCATTCTCAGAAACTTATTTGTGATGTGTGTCCTCAACTAACAGAGTTGAACCTTGGTTTTGATACAGCATTTTGGAAACACTCCTTTTGTAGAATCTGCAGGTGGATATGTGGATAGCTCTGAAGATTTCGTTGGAAACGGGAATTTCTTCATATAAAATCAAACAGAAGCATTCTCAGAAACTTCTCAGTGATGTTTGCATTCAGCTCATGGAGTTGTACACTTCCTTTCATAGAGCAGGTTTGAAACACTCTTTCTGCACTACCTGGAAGAGGACATTTCGAGCGCTTTGAGTCCTATGGTGAAAAAGGAAATATCTTCTCATAGAAACCAGAAAGAAGCATTCTCAGAAACTTCTTTGTGTTGTGTGTACTCATGTAACAGTGTTGAACCATCCTTTTGACAGAGGAGTTTTGAAACACTCTTTTGGTAGAATCTGCAAGTGGATATTTGGATAGCTTTGAGGATTTCGTTGGAAACGGGTTATCTTCCTATAAAATCCAGACAGGAGCATTCTCAGAAACTTCTTTGTGCTGTATGTCCTCAATTCACAGAGCTGAACCTTTGTTTGGATACAGCATTTTGGAGACATTCCTTTAGTAGAATCTGCAAGTTGATATTTAGATAGCTTTGAAGATTTCGTTGGAAACGGGAATATCTTCATAGAAAATCTAGACGGAAGCATTCTCAGAAACTGCTTTGTGATGTTTGCATTCAAGTCACAGAGTTGAATATTCCCTTTTATAGAGTAGGTTTGAAACACTCTTTCGGCACTACCTGGAAGTGGATATTTCGAGCTCTTTGAGGCCTATGGTTAAAAGGAAATATCTTCCCATAAAAACTAGACAGAAGCCGTCTCAGAAACTTGTTTGTGATGTGTGTATTCAACTAACAGAGTTGAACATTTCTGTTACAGAGCAATTCAAAACACTCTTTTTGTGGAATCTGAAAGTGGATAATTGGATAGCTTTGTGGATTTCGTTGGAAACGGGATGACGTATAAAATCTAGAGAGAAGCATTCTCAGGAACTTCTTTCTGATGTTTGCATTCAAGTCACAGAATTGAACATTCCTTTTCATAGTGCAGGTTTGAAACACTCTTTCTGTAGTATCTGGAAGTGGACATTTCAAGCGCTTTCAGGCCTGTGGGGAGAAAGGAAATATCTTCAAATAAAAACTAGACAGAAGGATTCTCAGAAACTTATTTGTGATGTGTGTCCTAAACGAACACAGTTGAACCTTTGTTTTGATACAGCATTTTGGAAACACTCCTTTTGTAGGATCTGCAGGTGGATATTTGGATAGATTTTAAGATTTCGTTGGAAACGGGAATTTCTGCATATAAACTCAAGACAGATGCATTCTCAGAAACTTCTCTGTGATGTTTGCATTCCACTCATAGAGTTGAAAACTTCCTTTCATAGAGCAGGTTTGAAACACTCTTTTTGTAATATTTGGAAGTGGACATTTGCAGCACTGTGAGGCCTATGGTGAAAAAGGAAATATCTTCTCATAAAAACCAGAAACAAGCATTCTCAGAAACTTCTTTTTGATGTGTGTACTCAAGTAACAGAGTTGAACCTTCCTTTTGACACAGCAGTTTTGAAACAATCTTTTTGTAGAATCTGCAAGTGGATATTTGGATAGCTTTGAGGATTTCGTTGGAAACGGGATATCTTCATATAAAATCTAGACAGAAGCATTCTCAGAAACTTCTTTGTGCTGTATGACCTCAATTAACAGAGTTGAACCATTGCTTGCATACAGCATTTTGGAAACATTCCTTGAGTAGAATCTGCAAGTTGATATTTAGATAGATTTGAAGATTTCGTTCGAAAACGGAATATCTCCATATAAAATCTAGAGGGAAGCATTCTCAGAAACTGCTTTGTGATGTTTCCATTCAAGTCACAGAGTTGAATATTCCCTTTTATAGAGCACGTTTGAAACACTCTTTCTGCGCTATCTGGAAGTGGACATTTCGAGCGCTTTGAGGCCTATGGTGAAAAAGGAAATATCTTCCCATAAAAACTAGACAGAAGCATTCTCAGAAACTTGTTTGTGATGTGTGTATTCAACTAACAGAGTTGAACTTTTGTTTTTACAGAGCCGTTTTAAAACACTCTTTTTGTGGAATCAGAAAGTGGATATTCGGATGGCTCTGAGGATTTCGTTGGAAGCGGGATTACATATAAAATCTAGAGAGAAGCATTCTCAGGAACTTCTTTGTGATGTTTGCATTGAAGTCACAGAATTGAACATTCACTTTGATAGAGCAGGTTTGAAACACTCATTCTGTAGTATCTGGAAGTGGACATTTCAAGCGCTTTCAGGCCTATGGTGAGAAAGGAAATATCTTCGAATAAAAACTAGACAGAAGCATCCTCAAACTTATTTGTGATGTGTGTCCTCAACTAACAGAGTTGAAACTTTGTTTTGATACAGCATTTTGGAAACACTCTTTTTGTAGAATCTGCAGGTGGATATTTGGATAGCTTAGAGGGATTCGTTGGAAAGGGGATATCTTCATATAGAATCTAGACAGAAGCATTCTCAGAAACTTATTTGTGATGTGTGTCCTCAACTAACAGAGTTGAACTTTGGTTTTGATACAGCATTTTGGAAACACTCCTTTTGTAGAATCTGCAGGTGGATATGTGGATAGCTCTGAAGATTTCGTTGGAAACGGGAATTTCTTCATATAAAATCAAACAGAAGCATTCTCAGAAACTTCTCAGTGATGTTTGCATTCAGTTCATGGAGTTGAACACTTCCTTTCATAGAGCCGGTTTGAAACACTCTTTCTGCACTACCTGGAAGAGGACATTTCGAGCGCTTTGAGTCCTATGGTGAAAAAGGAAATATCTTCTCATAGAAACCAGAAAGAAGCATTCTCAGAAACTTCTTTGTGTTGTGTGTACTCATGTAACAGTGTTGAACCATCCTTTTGACAGAGCAGTTTTGAAACACTCTTTTTGTAGAATCTGCAAGTGGATATTTGGATAGCTTTGAGGATTTCGTTGGAAACGGGATGACATATAATATCTAGAGAGAAGCATTCTCAGGAACTTCTTTGTGATGTTTGCATTCAAGTCACAGAATTGAACATTCCCTTTCATAGAGCAGGTTTGAAACACTCTTTCTCTAGTATCTGGAAGTGGGCATTTCAAGCGCTTTCAGGCCTATGGAGAGAAAGGAAATACCTTCAAATAAAAACTAGACAGAAGCATTCTCAGAAACTTATTTGTGATGTGTGTCCTCAACTAACAGAGTTGAACCTTTGTTTTGATACAGCATTTTGGAAACACTCCTTTTGTAGAATCTGCAGGTGGATATTTGGATAGCTTTGAAGATTTCGTTGGAAACCGGAATATCTTCATATAAAATCAAGACAGAAGCATTCTCAGAAACTTCTCTGTGATGTTTGCATTCAGCTCATGGAGTTGAACACTTCCTTTCATAGAGCAGGTTTGAAACACTCTTTCTGCACTAACTGGAAGTGGACATTTCGAGCGCTTTGAGGCCTATGGTGAAAAAGGAAATATCTTCTCATAAAAACCAGAAAGAAGCGTTCTCAGAAACTTCTTTGTGTTGTGTGTACTCATGTAACAGTGTTGAACCTTCCTTTTGACAGAGCAGTTTTGAAACAGTCTTTTTGTAGAATCTGCAAGTGGATATTTGGATAGCTTTAAGGATTTCGTTGGAAACGGGTTATCTTCATATTAAATCTAGACAGAAGCATTCTCAGAAACTTCTTTGTGCTGTATGTCCTCAATTCACAGAGTTGAACCTTTGTTTGGATACAGCATTTTGGAAACATTCCTTTAGTAGAATCTGCAAGTTGATATTTAGATAGCTTTGAAGATTTCGTTGGAAACGGGAATATCTTCATAAAAAATCTAGACGGAAGCATTGTCAGAAACTGCTTTGTGATGTTTGCATTCAAGTCACAGAGTTAAATATTCTTTTACAGAGCAGGTTTGAAACACTCTTTCTGCACTCCCTGGAAGTGGAGATTTCGAGCGCTTTGAGGCCTATGGTGAAAAAGGAAATATCTTCCCATAAATACTAGACGGAAGCCTTCTCAGAAACTTGTTTGAGATGTGTGTATTCAACTAAGAGTGTTGAACATTTCTTTTTACAGAGCAGTTTTAAAACACTCTTTTGTGGAATCTGAAAGTGGATAATTGGATAGCTTCGTGGATTTCGTTGGAAACGGGATGACGTATAAAATCTAGAGAGAAGCATTCTCAGGAACTTCTTTCTGATGTTTGCATTCAAGTCACAGAATTGAACATTCCTTTTCATAGTGCAGGTTTGAAACACTCTTTCTGTAGTATCTGGAAGTGGACATTTCAAGCGCTTTCAGGCCTATGGGGAGAAAGGAAATATCTTCAAATAAAAACTAGACAGAAGGATTCTCAGAAACTTATTTGTGATGTGTGTCCTAAACGAACACAGTTGAACCTTTGTTTTGATACAGCATTTTGGAAACACTCCTTTTGTAGGATCTGCAGGTGGATATTTGGATAGATTTTAAGATTTCGTTGGAAACGGGAATTTCTTCATAGAAGCTCAAGACAGATGCATTCTCAGAAACTTCTCTGTGATGTTTGCATTCCACTCATAGAGTTGAAAACTTCCTTTCATAGAGCAGGTTTGAAACACTCTTTTTGTAATATTTGGAAGTGGACATTTGCAGCGCTTTGAGGCCTATGGTGAAAAAGGAAATATCTTCTCATAAAAACCAGAAACAAGCATTCTCAGAAACTGCTTTTTGATGTGTGTACTCAAGTAACAGAGTTGAACCTTCCTTTTGACACAGCAGTTTTGAAACAATCTTTCTGTAGAATCTGCAAGTGGATATTTGGATAGCTTTGAGGATTTCGTTGGAAACGGGATATCTTCATATAAAATCTAGAAAGAAGCATTCTCAGAAACTTCTTTGTGCTGTATGTCCTCAATTAACAGAGTTGAACCATTGCTTGGATACAGCATTTTGGAAACATTCCTTGAGTAGAATCTGCAAGTTGATATTTAGATAGATTTGAAGATTTCGTTGGAAAAGGGAATATCTCCATATAAAATCTAGAGGGAAGCATTCTCAGAAACTGCTTTGTGATGTTTCCATTCAAGTCACAGAGTTGAATATTCCCTTTTATAGAGCACGTTTGAAACACTCTTTCTGCACTATCTGGAAGTGGACATTTCGAGCGCTTTGAGGCCTATGGTGAAAAAGGAAATATCTTCCCATAAAAACTAGACAGAAGCATTCTCAGAAACTTGTTTGTGATGTGTGTATTCAACTAACAGAGTTGAACTTTTGTTTTTACAGAGCCGTTTTAAAACACTCTTTTTGTGGAATCAGAAAGTGGATATTCGGATGGCTACTGAGGATTTCGTTGGAAGCGGGATTACGTATAAAATCTAGAGAGAAGCATTCTCAGGAACTTCTTTGTGATGTTTGCATTGAAGTCACAGAATTGAACATTCACTTTGATAGAGCAGGTTTGAAACACTCATTCTGTAGTATCTGGAAGTGGACATTTCAAGCGCTTTCAGGCCTATGGTGAGAAAGGAAATATCTTCGAATAAAAACTAGACAGAAGCATCCTCAAACTTATTTGTGATGTGTGTCCTCAACTAACAGAGTTGAAACTTTGTTTTGATACAGCATTTTGGAAACACTCTTTTTGTAGAATCTGCAGGTGGATATTTGGATAGCTTAGAGGGATTCGTTGGAAAGGGGATATCTTCATATAGAATCTAGACAGAAGCATTCTCAGAAACTTATTTGTGATGTGTGTCCTCAACTAACAGAGTTGAACTTTGGTTTTGATACAGCATTTTGGAAACACTCCTTTTGTAGAATCTGCAGGTGGATATGTGGATAGCTCTGAAGATTTCGTTGGAAACGGGAATTTCTTCATATAAAATCAAACAGAAGCATTCTCAGAAACTTCTCAGTGATGTTTGCATTCAGTTCATGGAGTTGAACACTTCCTTTCATAGAGCCGGTTTGAAACACTCTTTCTGCACTACCTGGAAGAGGACATTTCGAGCGCTTTGAGTCCTATGGTGAAAAAGGAAATATCTTCTCATAGAAACCAGAAAGAAGCATTCTCAGAAACTTCTTTGTGTTGTGTGTACTCATGTAACAGTGTTGAACCATCCTTTTGACAGAGCAGTTTTGAAACACTCTTTTTGTAGAATCTGCAAGTGGATATTTGGATAGCTTTGAGGATTTCGTTGGAAACGGGATGACATATAATATCTAGAGGGAAGCATTCTCAGGAACTTCTTTGTGATGTTTGCATTCAAGTCACAGAATTGAACATTCCCTTTCATAGAGCAGGTTTGAAACACTTTTTCTCTAGTATCTGGAAGTGGGCATTTCAAGCGCTTTCAGGCCTATGGAGAGAAAGGAAATACCTTCAAATAAAAACTAGACAGAAGCATTCTCAGAAACTTATTTGTGATGTGTGTCCTCAACTAACAGAGTTGAACCTTTGTTTTGATACAGCATTTTGGAAACACTCCTTTTGTAGAATCTGCAGGTGGATATTTGGATAGCTTTGAAGATTTCGTTGGAAACCGGAATATCTTCATATAAAATCAAGACAGAAGCATTCTCGGAAACATCTCTGTGATGTTTGCATTCAACTCAGTAGAGTTGAACACTTCCTTTCATAGAGCAGGTTTGAAACACTCTTTCTGCCCTACCTGGAAGCGGACATTTCGAGCTCTTTGAGGCCTATGGTGAAAAAGGAAATATCTTCTCATAAAAACCAGAAAGAAGCATTCTCAGAAACTTCTTTGTGTTGTGTGTACTCAAGTAACAGTGTTGAACCTTCCTTTTGACAGAGCAGTTTTGAAACACTCTTTTGGTAGAATCTGCAAGTGGATATTTGGATAGCTTTGAGGATTTCGTTGGAAACGGGTTATCTTCATATAAAATCCAGACAGGAGCATTCTCAGAAACTTCTTTGTGCTGTATGTCCTCAATTCACAGAGCTGAACCTTTGTTTGGATACAGCATTTTGGAGACATTCCTTTAGTAGAATCTGCAAGTTGATATTTAGATAGCTTTGAAGATTTCGTTGGAAACGGGAATATCTTCATAGAAAATCTAGACGGAAGCATTCTCAGAAACTGCTTTGTGATGTTTGCATTCAAGTCACAGAGTTGAATATTCCCTTTTATAGAGTAGGTTTGAAACACTCTTTCGGCACTACCTGGAAGTGGATATTTCGAGCTCTTTGAGGCCTATGGTTAAAAGGAAATATCTTCCCATAAAAACTAGACAGAAGCCGTCTCAGAAACTTGTTTGTGATGTGTGTATTCAACTAACAGAGTTGAACATTTCTGTTACAGAGCAATTTTAAAACACTCTTTGTGGAATCTGAAAGTGGATAATTGGATAGCTTTGTGGATTTCGTTGGAAACGGGATGACGTATAAAATCTAGAGAGAAGCATTCTCAGGAACTTCTTTCTGATGTTTGCATTCAAGTCACAGAATTGAACATTCCTTTTCAGAGTGCAGGTTTGAAACACTCTTTCTTTAGTATCTGGAAGTGGACATTTCAAGCGCTTTCAGGCCTACGGGGAGAAAGGAAATATCTTCAAATAAAAACTAGACAGAAGGATTCTCAGAAACTTATTTGTGATGTGTGTCCTAAACGAACACAGTTGAACCTTTGTTTTGATACAGCATTTTGGAAACACTCCTTTTGTAGGATCTGCAGGTGGATATTTGGATAGATTTTAAGATTTCGTTGGAAACGGGAATTTCTTCATAGAAGCTCAAGACAGATGCATTCTCAGAAACTTCTCTGTGATGTTTGCATTCCACTCATAGAGTTGAAAACTTCCTTTCATAGAGCACGTTTGAAACACTCTTTCTGCACTATCTGGAAGCGGACATTTCGAGCGCTTTGAGGCCTATGGTGAAAAAGGAAATATCTTCCCATAAAAACTAGACAGAAGCGTTCTCAGAAACTTCTTTGTGTTGTGTGTACTCATGTAACAGTGTTGAACCATCCTTTTGACAGAGCAGTTTTGAAACACTCTTTTTGTAGAATCTGCAAGTGGATATTTGGATAGCTTTGAGGATTTCGTTGGAAACGGGTTATCTTCATATTAAATCTAGACAGAAGCATTCTCAGAAACTTCTTTGTGCTGTATGTCCTCAATTCACAGAGTTGAACCTTTGCTTGGATACAGCATTTTGGAAACATTCCTTTAGTAGAATCTGCAAGTTGATATTTAGATAGCTTTGAAGATTTCGTTGGAAACGGGAATATCTTCATAAAAAATCTAGACGGAAGCATTGTCAGAAACTGCTTTGTGAGGTTTGCATTCAAGTCACAGAGTTAAATATTCTTTTACAGAGCAGGTTTGAAACAGTCTTTCTGCACTCCCTGGAAGTGGAGATTTCGAGCGCTTTGAGGCCTATGGTGAAAAAGGAAATATCTTCCCATAAAAACTAGACGGAAGCCTTCTCAGAAACTTGTTTGAGATGTGTGTATTCAACTAAGAGCGTTGAACATTTCTTTTTACAGAGCAGTTTTAAAACACTCTTTTTGTGGAATCTGAAAGTGGATAATTGGATAGCTTTGTGGATTTCTTTGGAAACGGGATTACGTATAAAATCTAGAGAGAAGCATTCTCAGAAACTTCTTTCTGATGTTTGCATTCAAGTCACAGAATTGAACATTCCTTTTCATAGTGCAGGTTTGAAACACTCTTTCTGTACTATCTGGAAGTGGACATTTCAAGCGCTTTCAGGCCTATGGGGAGAAAGGAAATATCTTCAAATTAAAAACTAGACAGAAGGATTCTCAGAAACTTATTGGTGATGTGTGTCCTAAACGAACACAGTTGAACCTTTGTTTTGATACAGCATTTTGGAAACACTCCCTTTGTAGAATCTGCAGGTGGATATTTGGATAGATTTTAAGATTTCGTTGGAAACGGGAATTTCTTCATATAAACTCAAGACAGATGCATTCTCAGCAACTTCTCTGTGATGTTTGCATTCCACTCATAGAGTTGAAAACTTCCTTTCATAGAGCAGGTTTGAAACACTCTTTTTGTAATATTTGGAAGTGGACATTTGCAGCACTTTGAGGCCTATGGTGAAAAAGGATATATCTTCTCATAAAAACCAGAAACAAGCATTCTCAGAAACTTCTTTTTGATGTGTGTACTCAAGTAACAGAGTTGAACCTTTCTTTTGACACAGCAGTTTTGAAACAATCTTTTTGTAGAATCTGCAAGTGGATATTTGGATAGCTTTGAGGATTTCGTTGGAAACGGGATATCTTCATATGAAATCTAGCAGAAGCATTCTCAGAAACTTCTTTGTGCTGTATGTCCTCAATTAACAGAGTTGAACCATTGCTTGCATACAGCATTTTGGAAACATTCCTTTAGTAGAATCTGCAAGTTGATATTTAGATAGATTTGAAGATTTCGTTGGAAACGGGAATATCTTCATATAAAATCTAGACGGAAGCATTCTCAGAAACTGCTTTGTGATGTTTCCATTCAAGTCACAGAGTTGAATATTCTCTTTTATAGAGCACGTTTGAAACACTCTTTCTGCACTATCTGGAAGTGGACATTTCGAGCGCTTTGAGGCCTATGGTGAAAAAGGAAATATCCTCCCATAAAAACTAGACAGAAGCATTCTCAGAAACTTGTTTGTGATGTGTGTATTCAACTAACAGAGTTGAACTTTTGTTTCTACAGAGCAGTTTTAAAACACTCTTTTTGTGGAATCAGAAAGTGGATATTCGGATGGCTCTGAGGATTTCGTTGGAAGCGGGATTACATATAAAATCTAGAGAGAAGCATTCTCAGGAACTTCTTTGTGATGTTTGCATTGAAGTCACAGAATTGAACATTCACTTTTATAGAGCAGGTTTGAAACACTCATTCTGTAGTATCTGGAAGTGGACATTTCAAGCGCTTTCAGGCCTATGGTGAGAAAGGAAATACCTTCAAATAAAAACTAGACAGAAGCATCCTCAGAAACTTATTTGTGATGTGTGTCCTCAACTAAAAGAGTTGAACCTTTGTTTTGATACAGCATTTTGGAAACACTCCTTTTGTAGAATCTGCAGGTGGATATGTGGATAGCTTTGAAGATTTCGTTGGAAACCGGAATATCTTCATATAAAACCAAGACAGAAGCATTCTCGGAAACATCTCTGTGATGTTTGCATTCAACTCAGTAGTTTTGAACACTTTCTTTCATAGAGCAGGTTTGAAACACTCTTTCTGCACTACCTGGAAGCGGACATTTCGGGCGCTTTGAGGCCTATGGTGAAAAAGGAAATATCTTCTCATAAAAACCAGAAAGAAGCATTCTCAGAAACTTCTTTGTGTTGTGTGTACTCAAGTAACAGTGTTGAACCTTCCTTTTGACAGAGCAGTTTTGAAACACTCTTTTGGTAGAATCTGCAAGTGGATATTTGGAGAGCTTTGAGGATTTCGTTGGAAACGGGTTATCTTCATATAAAATCCAGACAGGAGCATTCTCAGAAACTTCTTTGTGCTGTATGTCCTCAATTCACAGAGCTGAACCTTTGTTTGGATACAGCATTTTGGAGACATTCCTTTAGTAGAATCTGCAAGTTGATATTTAGATAGCTTTGAAGATTTCGTTGGAAACGGGAATATCTTCATAGAAAATCTAGACGGAAGCATTCTCAGAAACTGCTTTGTGATGTTTGCATTCAAGTCACAGAGTTGAATATTCCCTTTTATAGAGTAGGTTTGAAACACTCTTTCGGCACTACCTGGAAGTGGATATTTCGAGCTCTTTGAGGCCTATGGTTAAAAGGAAATATCTTCCCATAAAAACTAGACAGAAGCCGTCTCAGAAACTTGTTTGTGATGTGTGTATTCAACTAACAGAGTTGAACATTTCTGTTACACAGCAATTTTAAAACACTCTTTTTGTGGAATCTGAAAGTGGATAATTGGGTAGCTTTGTGGATTTCGTTGGAAACGGGATGACGTATAAAATCTAGAGAGAAGCATTCTCAGGAACTTCTTTCTGATGTTTGCATTCAAGTCACAGAATTGACATTCCTTTTCAGAGTGCAGGTTTGAAACACTCTTTCTGTAGTATCTGGAAGTGGACATTTCAAGCGCTTTCAGGCCTATGGGGAGAAAGGAAATATCTTCAAATAAAAACTAGACAGAAGGATTCTCAGAAACTTATTGGTGATGTGTGTCCTAAACGAACACAGTTGAACCTTTGTTTTGATACAGCATTTTGGAAACACTCCCTTTGTAGAATCTGCAGGTGGATATTTGGATAGATTTTAAGATTTCGTTGGAAACGGGAATTTCTTCGTAAAAACTCAAGACAGATGCATTCTCCGAAACTACTCTGTGATGTTTGCATTCCACTCATAGAGCTGAAAACTTCCTTTCATAGAGCAGGTTTGAAACACTCTTTTTGTAATATTTGGAAGTGGACATTTGCAGCGCTTTGAGGCCTATGGTGAAAAAGGAAATATCTTCTCATAAAAACCAGAAACAAGCATTCTCAGAAACTTCTTTTTGATGTGTGTACTCGAGTAACAGAGTTGAACCTTCCTTTTGACACAGCAGTTTTGAAACAATCTTTTTGTAGAATCTGCAAGTGGATATTTGGATAGATTTGAGGATTTCGTTGGAAACGGGATATCTTCATATAAAATCTAGACAGAAGCATTCTCAGAAACTTCTTTGTGCTGTATGTCCTCAATTAACAGAGTTGAACCATTGCCTGGATACAGCATTTTGGAAACATTCCTTGAGTAGAATCTGCAAGTTGATATTTAGATAGATTTGAAGATTTCGTTGGAAAAGGGAATATCTCCATATAAAATCTAGAGGGAAGCATTCTCAGAAACTGCTTTGTGATGTTTCCATTCAAGTCACAGAGTTGAATATTCCCTTTTATAGAGCACGTTTGAAACACTCTTTCTGCACTATCTGGAAGCGGACATTTCGAGCACTTTGAGGCCTATGGTGAAAAAGGAAATATCTTCCCATAAAAACTAGACAAAAGCATTCTCAGAAACTTGTTTGTGATGTGTGTATTCAACTAACAGAGTTGAACTTTTGTTTTTACAGAGCCGTTTTAAAACACTCTTTTTGTGGAATCAGAAAGTGGATATTCGGATGGCTCTGAGGATTTCGTTGGAAGCGGGATTACGTATAAAATCTAGAGAGAAGCATTCTCAGGAACTTCTTTGTGATGTTTGCATTGAAGTCACAGAATTGAACATTCACTTTGATAGAGCAGGTTTGAAACACTCATTCTGTAGGATCTGGAAGTGGACATTTCAAGCGCTTTCAGGCCTATGGTGAGAAAGGAAATATCTTCGAATAAAAACTAGACAGAAGCATCCTCAGAAACTTATTTGTGATGTGTGTCCTCAACTAACAGAGTTGAAACTTTGTTTTGATACAGCATTTTGGAAACACTCTTTTTGTAGAATCTGCAGGTGGATATTTGGATAGCTTAGAGGGATTCGTTGGAAAGGGGATATCTTCATATAAAATGCTAGACAGAAGCATTCTCAGAAACTTATTTGTGATGTGTGTCCTCAACTAACAGAGTTGAACCTTGGTTTTGATACAGCATTTTGGAAACACTCCTTTTGTAGAATCTGCAGGTGGATATGTGGATAGCTCTGAAGATTTCGTTGGAAACGGGAATTTCTTCATATAAAATCAAACAGAAGCATTCTCAGAAACTTCTCAGTGATGTTTGCATTGAGCTCATGGAGTTGTACACTTCCTTTCATAGAGCAGGTTTGAAACACTCTTTCTGCACTACCTGGAAGAGGACATTTCGAGCGCTTTGAGTCCTATGGTGAAAAAGGAAATATCTTCTCATAGAAACCAGAAAGAAGCATTCTCAGAAACTTCTTTGTGTTGTGTGTACTCATGTAACAGTGTTGAACCATCCTTTTGACAGAGGAGTTTTGAAACACTCTTTTTGTAGAATCTGCAAGTGGATATTTGGATAGCTTTGAGGATTTCGTTGGAAACGGGATGACATATAATATCTAGAGAGAAGCATTCTCAGGAACTTCTTTGTGATGTTTGCATTCAAGTCACAGAATTGAACATTCCCTTTCATAGAGCAGGTTTGAAACACTCTTTCTCTAGTATCTGGAAGTGGGCATTTCAAGCGCTTTCAGGCCTATGGAGAGAAAGGAAATACCTTCAAATAAAAACTAGACAGAAGCATTCTCAGAAACTTATTTGTGATGTGTGTCCTCAATTAACAGAGTTGAACCTTTGTTTTGATACAGCATTTTGGAAACACTCCTTTTGTAGAATCTGCAGGTGGATATTTGGATAGCTTTGAAGATTTCGTTGGAAACCGGAATATCTTCATATAAAATCAAGACAGAAGCATTCTCGGAAACATCTCTGTGATGTTTGCATTCAACTCAGTAGAGTTGAACACTTCCTTTCATAGAGGAGGTTTGAAACACTCTTTCTGCACTACCTGGAAGCGGACATTTCGAGCGCTTTGAGGCCTATGGTGAAAAAGGAAATATCTTCTCATAAAAACCAGAAAGAAGCATTCTCAGAAACTTCTTTGTGTTGTGTGTACTCAAGTAACAGTGTTGAACCTTCCTTTTGACAGAGCAGTTTTGAAACACTCTTTTGGTAGAATCTGCAAGTGGATATTTGGAGAGCTTTGAGGATTTCGTTGGAAACGGGTTATCTTCCTATAAAATCCAGACAGGAGCATTCTCAGAAACTTCTTTGTGCTGTATGTCCTCAATTCACAGAGCTGAACCTTTGTTTGGATACAGCATTTTGGAGACATTCCTTTAGTAGAATCTGCAAGTTGATATTTAGATAGCTTTGAAGATTTCGTTGGAAACGGGAATATCTTCATAGAAAATCTAGACGGAAGCATTCTCAGAAACTGCTTTGTGATGTTTGCATTCAAGTCACAGAGTTGAATATTCCCTTTTATAGAGTAGGTTTGAAACACTCTTTCGGCACTACCTGGAAGTGGATATTTCGAGCTCTTTGAGGCCTATGGTTAAAAGGAAATATCTTCCCATAAAAACTAGACAGAAGCCGTCTCAGAAACTTGTTTGTGATGTGTGTATTCAACTAACAGAGTTGAACATTTCTGTTACAGAGCAATTTTAAAACACTCTTTTTGTGGAATCTGAAAGTGGATAATTGGATAGCTTTGTGGATTTCGTTGGAAACGGGATGACGTATAAAATCTAGAGAGAAGCATTCTCAGGAACTTCTTTCTGATGTTTGCATTCAAGTCACAGAATTGAACATTCCTTTTCAGAGTGCAGGTTTGAAACACTCTTTCTGTAGTATCTGGAAGTGGACATTTCAAGCGCTTTCAGGCCTACGGGGAGAAAGGAAATATCTTCAAATAAAAACTAGAGAGAAGGGTTCTCAGAAACTTATTTGTGATGTGTGTCCTAAACGAACACAGTTGAACCTTTGTTTTGATACAGCATTTTGGAAACACTCCTTTTGTAGGATCTGCAGGTGGATATTTGGATAGATTTTAAGATTTCGTTGG
Source organism: Homo sapiens (assembly GCF_000001405.40). Lineage (NCBI taxonomy): Eukaryota > Metazoa > Chordata > Mammalia > Primates > Hominidae > Homo > Homo sapiens. Next base: position 51,123,287 of record NC_000004.12, read on the forward strand.
AAACGGGAATTTCTGCATAGAAACTCAAGACAGATGCATTCTCAGAAACTTCTCTGTGATGTTTGCATTCCACTCATAGAGTTGAAAACTTCCTTTCATAGAGCAGGTTTGAAACACTCTTTTTGTAATATTTGGAAGTGGACCTTTGCAGCGCTTTGAGGCCTATGGTGAAAAAGGAAATATCTTCTCATAAAAACCAGAAACAAGCATTCTCAGAAACTTCTTTTTGATGTGTGTACTCAAGTAACAGAGTTGAACCTTCCTTTTGACACAGCAGTTTTGAAACAATCTTTTTGTAGAATCTGCAAGTGGATATTTGGATAGCTTTGAGGATTTCATTGGAAACGGGATATCTTCATATAAAATCTAGACAGAAGCATTCTCAGAAACTTCTTTGTGCTGTATGTCCTCAATTAACAGAGTTGAACCATGGCTTGGATACAGCATTTTGGAAACATTCCTTGAGTAGAATCTGCAAGTTGATATGTAGATAGCTTTGAAGATTTCGTTGGAAACGGGAATATCTTCATATAAAATCTAGACGGAAAGCATTCTCAGAAACTGCTTTGTGACGTTCCCATTCAAGTCACGGAGTTGAATATTCTCTTTTATAGAGCACGTTTGAAACACTCTTTCTGCACTATCTGGAAGTGGACATTTCGAGCGCTTTGAGGCCTATGGTGAAAAAGGAAATATCTTCCCATAAAAACTAGACAGAAGCATTCTCAGAAACTTGTTTGTGATGGGTGTATTCAACTAACAGAGTTGAAATTTGTTTTTACAGAGCCGTTTTAAAACACTCTTTTTGTGGAATCAGAAAGTGGATATTCGGATGGCATTGAGGATTTCGTTGGAAGCGGGATTACATATAAAATCTAGAGAGAAGCATTCTCAGGAACTTCTTTGTGATGTTTGCATTGAAGTCACAGAATTGAACATTCACTTTTATAGAGCAGGGTTGAAACACTCATTCTGTAGTATCTGGAAGTGGACATTTCAAGCGCTTTCAGGCCTATGGTGAGAAAGGAGATATCTTCAAATAAAAACTAGACAGAAGCATCCTCAGAAACTTATTTGTGATGTGTGTCCTCAACTAACAGAGTTGAAACTTTGTTTTGATACCGCCTTTTGGAAACACTCCTTTTGTAGAATCTGCAGGTGGCTATTTGGATAGCTTAGAGGGATTCGTTGGAAAGGGGATATCTTCATATAAAATCTAGACAGAAGCATTCTCAGAAACTTATTTGTGATGTGTGTCCTCAACTAACAGAGTTGAACCTTGGTTTTGATACAGCATTTTGGAAACACTCCTTTTGTAGAATCTGCAGGTGGATATGTGGATAGCTTTGAAGATTTCGTTGGAATCGGGAATTTCTTCATATAAAATCAAACAGAAGCATTCTCAGAAACTTCTCTGTGATGTTTGCCTTCAGCTCATGGAGTTGAACACTTCCTTTCATAGAGCAGGTTTGAAACACTCTTTCTGCACTACCTGGAAGTGGACATTTCGAGCGCTTTGAGGCCTATGGTGAAAAAGGAAATATCTTCTCATAAAAACCAGAAGGAAGAGTTCTCAGAAACTTCTTTGTGTTGTGTGTACTCATGTAACAGTGTTGAACCATCCTTTTGACAGAGCAGTTTTGAAACACTTTTTTTGTAGAATCTGCAAGTGGATATTTGGATAGCTTTGAGGATTTCGTTGGAAACAGGTTATCTTCATATTAAATCTAGACAGAAGCATTCTCAGGAACTTCTTTGTGATGTTTGCATTCAAGTCACAGAATTGAACATTCCCTTTCATAGAGCAGGTTTGAAACACTCTTTCTCTAGTATCTGGAAGTGGGCATTTCAAGCGCTTTCAGGCCTATGGAGAGAAAGGAAATACCTTCAAATAAAAACTAGACAGAAGCATTCTCAGAAACTTATTTGTGATGTGTGTCCTCAACTAACAGAGTTGAACCTTTGTTTTGATACAGCATTTTGGAAACACTCCTTTTGTAGAATCTGCAGGTGGATATTTGGATACCTTTGAAGATTTCGTTGGAAACCGGAATATCTTCATATAAAATCAAGACAGAAGCATTCTCGGAAACATCTCTGTGATGTTTGCATTCAACTCAGTAGAGTTGAACACTTCCTTTCATAGAGCAGGTTTGAAACACTCTTTCTGCACTACCTGGAAGAGGACATTTCGAGCGATTTGAGGCCTATGGTGAAAAAGGAAATATCTTCTCATAAAAACCAGAAAGAAGCATTCTCAGAAACTTCTTTGTGTTGTGTGTACTCAAGTAACAGTGTTGAACCTTCCTTTTGACAGAGCAGTTTTGAAACACTCTTTTGGTAGAATCTGCAAGTGGATATTTGGAGAGCTTTGAGGATTTCGTTGGAAACGGGTTATCTTCATATAAAATCCAGACAGGAGCATTCTCAGAAACTTCTTTGTGCTGTATGTCCTCAATTCACAGAGCTGAACCTTTGTTTGGATACAGCATTTTGGAGACATTCCTTTAGTAGAATCTGCAAGTTGATATTTAGATAGCTTTGAAGATTTCGTTGGAAACGGGAATATCTTCATAGAAAATCTAGACGGAAGCATTCTCAGAAACTGCTTTGTGATGTTTGCATTCAAGTCACAGAGTTGAATATTCCCTTTTATAGAGTAGGTTTGAAACACTCTTTCGGCACTACCTGGAAGTGGATATTTCGAGCTCTTTGAGGCCTATGGTTAAAAGGAAATATCTTCCCATAAAAACTAGACAGAAGCCGTCTCAGAAACTTGTTTGTGATGTGTGTATTCAACTACCAGAGTGGAACATTTGTGTTACAGAGCAATTTTAAAACACTCTTTTTGTGGAATCTGAAAGTGGATAATTGGATAGCTTTGTGGATTTCGTTGGAAACGGGATGACGTATAAAATCTAGAGAGAAGCATTCTCAGGAACTTCTTTCTGATGTTTGCATTCAAGTCACAGAATTGAACATTCCTTTTCAGAGTGCAGGTTTGAAACACTCTTTCTGTAGTATCTGGAAGTGGACATTTCAAGCGCTTTCAGGCCTACGGGGAGAAAGGAAATCTCTTCAAATAAAAACCAGACAGAAGGATTCTCAGAAACTTATTGGTGATGTGTGTCCTAAACGAACACAGTTGAACCTTTGTTTTGATACAGCCTTTTGGAAACACTCCTTTTGTAGAATCTGCAGGTGGATATTTGGATAGATTTTAAGATTTCGTTGGAAACGGGAATTTCTTCATAGAAACTCAAGACAGATGCATTCTCAGAAACTTCTCTGTGATGTTTGCATTCCACTCATAGAGTTGAAAACTTCCTTTCATAGAGCAGGTTTGAAACACTCTTTTTGTAATATTTCGAAGTGGACATTTGCAGCGCTTTGAGGCCTATGGTGAAAAAGGAAATATCTTGTGATAAAAACCAGAAACAAGCATTCTCAGAAACTTCTTTTTGATGTGTGTACTCAAGTAACAGAGTTGAACCTTCCTTTTGACACAGCAGTTTTGAAACAATCTTTTTGTAGAATCTGCAAGTGGATATTTGGATAGCTTTGAGGATTTCGTTGGAAACGGGATATCTTCATATAAAATCTAGACAGAAGCATTCTCAGAAACTTCTTTGTGCTGTATGACCTCAATTACCAGAGTTGAACCATTGCTTGCATACAGCATTTTGGAAACATTCCTTGAGTAGAATCTGCAAGTTGATATTTAGATAGATTTGAAGATTTCGTTGGAAAAGGGAATATCTCCATATAAAATCTAGAGGGAAGCATTCTCAGAAACTGCTTTGTGATGTTTCCATTCAAGTCACAGAGTTGAATATTCCCTTTTATAGAGCACGTTTGAAACACTCTTTCTGCACTATCTGGAAGCGGACATTTCGAGCGCTTTGAGGCCTATGGTGAAAAAGGAAATATCTTCCCATAAAAACTAGACAGAAGCATTCTCAGAAACTTGTTTGTGATGTGTGTATTCAACTAACAGAGTTGAACTTTTGTTTTTACAGAGCCGTTTTAAAACACTCTTTTTGTGGAATCAGAAAGTGGATATTCGGATGGCTCTGAGGATTTCGTTGGAAGCGGGATTACGTATAAAATTCTAGAGAGAAGCATTCTCAGGAACTTCTTTGTGATGTTTGCATTCAAGTCACAGAATTGAACATTCACTTTGATAGAGCAGGTTTGAAACACTCATTCTGTAGTATCTGGAAGTGGACATTTCAAGCGCTTTCAGGCCTATGGTGAGAAAGGAAATATCTTCGAATAAAAACTAGACAGAAGCATCCTCAGAAACTTATTTGTGATGTGTGTCCTCAACTAACAGAGTTGAAACTTTGTTTTGATACAGCATTTTGGAAACACTCTTTGTAGAATCTGCAGGTGGATATTTGGATAGCTTAGAGGGATTCGTTGGAAAGGGGATATCTTCATATAAAATCTAGACAGAAGCATTCTCAGAAACTTATTTGTGATGTGTGTCCTCAACTAACAGAGTTGAACCTTGGTTTTGATACAGCATTTTGGAAACACTCCTTTTGAAGAATCTGCAGGTGGATATGTGGATAGCTTTGAAGATTTCGTTGGAAACGGGAATTTCTTCATATAAAATCAAACAGAAGCATTCTCAGGAACTTCTCTGTGATGTTTGCATTCAGCTCATGGAGTTGAACACTTCCTTTCATAGAGCAGGTTTGAAACACTCTTTCTGCACTACCTGGAAGTGGACATTTCGAGCCGCTTTGAGGCCTACGGTGAAAAAGGAAATATCCTCTCATAAAAACCAGAAAGAAGCGTTCTCAGAAACTTCTTTGTGTTGTGTGTACTCATGTAACAGTGTTGAACCATCCTTTTGACAGAGCAGTTTTGAAACACTCTTTTTGTAGAATCTGCAAGTGGATATTTGGATAGCTTTGAGGATTTCGTTGGAAACGGGTTATCTTCATATTAAATCCAGACAGAAGCATTCTCAGAAACTTCTTTGTGCTGTATGTCCTCAATTCACAGAGCTGAACCTTTGTTTGGATACAGCATTTTGGAGACATTCCTTTAGTAGAATCTGCAAGTTGATATTTAGATAGCTTTGAAGATTTCGTTGGAAACGGGAATATCTTCATAGAAAATCTAGACGGAAGCATTCTCAGAAACTGCTTTGTGATGTTTGCATTCAAGTCACAGAGTTGAATATTCCCTTTTATAGAGTAGGCTTGAAACACTCTTTCGGCACTACCTGGAAGTGGATATTTCGAGCTCTTTGAGGCCTATGGTTAAAAGGAAATATCTTCCCATAAAAACTAGACAGAAGCCGTCTCAGAAACTTGTTTGTGATGTGTGTATTCAACTAACAGAGTTGAACATTTCTGTTACAGAGCAATTTTAAAACACTCTTTGTGGAATCTGAAAGTGGATAATTGGATAGCTTTGTGGATTTCGTTGGAAACGGGATGACGTATAAAATCTAGAGAGAAGCATTCTCAGGAACTTCTTTCTGATGTTTGCATTCAAGTCACAGAATTGAACATTCCTTTTCAGAGTGCAGGTTTGAAACACTCTTTCTGTAGTATCTGGAAGTGGACATTTCAAGCGCTTTCAGGCCTACGGGGAGAAAGGAAATATCTTCAAATAAAAACTAGACAGAAGGATTCTCAGAAACTTATTTGTGATGTGTGTCCTAAACGAACACAGTTGAACCTTTGTTTTGATACAGCATTTTGGAAACACTCCTTTTGTAGGATCTGCAGGTGGATATTTGGATAGATTTTAAGATTTCGTTGGAAACGGGAATTTCTGCATATAAACTCAAGACAGATGCATTCTCAGAAACTTCTCTGTGATGTTTGCATTCCACTCATAGAGTTGAAAACTTCCTTTCATAGAGCAGGTTTGAAACACTCTTTTTGTAATATGTGGAAGTGGACATTTGCAGCGCTTTGAGGCCTATGGTGAAAAAGGAAATATCTTCTCATAAAAACCAGAAACAAGCATTCTCAGAAACTGCTTTTTGATGTGTGTACTCAAGTAACAGAGTTGAACCTTCCTTTTGACACAGCAGTTTTGAAACAATCTTTTTGTAGAATCTGCAAGTGGATATTTGGATAGCTTTGAGGATTTCGTTGGAAACGGGATATCTTCATATAAAATCTAGACAGAAGCATTCTCAGAAACTTCTTTGTGCTGTATGTCCTCAATTAACAGAGTTGAACCATTGCTTGGATACAGCATTTTGGAAACATTCCTTTAGTAGAATCTGCAAGTTGATATTTAGATAGATTTGAAGATTTCGTTGGAAACGGGAATATCTTCATATAAAATCTAGACGGAGGCATTCTCAGAAACTGCTTTGTGATGTTTCCATTCAAGTCACAGAGTTGAATATTCTCTTTTATAGAGCACGTTTGAAACACTCTTTCTGCACTATCTGGAAGTGGACATTTCGAGCGCTTTGAGGCCTATGGTGAAAAAGGAAATATCTTCCCATAAAAACTAGACAGAAGCATTCTCAGAAACTTGTTTGTGATGTGTGTATTCAACTAACAGAGTTGAACTTTTGTTTTTACAGAGCCGTTTTAAAACACTCTTTTTGTGGAATCAGAAAGTGGATATTCGGATGGCTCTGAGGATTTCGTTGGAAGCGGGATTACGTATAAAATCTAGAGAGAAGCATTCTCAGGAACTTCTTTGTGATGTTTGCATTGAAGTCACAGAATTGAACATTCACTTTGATAGAGCAGGATTGAAACACTCATTCTGTAGTACCTGGAAGTGGACATTTCAAGCGCTTTCAGGCCTATGGTGAGAAAGGAAATATCTTCGAATAAAAACTAGACAGAAGCATCCTCAAACTTATTTGTGATGTGTGTCCTCAACTAACAGAGTTGAAACTTTGTTTTGATACAGCATTTTGGAAACACTCTTTTTGTAGAATCTGCAGGTGGATATTTGGATAGCTTAGAGGGATTCGTTGGAAAGGGGATATCTTCATATAAAATCTAGACAGAAGCATTCTCAGAAACTTATTTGTGATGTGTGTCCTCAACTAACAGAGTTGAACCTTGGTTTTGATACAGCATTTTGGAAACACTCCTTTTGTAGAATCTGCAGGTGGATATGTGGATAGCTCTGAAGATTTCGTTGGAAACGGGAATTTCTTCATATAAAAACAAACAGAAGCATTCTCAGAAACTTCTCAGTGATGTTTGCATTCAGCTCATGGAGTTGTACACTTCCTTTCATAGAGCAGGTTTGAAACACTCTTTCTGCACTACCTGGAAGAGGACATTTCGAGCGCTTTGAGTCCTATGGTGAAAAAGGAAATATCTTCTCATAGAAACCAGAAAGAAGCATTCTCAGAAACTTCTTTGTGTTGTGTGTACTCATGTAACAGTGTTGAACCATCCTTTTGACAGAGCAGTTTTGAAACACTCTTTTTGTAGAATCTGCAAGTGGATATTTGGATAGCTTTGAGGATTTCGTTGGAAACGGGATGACATATAATATCTAGAGAGAAGCATTCTCAGGAACTTCTTTGTGATGTTTGCATTCAAGTCACAGAATTCAACATTCCCTTTCATAGAGCAGGTTTGAAACACTCTTTCTCTAGTATCTGGAAGTGGGCATTTCAAGCGCTTTCAGGCCTATGGAGAGAAAGGAAATACCTTCAAATAAAAACTAGACAGAAGCATTCTCAGAAACTTATTTGTGATGTGTGTCCTCAACTAACAGAGTTGAACCTTTGTTTTGATACAGCATTTTGGAAACACTCCTTTTGTAGAATCTGCAGGTGGATATTTGGATAGCTTTGAAGATTTCGTTGGAAACCGGAATATCTTCATATAAAATCAAGACAGAAGCATTCTCGGAATCATCTCTGTGATGTTTGCATTCAACTCAGTAGAGTTGAACACTTCCTTTCATAGAGCAGGTTTGAAACACTCTTTCTGCACTACCTGGAAGCGGACATTTCGAGCGCTTTGAGGCCTATGGTGAAAAAGGAAATATCTTCTCATAAAAACCAGAAAGAAGCATTCTCAGAAACTTCTTTGTGTTGTGTGTACTCAAGTAACAGTGTTGAACCTTCCTTTTGACAGAGCAGTTTTGAAACACTCTTTTGGTAGAATCTGCAAGTGGATATTTGGATAGCTTTGAGGATTTCGTTGGAAACGGGTTATCTTCCTATAAAATCCAGACAGGAGCATTCTCAGAAACTTCTTTGTGCTGTATGTCCTCAATTCACAGAGCTGAACCTTTGTTTGGATACAGCATTTTGGAAACATTCCTTTAGTAGAATCTGCAAGTTGATATTTAGATAGCTTTGAAGATTTCGTTGGAAACGGGAATATCTTCATAAAAAATCTAGACGGAAGCATTCTCAGAAACTGCTTTGTGATGTTTGCATTCAAGTCACAGAGTTGAATATTCCCTTTTATAGAGTAGGTTTGAAACACTCTTTCGGCACTACCTGGAAGTGGATATTTCGAGCTCTTTGAGGCCTATGGTTAAAAGGAAATATCTTCCCATAAAAACTAGACAGAAGCCGTCTCAGAAACTTGTTTGTGATGTGTGTATTCAACTAACAGAGTTGAACATTTCTGTTACACAGCAATTTAAAACACTCTTTTTGTGGAATCTGAAAGTGTATAATTGGATAGCTTTGTGGATTTCGTTGGAAACGGGATGACGTATAAAATCTAGAGAGAAGCATTCTCAGGAACTTCTTTCTGATGTTTGCATTCAAGTCACAGAATTGAACATTCCTTTTCATAGTGCAGGTTTGAAACACTCTTTCTGTAGTATCTGGAAGTGGACATTTCAAGCGCTTTCAGGCCTACGGGGAGAAAGGAAATATCTTCAAATAAAAACTAGACAGAAGGATTCTCAGAAACTTATTTGTGATGTGTGTCCTAAACGAACACAGTTGAACCTTTGTTTTGATACAGCATTTTGGAAACACTCCTTTTGTAGGATCTGCAGGTGGATATTTGGATAGATTTTAAGATTTCGTTGGAAACGGGAATTTCTTCATAGAAGCTCAAGACAGATGCATTCTCAGAAACTTCTCTGTGATGTTTGCATTCCACTCATAGAGTTGAAAACTTCCTTTCATAGAGCAGGTTTGAAACACTCTTTTTGTAATATTTGGAAGTGGACATTTGCAGCGCTTTGAGGCCTATGGTGAAAAAGGAAATATCTTCTCATAAAAACCAGAAACAAGCATTCTCAGAAACTGCTTTTTGATGTGTGTACTCAAGTAACAGAGTTGAACCTTCCTTTTGACACAGCAGTTTTGAAACAATCTTTTTGTAGAATCTGCAAGTGGATATTTGGATAGCTTTGAGGATTTCGTTGGAAACGGGATATCTTCATATAAAATCTAGACAGGAAGCATTCTCAGAAACTTCTTTGTGCTGTATGTCCTCAATTAACAGAGTTGAACCATTGCTTGGATACAGCATTTTGGAAACATTCCTTTAGTAGAATCTGCAAGTTGATATTTAGATAGATTTGAAGATTTCGTTGGAAACGGGAATATCTTCATATAAAATCTAGACGGAGGCATTCTCAGAAACTGCTTTGTGATGTTTCCATTCAAGTCACAGAGTTGAATATTCTCTTTTATAGAGCACGTTTGAAACACTCTTTCTGCACTATCTGGAAGTGGACATTTCGAGCGCTTTGAGGCCTATGGTGAAAAAGGAAATATCTTCCCATAAAAACTAGACAGAAGCATTCTCAGAAACTTGTTTGTGATGTGTGTATTCAACTAACAGAGTTGAACTTTTGTTTTTACAGAGCCGTTTTAAAACACTCTTTTTGTGGAATCAGAAAGTGGATATTCGGATGGCTCTGAGGATTTCGTTGGAAGCGGGATTACGTATAAAATCTAGAGAGAAGCATTCTTAGGAACTTCTTTGTGATGTTTGCATTGAAGTCACGGAATTGAACATTCACTTTTATAGAGCAGGTTTGAAACACTCATTCTGTAGTATCTGGAAGTGGACATTTCAAGCGCTTTCAGGCCTATGGTGAGAAAGGAAATATCTTCGAATAAAAACTAGACAGAAGCATCCTCAGAAACTTATTTGTGATGTGTGTCCTCAACTAACAGAGTTGAAACTTTGTTTTGATACAGCATTTTGGAAACACTCTTTTTGTAGAATCTGCAGGTGGATATTTGGATAGCTTAGAGGGATTCGTTGGAAAGGGGATATCTTCATATAAAATCTAGACAGAAGCATTCTCAGAAACTTATTTGTGATGTGTGTCCTCAACTAACAGAGTTGAACCTTGGTTTTGATACAGCATTTTGGAAACACTCCTTTTGTAGAATCTGCAGGTGGATATGTGGATAGCTCTGAAGATTTCGTTGGAAACGGGAATTTCTTCATATAAAATCAAACAGAAGCATTCTCAGAAACTTCTCAGTGATGTTTGCATTCAGTTCATGGAGTTGAACACTTCCCTTCATAGAGCCGGTTTGAAACACTCTTTCTGCACTACCTGGAAGAGGACATTTCGAGCGCTTTGAGTCCTATGGTGAAAAAGGAAATATCTTCTCATAGAAACCAGAAAGAGGCATTCTCAGAAACTTCTTTGTGTTGTGTGTACTCATGTAACAGTGTTGAACCATCCTTTTGACAGAGCAGTTTTGAAACACTCTTTTTGTAGAATCTGCAAATGGATATTTGGATAGCTTTGAGGATTTCGTTGGAAACGGGATGACATATAATATCTAGAGAGAAGCATTCTCAGGAACTTCTTTGTGATGTTTGCATTCAAGTCACAGAATTGAACATTCCCTTTCATAGAGCAGGTTTGAAACACTCTTTCTCTAGTATCTGGAAGTGGGCATTTCAAGCGCTTTCAGGCCTATGGAGAGAAAGGAAATACCTTCAAATAAAAACTAGACAGAAGCATTCTCAGAAACTTATTTGTGATGTGTGTCCTCAACTAACAGAGTTGAACCTTTGTTTTGATACAGCATTTTGGAAACACTCCTTTTGTAGAATCTGCAGGTGGATATGTGGATAGCTTTGAAGATTTCGTTGGAAACCGGAATATCTTCATATAAAATCAAGACAGAAGCATTCTCGGAAACATCTCTGTGATGTTTGCATTCAACTCAGTAGAGTTGAACACGTCCTTTCATAGAGCAGGTTTGAAACACTCTTTCTGCCCTACCTGGAAGCGGACATTTCGAGCGCTTTGAGGCCTATGGTGAAAAAGGAAATATCTTCTCATAAAAACCAGAAAGAAGCATTCTCAGAAACTTCTTTGTGTTGTGTGTACTCAAGTAACAGTGTTGAACCTTCCTTTTGACAGAGCAGTTTTGAAACACTCTTTTGGTAGAATCTGCAAGTGGATATTTGGATAGCTTTGAGGATTTCGTTGGAAACGGGTTATCTTCATATAAAATCCAGACAGGAGCATTCTCAGAAACTTCTTTGTGCTGTATGTCCTCAATTCACAGAGCTGAACCTTTGTTTGGATACAGCATTTTGGAGACATTCCTTTAGTAGAATCTGCAAGTTGATATTTAGATAGCTTTGAAGATTTCGTTGGAAACGGGAATATCTTCATAGAAAATCTAGACGGAAGCATTCTCAGAAACTGCTTTGTGATGTTTGCATTCAAGTCACAGAGTTGAATATTCCCTTTTATAGAGTAGGTTTGAAACACTCTTTCGGCACTACCTGGAAGTGGATATTTCGAGCTCTTTGAGGCCTATGGTTAAAAGGAAATATCTTCCCATAAAAACTAGACAGAAGCCGTCTCAGAAACTTGTTTGTGATGTGTGTATTCAACTAACAGAGTTGAACATTTCTGTTACAGAGCAATTTAAAACACTCTTTTTGTGGAATCTGAAAGTGGATAATTGGATAGCTTTGTGGATTTCGTTGGAAACGGGATGACGTATAAAATCTAGAGAGAAGCATTCTCAGGAACTTCTTTCTGATGTTTGCATTCAAGTCACAGAATTGAACATTCCTTTTCAGAGTGCAGGTTTGAAACACTCTTTCTGTAGTATCTGGAAGTGGACATTTCAAGCGCTTTCAGGCCTACGGGGAGAAAGGAAATATCTTCAAATAAAAACTAGACAGAAGGATTCTCAGAAACTTATTTGTGATGTGTGTCCTAAACGAACACAGTTGAACCTTTGTTTTGATACAGCATTTTGGAAACACTCCTTTTGTAGGATCTGCAGGTGGATATTTGGATAGATTTTAAGATTTCGTTGGAAACGGGAATTTCTTCATAGAAGCTCAAGACAGATGCATTCTCAGAAACTTCTCTGTGATGTTTGCATTCCACTCATAGAGTTGAAAACTTCCTTTCATAGAGCAGGTTTGAAACACTCTTTTTGTAATATTTGGAAGTGGACATTTGCAGCGCTTTGAGGCCTATGGTGAAAAAGGAAATATCTTCTCATAAAAACCAGAAACAAGCATTCTGAGAAACTGCTTTTTGATGTGTGTACTCAAGTAACAGAGTTGAACCTTCCTTTTGACACAGCAGTTTTGAAACAATCTTTCTGTAGAATCTGCAAGTGGATATTTGGATAGCTTTGAGGATTTCGTTGGAAACGGGATATCTTCATATAAAATCTAGACAGAAGCATTCTCAGAAACTTCTTTGTGCTGTATGTCCTCAATTAACAGAGTTGAACCATTGCTTGGATACAGCATTTTGGAAACATTCCTTTAGTAGAATCTGCAAGTTGATATTTAGATAGATTTGAAGAATTCGTTGGAAACGGGAATATCTTCATATAAAATCTAGACGGAAGCATTCTCAGAAACTGCTTTGTGATGTTTCCATTCAAGTCACAGAGTTGAATATTCCCTTTTATAGAGCACGTTTGAAACACTCTTTCTGCACTATCTGGAAGCGGACATTTCGAGCGCTTTGAGGCCTATGGTGAAAAAGGAAATATCTTCCCATAAAAACTAGACAGAAGCATTCTCAGAAACTTGTTTGTGATGTGTGTATTCAACTAACAGAGTTGAACTTTTGTTTTTACAGAGCCGTTTTAAAACACTCTTTTTGTGGAATCAGAAAGTGGATATTCGGATGGCTCTGAGGATTTCGTTGGAAGCGGAATTACGTATAAAATCTAGAGAGAAGCATTCTCAGGAACTTCTTTGTGATGTTTGCATTGAAGTCACAGAATTGAACATTCACTTTTATAGAGCAGGTTTGAAACACTCATTCTGTAGTATCTGGAAGTGGACATTTCAAGCGCTTTCAGGCCTATGGTGAGAAAGGAAATATCTTCGAATAAAAACTAGACAGAAGCATCCTCAAACTTATTTGTGATGTGTGTCCTCAACTAACAGAGTTGAAACTTTGTTTTGATACAGCATTTTGGAAACACTCTTTTTGTAGAATCTGCAGGTGGATATTTGGATAGCTTAGAGGGATTCGTTGGAAAGGGGATATCTTCATATAGAATCTAGACAGAAGCATTCTCAGAAACTTATTTGTGATGTGTGTCCTCAACTAACAGAGTTGAACTTTGGTTTTGATACAGCATTTTGGAAACACTCCTTTTGTAGAATCTGCAGGTGGATATGTGGATAGCTCTGAAGATTTCGTTGGAAACGGGAATTTCTTCATATAAAATCAAACAGAAGCATTCTCAGAAACTTCTCAGTGATGTTTGCATTCAGTTCATGGAGTTGAACACTTCCTTTCATAGAGCCGGTTTGAAACACTCTTTCTGCACTACCTGGAAGAGGACATTTCGAGCGCTTTGAGTCCTATGGTGAAAAAGGAAATATCTTCTCATAGAAACCAGAAAGAAGCATTCTCAGAAACTTCTTTGTGTTGTGTGTACTCATGTAACAGTGTTGAACCATCCTTTTGACAGAGCAGTTTTGAAACACTCTTTTTGTAGAATCTGCAAGTGGATATTTGGATAGCTTTGAGGATTTCGTTGGAAACGGGATGACATATAATATCTAGAGAGAAGCATTCTCAGGAACTTCTTTGTGATGTTTGCATTCAAGTCACAGAATTGAACATTCCCTTTCATAGAGCAGGTTTGAAACACTCTTTCTCTAGTATCTGGAAGTGGGCATTTCAAGCGCTTTCAGGCCTATGGAGAGAAAGGAAATACCTTCAAATAAAAACTAGACAGAAGCATTCTCAGAAACTTATTTGTGATGTGTGTCCTCAACTAACAGAGTTGAACCTTTGTTTTGATACAGCATTTTGGAAACACTCCTTTTGTAGAATCTGCAGGTGGATATTTGGATAGCTTTGAAGATTTCGTTGGAAACCGGAATATCTTCATATAAAATCAAGACAGAAGCATTCTCGGAAACATCTCTGTGATGTTTGCATTCAACTCAGTAGAGTTGAACACTTCCTTTCATAGAGCAGGTTTGAAACACTCTTTCTGCACTACCTGGAAGCGGACATTTCGAGCGCTTTGAGGCCTATGGTGAAAAAGGAAATATCTTCTCATAAAAACCAGAAAGAAGCATTCTCAGAAACTTCTTTGTGTTGTGTGTACTCAAGTAACAGTGTTGAACCTTCCTTTTGACAGAGTAGTTTTGAAACACTCTTTTGGTAGAATCTGCAAGTGGATATTTGGATAGCTTTGAGGATTTCGTTGGAAACGGGTTATCTTCCTATAAAATCCAGACAGGAGCATTCTCAGAAACTTCTTTGTGCTGTATGTCCTCAATTCACAGAGCTGAACCTTTGTTTGGATACAGCATTTTGGAGACATTCCTTTAGTAGAATCTGCAAGTTGATATTTAGATAGCTTTGAAGATTTCGTTGGAAACGGGAATATCTTCATAGAAAATCTAGACGGAAGCATTGTCAGAAACTGCTTTGTGATGTTTGCATTCAAGTCACAGAGTTAAATATTCTTTTACAGAGCAGGTTTGAAACACTCTTTCTGCACTCCCTGGAAATGGAGATTTCGAGCGCTTTGAGGCCTATGGTGAAAAAGGAAATATCTTCCCATAAAAACTAGACGGAAGCCTTCTTAGAAACTTGTTTGAGATGTGTGTATTCAACTAAGAGCGTTGAACATTTCTTTTTACAGAGCAGTTTTAAAACACTCTTTTGGTGGAATCTGAAAGTGGATAATTGGATAGCTTTGTGTATTTCGTTGGAAACGGGATGACGTTTAAAATCTAGAGAGAAGCATTCTCAGGAACTTCTTTCTGATGTTTGCATTCAAGTCACAGAATTGAACATTCCTTTTCATAGTGCAGGTTTGAAACACTCTGTAGTATCTGGAAGTGGACATTTCAAGCGCTTTCAAGCCTATGGGGAGAAAGGAAATATCTTGAAATAAAAACTAGACAGAAGGATTCTCAGAAACTTATAGGTGATGTGTGTCCTAAACGAACACAGTTGAACCTTTGTTTTGATACAGCATTTTGGAAACACTCCCTTTGTAGAATCTGCAGGTGGATATTTGGATAGATTTTAAGATTTCGTTGGAAACGGGAATTTCTTCATAGAAACTCAAGACAGATTCAATCTCAGAAACTTCTCTTTGATGTTTGCATTCCACTCATAGAGTTGAAAACTTCCTTTCATAGAGCAGGTTTGAAACACTCTTTTTGTAATATTTGGAAGTGGACATTTGCAGCGCTTTGAGGCCTATGGTGAAAAAGGAAATATCTTCTCATAAAAACCAGAAACAAGCATTCTCAGAAACTTCTTTTTGATGTGTGTACTCAAGTAACAGAGTTGAACCTTCCTTTTGACACAGCAGTTTTGAAACAATCTTTTTGTAGAATCTGCAAGTGGATATTTGGATAGATTTGAGGATTTCGTTG
This sequence comes from Homo sapiens, assembly GCF_000001405.40. Taxonomy (NCBI): domain Eukaryota; kingdom Metazoa; phylum Chordata; class Mammalia; order Primates; family Hominidae; genus Homo; species Homo sapiens. The sequence continues at coordinate 51,139,099 of NC_000004.12, forward strand.
GAAACGGGATATCTTCATATAAAATCTAGACAGAAGCATTCTCAGGAACTTCTTTGTGCTGTATGTCCTCAATTAACAGAGTTGAACCATTGCTTGGATACAGCATTTTGGAAACATTCCTTGAGTAGCATCTGCAAGTTGATATTTAGATAGATTTGAAGATTTCGTTGGAAAAGGGAATATCTCCATATAAAATCAAGAGGGAAGCATTCTCAGAAACTGCTTTATGATGTTTCCCTTCAAGTCACAGAGTTGAATATTCCCTTTTATAGAGCACGTTTGAAACAATCTTTCTGCACTATGTGGAAGTGGACATTTCGAGCGCTTTGAGGCCTATGGTGAAAAAGGAAATATCTTCCCATAAAAACTAGACAGAAGCATTCTCAGAAACTTGTTTGTGATGTGTGTATTCAACTAACAGAGTAGAACTTTTGTTTTTACAGAGCCGTTTTAAAACACCCTTTTTGTGGAATCAGAAAGTGGATATTCGGATGGCTCTGAGGATTTCGTTGGAAGCGGGATTACATATAAAATCTAGAGAGAAGCATTCTCAGGAACTTCTTTGTGATGTTTGCATTGAAGTCACAGAATTGAACATTCACTTTGATAGAGCAGGTTTGAAACACTCATTCTGTAGTATCTGGAAGTGGACATTTCAAGCGCTTTCAGGCCTATGGTGGGAAAGGAAATATCTTCGAATAAAAACTAGACAGAAGCATCCTCAGAAACTTATTTGTGATGTGTGTCCTCAACTAACAGAGTTAAAACTTTGTTTTGATACAGCATTTTGGAAACACTCTTTTTGTAGAATCTGCAGGTGGATATTTTGATAGCTTAGAGGGATTCGTTGGAAAGGGGATATCTTCATATAAAATCTAGACAGAAGCATTCTCAGAAACTTATTTGTGATGTGTGTCCTCAACTAACAGAGTTGAACCTTGGTTTTGATACAGCATTTTGGAAACACTCCTTTTGTAGAATCTGCAGGTGGATATGTGGATAGCTCTGAAGATTTCGTTGGAAACGGGAATTTCTTCATATAAAATCAAACAGAAGCATTCTCAGAAACTTCTCAGTGATGTTTGCATTCAGCTCATGGAGTTGAACACTTCCTTTCATAGAGCAGGTTTGAAACACTCTTTCTGCACTACCTGGAAGAGGACTTTTCGAGCGCTTTGAGTCCTATGGTGAAAAAGGAAATATCTTCTCATAGAAACCAGAAAGAAGCATTCTCAGAAACTTCTTTGTGTTGTGTGTACTCATGTAACAGTGTTGAACCATCCTTTTGACAGAGGAGTTTTGAAACACTCTTTTTGTAGAATCTGCAAGTGGATATTTGGATAGCTTTGAGGATTTCGTTGGAAACGGGATGACATATAATATCTAGAGAGAAGCATTCTCAGGAACTTCTTTGTGATGTTTGCATTCAAGTCACAGAATTGAACATTCCCTTTCATAGAGCAGGTTTGAAACACTCTTTCTCTAGTATCTGGAAGTGGGCATTTCAAGCGCTTTCAGGCCTATGGAGAGAAAGGAAATACCTTCAAATAAAAACTAGACAGAAGCATTCTCAGAAACTTATTTGTGATGTGTGTCCTCAACTAACAGAGTTGAACCTTTGTTTTGATACAGCATTTTGGAAACACTCCTTTTGTAGAATCTGCAGGTGGATATTTGGATAGCTTTGAAGATTTCGTTGGAAACCGGAATATCTTCATATAAAATCAAGACAGAAACATTCTCGGAAACATCTCTGTGATGTTTGCATTCAACTCATTAGAGTTGAACACTTCCTTTCACAGAGCAGGTTTGAAACACTCTTTCTGCACTACCTGGAAGCAGACATTTCGGGCGCTTTGAGGCCTATGGTGAAAAAGGAAATATCTTCTCATAAAAACCAGAAAGAAGCATTCTCAGAAACTTCTTTGTGTTGTGTGTACTCAAATAACAGTGTTGAACCTTCCTTTTGACAGAGCAGTTTTGAAACACTCTTTTGGTAGAATCTGCAAGTGGATATTTGGAGAGCTTTGAGGATTTCGTTGGAAACGGGTTATCTTCCTATAAAATCCAGACAGGAGCATTCTCAGAAACTTCTTTGTGCTGTATGTCCTCAATTCACAGAGCTGAACCTTTGTTTGGATACAGCATTTTGGAGACATTCCTTTAGTAGAATCTGCAAGTTGATATTTAGATAGCTTTGAAGATTTCGTTGGAAACGGGAATATCTTCATAGAAAATCTAGACGGAAGCATTCTCAGAAACTGCTTTGTGATGTTTGCATTCAAGTCACAGAGTTGAATATTCCCTTTTATAGAGTAGGTTTGAAACACTCTTTCGGCACTACCTGGAAGTGGATATTTCGAGCTCTTTGAGGCCTATGGTTAAAAGGAAATATCTTCCCATAAAAACTAGACAGAAGCCGTCTCAGAAACTTGTTTGTGATGTGTGTATTCAACTACCAGAGTTGAACATTTCTGTTACAGAGCAATTTTAAAACACTCTTTTTGTGGAATCTGAAAGTGGATAATTGGATAGCTTTGTGGATTTCGTTGGAAACGGGATGACGTATAAATACTAGAGAGAAAGCATTCTCAGGAACTTCTTTCTGATGTTTGCATTCAAGTCACAGAATTGAACATTCCTTTTCATAGTGCAGGTTTGAAACACTCTTTCTGTAGTATCTGGAAGGGGACATTTCAAGCGCTTTCAGGCCTCTGGGGAGGAAGGAAATATCTTCAAATAAAAACTAGACAGAAGGCTTCTCAGAAACTTATTTGTGATGTGTGTCCTAAATGAACACAGTTGAACCTTTGTTTTGATACACCATTTTGGAAACACTCCTTTTGTAGAATCTGCAGGTGGATATTTGGATAGATTTTAAGATTTCGTTGGAAACGGGAATTTCTTCATAGAAACTCAAGACGGATGCATTCTCAGAAACTTCTCTGTGATGTTTGCATTCCACTCATAGAGTTGAAAACTTCCTTTCATAGAGCAGGTTTGAAACACTCTTTCTGTAATATTTGGAAGTGGACATTTGCAGCGCTTTGAGGCCTATGGTGAAAAAGGAAATATCTTCTCATAAAAACCAGAAACAAGCATTCTCAGAAACTTCTTTTTGATGTGTGTACTCAAGTAACAGAGTTGAACCTTCCTTTTGACACAGCAGTTTTGAAACAATCTTTTTGTAGAATCTGCAAGTGGATATTTGGATAGTTTTGAGGATTTCATTGGAAACGGGATATCTTCATATAAAATCTAGACAGAAGCATTCTCAGAAACTTCTTTGTGCTGTATGTCCTCAATTAACAGAGTTGAACCATGGCTTGGATATAGCATTTTGGAAACATTCCTTGAGTAGAATCTGCAAGTTGATATGTAGATAGCTTTGAAGATTTCGTTGGAAACGGGAATATCTTCATATAAAATCTAGACGGAAGCATTCTCAGAAACCGCTTTGTGACGTTCCCATTCAAGTCACGGAGTTGAATATTCTCTTTTATAGAGCACGTTTGAAACACTCTTTCTGCACTATCTGGAAGTGGACATTTCGAGCGCTTTGAGGCCTATGGTGAAAAAGGAAATATCTTCCCATAAAAACTAGACAGAAGCATTCTCAGAAACTTGTTTGTGATGGGTGTATTCAACTAACAGAGTTGAACTTTTGTTTTTACAGAGCCGTTTTAAAACACTCTTTTTGTGGAATCAGAAAGTGGATATTCGGATGGCATTGAGGATTTCGTTGGAAGCGGGATTACATATAAAATCTAGAGAGAAGCATTCTCAGGAACTTCTTTGTGATGTTTGCATTGAAGTCACAGAATTGAACATTCACTTTTATAGAGCAGGGTTGAAACACTCATTCTGTAGTATCTGGAAGTGGACATTTCAAGCGCTTTCAGGCCTATGGTGAGAAAGGAGATATCTTCAAATAAAAACTAGACAGAAGCATCCTCAGAAACTTATTTGTGATGTGTGTCCTCAACTAACAGAGTTGAAACTTTGTTTTGATACAGCCTTTTGGAAAAACTCCTTTCGTAGAATCTGCAGGTGGCTATTTGGATAGCTTAGAGGGATTCGTTGGAAAGGGGATATCTTCACATAAAATCTAGACAGAAGCATTCTCAGAAACTTATTTGTGATGTGTGCCCTCAACTAACAGAGTTGAACCTTGGTTTTGATACAGCATTTTGGAAACACTCCTTTTGTAGAATCTGCAGGTGGATATGTGGATAGCTTTGAAGATTTCGTTGGAATCGGGAATTTCTTCATATAAAATCAAACAGAAGCATTCTCAGAAACTTCTCTGTGATGTTTGCATTCAGCTCATGGAGTTGAACACTTCCTTTCATAGAGCAGGTTTGAAACACTCTTTCTGCACTACCTGGAAGTGGACATTTCGAGCGCTTTGAGGCCTATGGTGAAAAAGGAAATATCTTCTCATAAAAACCAGAAAGAAGCATTCTCAGAAACTTCTTTGTGTTGTGTGTACTCATGTAACAGTGTTGAACCATCCTTTTGACAGAGCAGTTTTGAAACACTCTTTTTGTAGAATCTGCAAGTGGATATTTGGATAGCTTTGAGGATTTCGTTGGAAACGGGTTATCTTCATATTAAATCTAGACAGAAGCATTCTCAGAAACTTCTTTGTGCTGTATGTCCTCAATTCACAGAGTTGAACCTTTGTTTGGATACAGCATTTTGGAAACATTCCTTTAGTAGAATCTGCAAGTTGATATTTAGATAGCTTTGAAGATTTCTTTGGAAACGGGAATATCTTCATAAAAAATCTAGACGGAAGCATTGTCAGAAACTGCTTTGTGATGTTTGCATTCAAGTCACAGAGTTAAATATTCTTTTATAGAGCAGGTTTGAAACACTCTTTCTGCACTCCCTGGAAGTGGAGATTTCGAGCGCTTTGAGGCCTATGGTGAAAAAGGAAATATCTTCCCATAAAAACTAGACGGAAGCATTCTCAGAAACTTGTTTGTGATGTGTGTATTCAACTAACAGAGTTGAACTTTTGTTTTTACAGAGCCGTTTTAAAACACTCTTTTTGTGGAATCAGAAAGTGGATATTCGGATGGCTCTGAGGATTTCGTTGGAAGCGGGATTACGTATAAAATCTAGAGAGAAGCATTCTCAGGAACTTCTTTCTGATGTTTGCATTGAAGTCACGGAATTGAACATTCACTTTTATAGAGCAGGTTTGAAACACTCATTCTGTAGTATCTGGAAGTGGGCATTTCAAGCGCTTTCAGGCCTATGGTGAGAAAGGAAATATCTTCGAATAAAAACTAGACAGAAGCATCCTCAGAAACTTATTTGTGATGTGTGTCCTCAACTAACAGAGTTGAACCTTGGTTTTGATACAGCATTTTGGAAACACTCTTTTTGTAGAATCTGCAGGTGGATATTTGGATAGCTTAGAGGGATTCGTTGGAAAGGGGATATCTTCATATAAAATCTAGACAGAAGCATTCTCAGAAACTTATTTGTGATGTGTGTCCTCAACTAACAGAGTTGAACCTTGGTTTTGATACAGCATTTTGGAAACACTCCTTTTGTAGAATCTGCAGGTGGATATGTGGATAGCTCTGAAGATTTCGTTGGAAACGGGAATTTCTTCATATAAAATCAAACAGAAGCATTCTCAGAAACTTCTCAGTGATGTTTGCATTCAGTTCATGGAGTTGAACACTTCCCTTCATAGAGCCGGTTTGAAACACTCTTTCTGCACTACCTGGAAGAGGACATTTCGAGCGCTTTGAGTCCTATGGTGAAAAAGGAAATATCTTCTCATAGAAACCAGAAAGAAGCATTCACAGAAACTTCTTTGTGTTGTGTGTACTCATGTAACAGTGTTGAACCATCCTTTTGACAGAGCAGTTTTGAAACACTCTTTTTGTAGAATCTGCAAGTGGATATTTGGATAGCTTTGAGGATTTCGTTGGAAACGGGATGACATATAATATCTAGAGAGAAGCATTCTCAGGAACTTCTTTGTGATGTTTGCATTCAAGTCACAGAATTGAACATTCCCTTTCATAGAGCAGGTTTGAAACACTCTTTCTCTAGTATCTGGAAGTGGGCATTTCAAGCGCTTTCAGGCCTATGGAGAGAAAGGAAATACCTTCAAATAAAAACTAGACAGAAGCATTCTCAGAAACTTATTTGTGATGTGTGTCCTCAACTAACAGAGTTGAACCTTTGTTTTCATACAGCATTTTGGAAACACTCCTTTTGTAGAATCTGCAGGTGGATATTTGGATAGCTTTGAAGATTTCGTTGGAAACCGGAATATCTTCATATAAAATCAAGACAGAAGCATTCTCGGAAACATCTCTGTGATGTTTGCATTCAACTCAGTAGAGTTGAACACTTCCTTTCATAGAGCAGGTTTGAAACACTCTTTCTGCACTACCTGGAAGCGGACATTTCGAGCGCTTTGAGGCCTATGGTGAAAAAGGAAATATCTTCTCATAAAAACCAGAAAGAAGCATTCTCAGAAACTTCTTTGTGTTGTGTGTACTCAAGTAACAGTGTTGAACCTTCCTTTTGACAGAGCAGTTTTGAAACACTCTTTTGGTAGAATCTGCAAGTGGATATTTGGAGAGCTTTGAGGATTTCGTTGGAAACGGGTTATCTTCCTATAAAATCCAGACAGGAGCATTCTCAGAAACTTCTTTGTGCTGTATGTCCTCAATTCACAGAGCTGAACCTTTGTTTGGATACAGCATTTTGGAGACATTCCTTTAGTAGAATCTGCAAGTTGATATTTAGATAGCTTTGAAGATTTCGTTGGAAACGGGAATATCTTCATAGAAAATCTAGACGGAAGCATTCTCAGAAACTGCTTTGTGATGTTTGCATTCAAGTCACAGAGTTGAATATTCCCTTTTATAGAGTAGGTTTGAAACACTCTTTCGGCACTACCTGGAAGTGGATATTTCGAGCTCTTTGAGGCCTATGGTTAAAAGGAAATATCTTCCCATAAAAACTAGACAGAAGCCGTCTCAGAAACTTGTTTGTGATGTGTGTATTCAACTAACAGAGTTGAACATTTCTGTTACAGAGCAATTTTAAAACACTCTTTGTGGAATCTGAAAGTGGATAATTGGATAGCTTTGTGGATTTCGTTGGAAGCGGGATGACGTATAAAATCTAGAGAGAAGCATTCTCAGGAACTTCTTTCTGATGTTTGCATTCAAGTCACAGAATTGAACATTCCTTTTCAGAGTGCAGGTTTGAAACACTCTTTCTGTAGTATCTGGAAGTGGACATTTCAAGCGCTTTCAGGCCTACGGGGAGAAAGGAAATATCTTCAAATAAAAACTAGAGAGAAGGATTCTCAGAAACTTATTGGTGATGTGTGTCCTAAACGAACACAGTTGAACCTTTGTTTTGATACAGCATTTTGGAAACACTCCCTTTGTAGAATCTGCAGGTGGATATTTGGATAGATTTTAAGATTTCGTTGGAAACGGGAATTTCTTCATATAAACTCAAGACAGATGCATTCTCCGAAACTTCTCTGTGATGTTTGCATTCCACTCATAGAGTTGAAAACTTCCTTTCATAGAGCACGTTTGAAACACTCTTTTTGTAATATTTGGAAGTGGAAATTTGCAGCGCTTTGAGGCCTATGGTGAAAAAGGAAATATCTTCTCATAAAAACCAGAAACAAAGCATTCTCAGAAACTTCTTTTTGATGTGTGTACTCAAGTAACAGAGTTGAACCTTCCTCTTGACACAGCAGTTTTGAAACAATCTTTTTGTAGAATCTGCAAGTGGATATTTGGATAGCTTTGAGGATTTCGTTGGAAACGGGATATCTTCATATAAAATCTAGACAGAAGCATTCTCAGAAACTTCTTTGTGCTGTATGTCCTCAATTAACAGAGTTGAACCATTGCCTGGATACAGCATTTTGGAAACATTCCTTGAGTAGAATCTGCAAGTTGATATTTAGATAGATTTGAAGATTTCGTTGGAAAAGGGAATATCTCCATATAAAATCTAGAGGGAAGCATTCTCAGAAACTGCTTTGTGATGTTTCCATTCAAGTCACAGAGTTGAATATTCCCTTTTATAGAGCACGTTTGAAACACTCTTTCTGCACTATCTGGAAGCGGACATTTCGAGCGCTTTGAGGCCTATGGTGAAAAAGGAAATATCTTCCCATAAAAACTAGACAGAAGCATTCTCAGAAACTTGTTTGTGATGTGTGTATTCAACTAACAGAGTTGAACTTTTGTTTTTACAGAGCCGTTTTAAAACACTCTTTTTGTGGAATCAGAAAGTGGATATTCGGATGGCTCTGAGGATTTCGTTGGAAGCGGGATTACGTATAAAATCTAGAGAGAAGCATTCTCAGGAACTTCTTTGTGATGTTTGCTTTGAAGTCACAGAATTGAACATTCACTTTGATAGAGCAGGTTTGAAACACTCATTCTGTAGTATCTGGAAGTGGACATTTCAAGCGCTTTCAGGCCTATGGTGAGAAAGGAAATATCTTCGAATAAAAACTAGACAGAAGCATCCTCAGAAACTTATTTGTGATGTGTGTCCTCAACTAACAGAGTTAAAACTTTGTTTTGATACAGCATTTTGGAAACACTCTTTTTGTAGAATCTGCAGGTGGATATTTTGATAGCTTAGAGGGATTCGTTGGAAAGGGGATATCTTCATATAAAATCTAGACAGAAGCATTCTCAGAAACTTATTTGTGATGTGTGTCCTCAACTAACAGAGTGGAACCTTGGTTTTGATACAGCATTTTGGAAACACTCCTTTTGTAGAATCTGCAGGTGGATATGTGGATAGCTTTGAAGATTTCGTTGGAAACGGGAATTTCTTCATATAAAATCAAACAGAAGCATTCTCAGAAACTTCTCTGTGATGTTTGCATTCAGCTCATGGAGTTGAACACTTCCTTTCATAGAGCAGGTTTGAAACACTCTTTCTGCACTACCAGGAAGTGGACATTTCGAGCGCTTTGAGGCCTATGGTGAAAAAGGAAATATCTTCTCATAAAAACCAGAAAGAAGCATTCTCAGAAACTTCTTTGTGTTGTGTGTACTCATGTAACAGTGTTGAACCATCCTTTTGACAGAGCAGTTTTGAAACACTCTTTTTGTAGAATCTGCAAGTGGATATTTGGATAGCTTTGAGGATTTCGTTGGAAACGGGATGACATATAATATCTAGAGAGAAGAATTCTCAGGAACTTCTTTGTGATGTTTGCATTCAAGTCACAGAATTGAACATTCCCTTTCATAGAGCAGGTTTGAAACACTCTTTCTCTAGTATCTGGAAGTGGGCATTTCAAGCGCTTTCAGGCCTATGGAGAGAAAGGAAATACCTTCAAATAAAAACTAGACAGAAGCATTCTCAGAAACTTATTTGTGATGTGTGTCCTCAACTAACAGAGTTGAACCTTTGTTTTGATACAGCATTTTGGAAACACTCCTTTTGTAGAATCTGCAGGTGGATATGTGGATAGCTTTGAAGATTTCGTTGGAAACCGGAATATCTTCATATAAAATCAAGACAGAAGCATTCTCGGAAACATCTCTGTGATGTTTGCATTCAACTCAGTAGAGTTGAACACTTCCTTTCATAGAGCAGGTTTGAAACACTCTTTCTGCACTACCTGGAAGCGGACATTTCGAGCGCTTTGAGGCCTATGGTGAAAAAGGAAATATCTTCTCATAAAAACCAGAAAGAAGCATTCTCAGAAACTTCTTTGTGTTGTGTGTACTCAAGTAACAGTGTTGAACCTTCCTTTTGACAGAGTAGTTTTGAAACACTCTTTTGGTAGAATCTGCAAGTGGATATTTGGATAGCTTTGAGGATTTCGTTGGAAACGGGATGACATATAATATCTAGAGAGAAGGCATCCTCAGAAACTTATTTGTGATGTGTGTCCTCAACTAACAGAGTTGAAACTTTGTTTTGATACAGCATTTTGTAAACACTCTTTTTGTAGAATCTGCAGGTGGATATTTGGATAGCTTAGAGGGATTCGTTGGAAAGGGGATATCTTCATATAAAATCTAGACAGAAGCATTCTCAGAAACTTATTTGTGATGTGTGTCCTCAACTAACAGAGTTGAACCTTGGTTTTGATACAGCATTTTGGAAACACTCCTTTTGTAGAATCTGCAGGTGGATATTTGGATAGCTTTGAAGATTTCGTTGGAAACCGGAATATCTTCATATAAAATCAGGACAGAAGCATTCTCGGAAACATCTCTGTGATGTTTGCATTCAACTCAGTAGAGTTGAACACTTCCTTTCATAGAGCAGGTTTGAAACACTCTTTCTGCACTACCTGGAAGCGGACATTTCGAGCGCTTTGAGGCCTATGGTGAAAAAGGAAATATCTTCTCATAAAAACCAGAAAGAAGCATTCTCAGAAACTTCTTTGTGTTGTGTGTACTCAAGTAACAGTGTTGAACCTTCCTTTTGACAGAGCAGTTTTGAAACACTCTTTTGGTAGAATCTGCAAGTGGATATTTGGATAGCTTTGAGGATTTCGTTGGAAACGGGTTATCTTCATATAAAATCCAGACAGGAGCATTCTCAGAAACTTCTTTGTGCTGTATGTCCTCAATTCACAGAGCTGAACCTTTGTTTGGATACAGCATTTTGGAGACATTCCTTTAGTAGAATCTGCAAGTTGATATTTAGATAGCTTTGAAGATTTCGTTGGAAACGGGAATATCTTCATAGAAAATCTAGACGGAAGCATTCTCAGAAACTGCTTTGTGATGTTTGCATTCAAGTCACAGAGTTGAATATTCCCTTTTATAGAGTAGGTTTGAAACACTCTTTCGGCACTACCTGGAAGTGGATATTTCGAGCTCTTTGAGGCCTATGGTTAAAAGGAAATATCTTCCCATAAAAACTAGACAGAAGCCCGTCTCAGAAACTTGTTTGTGATGTGTGTATTCAACTACCAGAGTTGAACATTTCTGTTACAGAGCAATTTTAAAACACTCTTTCTGTGGAATCTGAAAGTGGATAATTGGATAGCTTTGTGGATTTCGTTGGAAACGGGATGACGTATAAAATCTAGAGAGAAGCATTCTCAGGAACTTCTTTCTGATGTTTGCATTCAAGTCACAGAATTGAACATTCCTTTTCAGAGTGCAGGTTTGAAACACTCTTTCTGTAGTATCTGGAAGTGGACATTTCAAGCGCTTTCAGGCCTACGGGGAGAAAGGAAATATCTTCAAATAAAAACTAGACAGAAGGATTCTCAGAAACTTATTTGTGATGTGTGTCCTAAACGAACACAGTTGAAACTTTGTTTTGATACAGCATTTTGGAAACACTCCTTTTGTAGGATCTGCAGGTGGATATTTGGATAGATTTTAAGATTTCGTTGGAAACGGGAATTTCTTCATATAAACCCAAGACAGATGCATTCTCAGAAACTTCTCTGTGATGTTTGCATTCCACTCATAGAGTTGAAAACTTCCTTTCATAGAGCAGGTTTGAAACACTCTTTTTGTAATATTTCGAAGTGGACATTTGCAGCGCTTTGAGGCCTATGGTGAAAAAGGAAATATCTTCTCATAAAAACCAGAAAGAAGCATTCTCAGAAACTTCTTTGTGTTGTGTGTACTCAAGTAACAGTGTTGAACCTTCCTTTTGACAGAGTAGTTTTGAAACACTCTTTTGGTAGAATCTGCAAGTGGATATTTGGATAGCTTTGAGGATTTCGTTGGGAACGGGTTATCTTCCTATAAAATCCAGACAGGAGCATTCTCAGAAACTTCTTTGTGCTGTATGTCCTCAATTCACAGAGCTGAACCTTTGTTTGGATACAGCATTTTGGAGACATTCCTTTAGTAGAATCTGCAAGTTGATATTTAGATAGCTTTGAAGATTTCGTTGGAAACGGGAATATCTTCATAGAAAATCTAGACGGAAGCATTCTCAGAAACTGCTTTGTGATGTTTGCATTCAAGTCACAGAGTTGAATATTCCCTTTTATAGAGTAGGTTTGAAACACTCTTTCGGCACTACCTGGAAGTGGATATTTCGAGCTCTTTGAGGCCTATGGTTAAAAGGAAATATCTTCCCATAAAAACTAGACAGAAGCCGTCTCAGAAACTTGTTTGTGATGTGTGTATTCAACTAACAGAGTTGAACATTTCTGTTACAGAGCAATTCAAAACACTCTTTTTGTGGAATCTGAAAGTGGATAATTGGATAGCTTTGTGGATTTCGTTGGAAACGGGATGACGTATAAAATCTAGAGAGAAGCATTCTCAGGAACTTCTTTCTGATGTTTGCATTCAAGTCACAGAATTGAACATTCCTTTTCATAGTGCAGGTTTGAAACACTCTTTCTGTAGTATCTGGAAGTGGACATTTCAAGCGCTTTCAGGCCTTATGGGGAGAAAGGAAATATCTTCAAATAAAAACTAGACAGAAGGATTCTCAGAAACTTATTTGTGATGTGTGTCCTAAACGAACACAGTTGAACCTTTGTTTTGATACAGCATTTTGGAAACACTCCTTTTGTAGGATCTGCAGGTGGATATTTGGATAGATTTTAAGATTTCGTTGGAAACGGGAATTTCTGCATAGAAACTCAAGACAGATGCATTCTCAGAAACTTCTCTGTGATGTTTGCATTCCACTCATAGAGTTGAAAACTTCCTTTCATAGAGCAGGTTTGAAACACTCTTTTTGTAATATTTGGAAGTGGACATTTGCAGCGCTTTGAGGCCTATGGTGAAAAAGGAAATATCTTCTCATAAAAACCAGAAACAAGCATTCTCAGAAACTTCTTTTTGATGTGTGTACTCAAGTAACAGAGTTGAACCTTCCTTTTGACACAGCAGTTTTGAAACAATCTTTTTGTAGAATCTGCAAGTGGATATTTGGATAGCTTTGAGGATTTCGTTGGAAACGGGATATCTTCATATAAAATCTAGACAGAAGCATTCTCAGAAACTTCTTTGTGCTGTATGTCCTCAATTAACAGAGTTGAACCATTGCTTGGATACAGCATTTTGGAAACATTCCTTGAGTAGAATCTGCAAGTTGATATTTAGATAGCTTTGAAGATTTCGTTGGAAACGGGAATATCTTCATAGAAAATCTAGACGGAAGCATTCTCAGAAACTGCTTTGTGATGTTTCCATTCAAGTCACAGAGTTGAATATTCTCTTTTATAGAGCACGATTGAAACACTCTTTCTGCACTATCTGGAAGTGGACATTTCGAGCGCTTTGAGGCCTATGGTGAAAAAGGAAATATCTTCCCATAAAAACTAGACAGAAGCATTCTCAGAAACTTGTTTGTGATGTGTGTATTCAACTAACAGAGTTGAACTTTTGTTTTTACAGAGCCGTTTTAAAACACTCTTTTTGTGGAATCAGAAAGTGGATATTCGGATGGCTCTGAGGATTTCGTTGGAAGCGGGATTACGTATAAAATCTAGAGAGAAGCATTCTCAGGAACTTCTTTCTGATGTTTGCATTGAAGTCACGGAATTGAACATTCACTTTTATAGAGCAGGTTTGAAACACTCATTCTGTAGTATCTGGAAGTGGACATTTCAAGCGCTTTCAGGCCTATGGTGAGAAAGGAAATATCTTCGAATAAAAACTAGACAGAAGCATTCTCAGAAACTTATTTGTGATGTGTGTCCTCAACTAACAGAGTTGAACTTTGGTTTTGATACAGCATTTTGGAAACACTCCTTTTGTAGAATCTGCAGGTGGATATGTGGATAGCTTCTGAAGATTTCGTTGGAAACGGGAATTTCTTCATATAAAATCAAACAGAAGCATTCTCAGAAACTTCTCTGTGATGTTTGCATTCAGCTCATGGAGTTGAACACTTCCTTTCATAGAGCAGCTTTGAAACACTCTTTCTGCACTACCAGGAAGTGGACATTTCGAGCGCTTTGAGGCCTATGGTGAAAAAGGAAATATCCTTCTCATAAAAACCAGAAAGAAGCGTTCTCAGAAACTTCTTTGTGTTGTGTGTACTCATGTAACAGTGTTGAACCATCCTTTTGACAGAGCAGTTTTGAAACACTCTTTTTGTAGAATCTGCAAGTGGATATTTGGATAGCTTTGAGGATTTCGTTGGAAACGGGTTATCTTCATATTAAATCTAGACAGAAGCATTCTCAGGAACTTCTTTGTGATGTTTGCATTCAAGTCACAGAATTGAACATTCCCTTTCATAGAGCAGGTTTGAAACACTCTTTCTCTAGTATCTGGAAGTGGGCATTTCAAGCGCTTTCAGGCCTATGGAGAGAAAGGAAATACCTTCAAATAAAAACTAGACAGAAGCATTCTCAGAAACTTATTTGTGATGTGTGTCCTCAACTAACAGAGTTGAACCTTTGTTTTGATACAGCATTTTGGAAACACTCCTTTTGTAGAATCTGCAGGTGGATATGTGGATAGCTTTGAAGATTTCGTTGGAAACCGGAATATCTTCATATAAAATCAAGACAGAAGCATTCTCGGAAACATCTCAGTGATGTTTGCATTCAACTCAGTAGAGTTGAACACTTCCTTTCATAGAGCAGGTTTGAAACACTCTTTCTGCACTACCTGGAAGGGGACATTTCGAGCGCTTTGAGGCCTATGGTGAAAAAGGAAATATCTTCTCATAAAAACCAGAAAGAAGCATTCTCAGAAACTTCTTTGTCTTGTGTGTACTCAAGTAACAGTGTTGAACCTTCCTTTTGACAGAGCAGTTTTGAAACACTCTTTTGGTAGAATCTGCAAGTGGATATTTGGAGAGCTTTGAGGATTTCGTTGGAAACGGGTTATCTTCATATAAAATCCAGACAGGAGCATTCTCAGAAACTTCTTTGTGCTGTATGTCCTCAATTCACAGAGTTGAACCTTTGTTTGGATACAGCATTTTGGAAACATTCCTTTAGTAGAATCTGCAAGTTGATATTTAGATAGCTTTGAAGATTTCGTTGGAAACGGGAATATCTTCATAAAAAATCTAGACGGAAGCATTGTCAGAAACTGCTTTGTGATGTTTGCATTCAAGTCACAGAGTTAAATATTCTTTTACAGAGCAGGTTTGAAACACTCTTTCTGCACTCCCTGGAAGTGGAGATTTCGAGCGCTTTGAGGCCTGTGGTGAAAAAGGAAATATCTTCCCATAAAAACTAGACGGAAGCATTCTCAGAAACTTGTTTGTGATGTGTGTATTCAACTAACAGAGTTGAACTTTTGTTTTTACAGAGCCGTTTTAAAACACTCTTTTTGTGGAATCAGAAAGTGGATATTCGGATGGCTCTGAGGATTTCGTTGGAAGCGGGATTACATATAAAATCTAGAGAGAAGCATTCTCAGGAACTTCTTTGTGATGTTTGCATTGAACTCACAGAATTGAACATTCACTTTGATAGAGCAGGTTTGAAACACTCATTCTGTAGTATCTGGAAGTGGACATTTCAAGCGCTTTCAGGCCTATGGTGAGAAAGGAAATATCTTCAAATAAAAACTAGACAGAAGCATCCTCAAACTTATTTGTGATGTGTGTCCTCAACTAACAGAGTTGAAACTTTGTTTTGATACAGCATTTTGGAAACACTCTTTTTGTAGAATCTGCAGGTGGATATTTGGATAGCTTAGAGGGATTCGTTGGAAAGGGGATATCTTCATATAAAATCTAGACAGAAGCATTCTCAGAAACTTATTTGTGATGTGTGTCCTCAACTAACAGAGTTGAACCTTGGTTTTGATACAGCATTTTGGAAACACTCCTTTTGTAGAATCTGCAGGTGGATATGTGGATAGCTCTGAAGATTTCGTTGGAAACGGGAATTTCTTCATATAAAATCAAACAGAAGCATTCTCAGAAACTTCTCAGTGATGTTTGCATTCAGCTCATGGAGTTGTACACTTCCTTTCATAGAGCAGGTTTGAAACACTCTTTCTGCACTACCTGGAAGAGGACATTTCGAGCGCTTTGAGTCCTATGGTGAAAAAGGAAATATCTTCTCATAGAAACCAGAAAGAAGCATTCTCAGAAACTTCTTTGTGTTGTGTGTACTCATGTAACAGTGTTGAACCATCCTTTTGACAGAGGAGTTTTGAAACACTCTTTTTGTAGAATCTGCAAGTGGATATTTGGATAGCTTTGAGGATTTCGTTGGAAACGGGATGACATATAATATCTAGAGAGAAGCATTCTCAGGAACTTCTTTGTGATGTTTGCATTCAAGTCACAGGATTGAACATTCCCTTTCATAGAGCAGGTTTGAAACACTCTTTCTCTAGTATCTGGAAGTGGGCATTTCAAGCTCTTTCAGGCCTATGGAGAGAAAGGAAATACCTTCAAATAAAAACTAGACAGAAGCATTCTCAGAAACTTATTTGTGATGTGTGTCCTCAACTAACAGAGTTGAACCTTTGTTTTGATACAGCATTTTGGAAACACTCCTTTTGTAGAATCTGCAGGTGGATATTTGGATAGCTTTGAAGATTTCGTTGGAAACCGGAATATCTTCATATAAAATCAAGACAGAAGCATTCTCGGAAACATCTCTGTGATGTTTGCATTCAACTCAGTAGAGTTGAACACTTCCTTTCATAGAGCAGGTTTGAAACACTCTTTCTGCACTACCTGGAAGCGGACATTTCGAGCTCTTTGAGGCCTATGGTGAAAAAGGAAATATCTTCTCATAAAAACCAGAAACAAGCATTCTCAGAAACTTCTTTGTGTTGTGTGTACTCAAGTAACAGTGTTGAACCTTCCTTTTGACAGAGCAGTTTTGAAACACTCTTTTGGTAGAATCTGCAAGTGGATATTTGGATAGCTTTGAGGATTTCGTTGGAAACGGGTTATCTTCCTATAAAATCCAGACAGGAGCATTCTCAGAAACTTCTTTGTGCTGTATGTCCTCAATTAACAGAGTTGAACCATTGCTTGGATACAGCATTTTGGAAACATTCCTTTAGTAGAATCTGCAAGTTGATATTTAGATAGCTTTGAAGATTTCGTTGGAAACGGGAATATCTTCATAAAAAATCTAGACGGAAGCATTGTCAGAAACTGCTTTGTGATGTTTGCATTCAAGTCACAGAGTTAAATATTCTTTTACAGAGCAGGTTTGAAACACTCTTTCTGCACTCCCTGGAAGTGGAGATTTCGAGTGCTTTGAGGCCTATGGTGAAAAAGGAAATATCTTCCCATAAAAACTAGACGGAAGCATTCTCAGAAACTTGTTTGTGATGTGTGTATTCAACTAACAGACTTGAACTTTTGTTTTTACAGAGCAGTTTTAAAACAATCTTTTTGTGGAATCAGAAAGTGGATATTCGGATGGATTTGAGGATTTCGTTGGAAGCGGGATTACATTTAAAATCTAGAGAGAAGCATTCTCAGGAACTACTTTGTGATGTTTGCATTGAAGTCACAGAATTGAACATTCACTTTGATAGAGCAGGTTTGAAACACTCATTCTGTATTATCTGGAAGTGGACATTTCAAGCGCTTTCAGGCCTATGGTGAGAAAGGAAATATCTTCAAATTAAAACTAGACAGAAGCATCCTCAGAAACTTATTTGTGATGTGTGTCCTAAACTAACAGAGTTGAAACTTTGTTTTGATACAGCATTTTGGAAACACTCTTTTTGTAGAATCTGCAGGTGGATATTTGGATAGCTTAGAGGGATTCGTTGGAAAGGGGATATCCTCATATAAAATCTAGACAGAAGCATTCTCAGAAACTTATTTGTGATGTGTGTCCTCAACTAACAGAGTTGAACCTTGGTTTTGATACAGCATTTTGGAAACACTCCTTTTGTAGAATCTGCATGTGGATATGTGGATAGCTCTGAAGATTTCGTTGGAAACGGGAATTTCTTCATATAAAATCAAACAGAAGCATTCTCAGAAACTTCTCAGTGATGTTTGCATTCAGTTCATGGAGTTGAACACTTCCTTTCATAGAGCCGGTTTGAAACACTCTTTCTGCACTACCTGGAAGAGGACATTTCGAGCGCTTTGAGTCCTATGGTGAAAAAGGAAATATCTTCTCATAGAAACCAGAAAGAAGCATTCTCAGAAACTTCTTTGTGTTGTGTGTACTCATGTAACAGTGTTGAACCATCCTTTTGACAGAGGAGTTTTGAAACACTCTTTTTGTAGAATCTGCAAGTGGATATTTGGATAGCTTTGAGGATTTCGTTGGAAACGGGATGACATATAATATCTAGAGAGAAGCATTCTCAGGAACTTCTTTGTGATGTTTGCATTCAAGTCACAGAATTGAACATTCCCTTTCATAGAGCAGGTTTGAAACACTCTTTCTCTAGTATCTGGAAGTGGGCATTTCAAGCGCTTTCAGGCCTATGGAGAGAAAGGAAATACCTTCAAATAAAAACTAGACAGAAGCATTCTCAGAAACTTATTTGTGATGTGTGTCCTCAACTAACAGAGTTGAACCTTTGTTTTGATACAGCATTTTGGAAACACTCCTTTTGTAGAATCTGCAGGTGGATATTTGGATAGCTTTGAAGATTTCGTTGGAAACCGGAATATCTTCATATAAAATCAAGACAGAAACATTCTCGGAAACATCTCTGTGATGTTTGCATTCAACTCAGTAGAGTTGAACACTTCCTTTCATAGAGCAGGTTTGAAACACTCTTTCTGCACTACCTGGAAGTGGACATTTCGAGCGCTTTGAGGCCTATGGTGAAAAAGGAAATATCTTCTCATAAAAACCAGAAAGAAGCATTCTCAGAAACTTCTTTGTGTTGTGTGTACTCAAGTAACAGTGTTGAACCTTCCTTTTGACAGAGCAGTTTTGAAACACTCTTTTGGTAGAATCTGCAAGTGGATATTTGGATAGCTTTGAGGATTTCGTTGGAAACGGGTTATCTTCATATAAAATCCAGACAGGAGAATTCTCAGAAACTTCTTTGTGCTGTATGTCCTCAATTCACAGAGCTGAACCTTTGTTTGGATACAGCATTTTGGAAACATTCCTTTAGTAGAATCTGCAAGTTGATATTTAGATAGCGTTGAAGATTTCGTTGGAAACGGGAATATCTTCATAGAAAATCTAGACGGAGGCATTCTCACAAACTGCTTTGTGGTGTTTGCATTCAAGTCACAGAGTTGAATATTCCCTTTTATAGAGTAGGTTTGAAACACTCTTTCGGCACTACCTGGAAGTGGATATTTCGAGCTCTTTGAGGCCTATGGTTAAAAGGATATATCTTCCCATAAAAACTAGACAGAAGCCGTCTCAGAATCTTGTTTGTGATGTGTGTATTCAACTGACAGAGTTGAACATTTCTGTTACAGAGCAATTTTAAAACACTCTTTTTGTGGAATCTGAAAGTGGATAATTGGATAGCTTTGTGGATTTCGTTGGAAACAGGATTATGTATAAAATCTAGAGAGAAGCATTCTCAGGAACTTCTTTCTGATGTTTGCATTCAAGTCACAGAATTGAACATTCCTTTTCATAGTGCAGGTTTGAAACACTCTTTCTGTAGTATCTGGAAGTGGACATTTCAAGCGCTTTCAGGCCTATGGGGAGAAAGGAAATATCTTCAAATAAAAACTAGACAGAAGGATTCTCAGAAACTTATTTGTGATGTGTGTCCTAAACGAACACAGTTGAACCTTTGTTTTGATACAGCATTTTGGAAACACTCCTTTTGTAGGATCTGCAGGTGGATATTTGGATAGATTTTAAGATTTCGTTGGAAACGGGAATTTCTGCATAGAAACTCAAGACAGATGCATTCTCAGAAACTTCTCTGTGATGTTTGCATTCCACTCATACAGTTGAAAACTTCCTTTCATAGAGCAGGTTTGAAACACTCTTTTTGTAATATTTGGAAGTGGACATTTGCAGCGCTTTGAGGCCTATGGTGAAAAAGGAAATATCTTCTCATAAAAACCAGAAACAAGCATTCTCAGAAACTGCTTTTTGATGTGTGTACTCAAGTAACAGAGTTGAACCTTCCTTTTGACACAGTAGTTTTGAAACAATCTTTTTGTAGAATCTGCAAGTGGATATTTGGATAGCTTTGAGGATTTCGTTGGAAACGGGATATCTTCATATAAAATCTAGACAGAAGCATTCTCAGAAACTTCTTTGTGCTGTATGTCCTCAATTAACAGAGTTGAACCATTGCTTGGATACAGCATTTTGGAAACATTCCTTTAGTAGAATCTGCAAGTTGATATTTAGATAGATTTGAAGATTTCGTTGGAAACGGGAATATCTTCATATAAAATTTAGACCGAGGCATTCTCAGAAACTGCTTTGTGATGTTTCCATTCAAGTCACAGAGTTGAATATTCTCTTTTATAGAGCACGTTTGAAACACTCTTTCTGCACTATCTGGAAGTGGACATTTCGAGCGCTTTGAGGCCTATGGTGAAAAAGGAAATATCTTCCCATAAAAACTAGACAGAAGCATTCTCAGAAACTTGTTTGTGATGTGTGTATTCAACTAACAGAGTTGAACTTTTGTTTTTACAGAGCCGTTTTAAAACACTCTTTTTGTGGAATCAGAAAGTGGATATTCGGATGGCTCTGAGGATTTCGTTGGAAGCGGGATTACGTATAAAATCTAGAGAGAAGCATTCTCAGGAACTTCTTTCTGATGTTTGCATTGAAGTCACGGAATTGAACATTCACTTTTATAGAGCAGGTTTGAAACACTCATTCTGTAGTATCTGGAAGTGGACATTTCAAGCGCTTTCAGGCCTATGGTGAGAAAGGAAATATCTTCGAATAAAAACTAGACAGAAGCATCCTCAGAAACTTATTTGTGATGTGTGTCCTCAACTAACAGAGTTGAAACTTTGTTTTGATACAGCATTTTGGAAACACTCTTTTTGTAGAATCTGCAGGTGGATATTTTGATAGCTTAGAGGGATTCGTTGGAAAGGGGATATCTTCATATAAAATCTAGACAGAAGCATTCTCAGAAACTTATTTGTGATGTGTGTCCTCAACTAACAGAGTTGAACCTTGGTTTTGATACAGCATTTTGGAAACACTCCTTTTGTAGAATCTGCATGTGGATATGTGGATAGCTCTGAAGATTTCGTTGGAAACGGGAATTTCTTCATATAAAATCAAACAGAAGCATTCTCAGAAACTTCTCAGTGATGTTTGCATTCAGCTCATGGAGTTGTACACTTCCTTTCATAGAGCAGGTTTGAAACACTCTTTCTGCACTACTTGGAAGAGGACATTTCGAGCGCTTTGAGTCCTATGGTGAAAAAGGAAATATCTTCTCATAGAAACCAGAAAGAAGCATTCTCAGAAACTTCTTTGTGTTGTGTGTACTCATGTAACAGTGTTGAACCATCCTTTTGACAGAGCAGTTTTGAAACACTCTTTTTGTAGAATCTGCAAGTGGATATTTGGATAGCTTTGAGGATTTCGTTGGAAACGGGATGACATATAATATCTAGAGAGAAGCATTCTCAGGAACTTCTTTGTGATGTTTGCATTCACGTCACAGAACTGAACATTCCCTTTCATAGAGCATGTTTGAAACACTCTTTCTGTAGTATCTGCAAACGGACATTTCAAACGCTTTCAGGCCTATGGTGAGAAAGGAAATATCTTCAAATAAAAACTAGACAGAAGCAT
The DNA here is from genome assembly GCF_000001405.40 of Homo sapiens. Classification (NCBI taxonomy): domain Eukaryota; kingdom Metazoa; phylum Chordata; class Mammalia; order Primates; family Hominidae; genus Homo; species Homo sapiens. The sequence continues at coordinate 51,160,739 of NC_000004.12, forward strand.
TCTCAGAAACTTATTTGTGATGTGTGTCCTCAACTAACAGAGTTGAACCTTTGTTTTGATACAGCATTTTGGAAACACTCCTTTTGTAGAATCTGCAGGTGGATATTTGGATAGCTTTGAAGATTTCGTTGGAAACCGGAATATCTTCATATAAAATCAAGACAGAAAGCATTCTCGGAAACATCTCTGTGATGTTTGCATTCAACTCAGTAGAGTTGAACACTTCCTTTCATAGAGCAGGTTTGAAACACTCTTTCTGCACTACCTGGAAGCGGACATTTCGAGCGCTTTGAGGCCTATGGTGAAAAAGGAAATATCTTCTCATAAAAACCAGAAAGAAGCATTCTCAGAAACTTCTTTGTGTTGTGTGTACTCAAGTAACAGTGTTGAACCTTCCTTTTGACAGAGCAGTTTTGAAACACTCTTTTGGTAGAATCTGCAAGTGGATATTTGGATAGCTTTGAGGATTTCGTTGGAAACGGGTTATCTTCATATAAAATACCAGACAGGAAGCATTCTCAGAAACTTCTTTGTGCTGTATGTCCTCAATTCACAGAGCTGAACCTTTGTTTGGATACAGCATTTTGGAAACATTCCTTTAGTAGAATCTGCAAGTTGATATTTAGATAGCTTTGAAGATTTCGTTGGAAACGGGAATATCTTCATAGAAAATCTAGACGGAAGCATTCTCAGAAACTGCTTTGTGATGTTTGCATTCAAGTCACAGAGTTGAATATTCCCTTTTATAGAGTAGGTTTGAAACACTCTTTCGGCACTACCTGGAAGTGGATATTTCGAGCTCTTTGAGGCCTATGGTTAAAAGGAAATATCTTCCCATAAAAACTAGACAGAAGCCGTCTCAGAAACTTGTTTGTGATGTGTGTATTCAACTAACAGAGTTGAACATTTCTGTTACAGAGCAATTTAAAACACTCTTTTTGTGGAATCTGAAAGTGGATAATTGGATAGCTTTGTGGATTTCGTTGGAAACGGGATGACGTATAAAATCTAGAGAGAAGCATTCTCAGGAACTTCTTTCTGATGTTTGCATTCAAGTCACAGAATTGAACATTCCTTTTCATAGTGCAGGTTTGAAACACTCTGTAGTATCTGGAAGTGGACATTTCAAGCGCTTTCAAGCCTATGGGGAGAAAGGAAATATCTTGAAATAAAAACTAGACAGAAGGATTCTCAGAAACTTATTGGTGATGTGTGTCCTCAACGAACACAGTTGAACCTTTGTTTTGATACAGCATTTTGGAAACACTCCCTTTGTAGAATCTGCAGGTGGATATGTGGATAGATTTTAAGATTTCGTTGGAAACGGGAATTTCTTCATATAAACTCAAGACAGATGCATTCTCAGAAACTTCTCTGTGATGTTTGCATTCCACTCATAGAGTTGAAAACTTCCTTTCATAGAGCAGGTTTGAAACACTCTTTTTGTAATATTTGGAAGTGGACATTTGCAGCGCTTTGAGGCCTATGGTGAAAAAGGAAATATCTTCTCATAAAAACCAGAAACAAGCATTCTCAGAAACTTCTTTTTGATGTGTGTACTCAAGTAACAGAGTTGAACCTTCCTTTTGACACAGCAGTTTTGAAACAATCTTTTTGTAGAATCTGCAAGTGGATATTTGGATAGCTTTGAGGATTTCGTTGGAAACGGGATATCTTCATATAAAATCTAGACAGAAGCATTCTCAGAAACTTCTTTGTGCTGTATGTCCTCAATTAACAGAGTTGAACCATTGCCTGGATACAGCATTTTGGAAACATTCCTTGAGTAGAATCTGCAAGTTGATATTTAGATAGATTTGAAGATTTCGTTGGAAAAGGGAATATCTCCATATAAAATCTAGAGGGAAGCATTCTCAGAAACTGCTTTGTGATGTTTCCATTCAAGTCACAGAGTTGAATATTCCCTTTTATAGAGCACGTTTGAAACACTCTTTCTGCACTATCTGGAAGCGGACATTTCGAGCGCTTTGAGGCCTATGGTGAAAAAGGAAATATCTTCCCATAAAAACTAGACAGAAGCATTCTCAGAAACTTGTTTGTGATGTGTGTATTCAACTAACAGAGTTGAACTTTTGTTTTTACAGAGCCGTTTTAAAACACTCTTTTTGTGGAATCAGAAAGTGGATATTCGGATGGCTCTGAGGATTTCGTTGGAAGCGGGATTACGTATAAAATCTAGAGAGAAGCATTCTCAGAAACTTCTTTGTGATGTTTGCATTGACGTCACAGAATTGAACATTCACTTTTATAGAGCAGGTTTGAAACACTCATTCTGTAGTATCTGGAAGTGGACCTTTCAAGCGCTTTCAGGCCTATGGTGAGAAAGGAAATATCTTCGAATAAAAACTAGACAGAAGCATCCTCAGAAACTTATTTGTGATGTGTGTCCTCAACTAACAGAGTTGAAACTTTGTTTTGATACAGCATTTTGGAAACACTCTTTTTGTAGAATCTGCAGGTGGATACTTGGATAGCTTAGAGGGATTCGTTGGAAAGGGGATAAATTCATATAAAATCTAGACAGAAGCATTCTCAGAAACTTATTTGTGATGTGTGTCCTCAACTAACAGAGTGGAACCTTGGTTTTGATACAGCATTTTGGAAACACTCCTTTTGTAGAATCTGCAGGTGGATATGTGGATAGCTTTGAAGATTTCGTTGGAAACGGGAATTTCTTCATATAAAATCAAACAGAAGCATTCTCAGGAACTTCTCTGTGATGTTTGCATTCAGCTCATGGAGTTGAACACTTCCTTTCATAGAGCAGGTTTGAAACACTCTTTCTGCACTACCTGGAAGTGGACATTTCGAGCGCTTTGAGGCCTATGGTGAAAAAGGAAATATCCTCTCATAAAAACCAGAAAGAAGCGCTCTCAGAAACTTCTTTGTGTTGTGTGTACTCATGTAACAGTGTTGAACCATCCTTTTGACAGAGCAGTTTTGAAACACTCTTTTTGTAGAATCTGCAAGTGGATATTTGGATAGCTTTGAGGATTTCGTTGGAAACGGGTTATCTTCATATTAAATCTAGACAGAAGCATTCTCAGAAACTTCTTTGTGCTGTATGTCCTCAATTCACAGAGTTGAACCTTTGTTTGGATACAGCATTTTGGAAACATTCCTTTAGTAGAATCTGCAAGTTGATATTTAGATAGCTTTGAAGATTTCGTTGGAAACGGGAATATCTTCATAAAAAATCTAGACGGAAGCACTGTCAGAAACTGCTTTGTGATGTTTGCATTCAAGTCACAGAGTTAAATATTCTTTTACAGAGCAGGTTTGAAACACTCTTTCTGCACTCCCTGGAAGTGGAGATTTCGAGCGCTTTGAGGCCTATGGTGAAAAAGGAAATATCTTCTCATAAAAACTAGACGGAAGCCTTCTCAGAAACTTGTTTGAGATGTGTGTATTCAACTAAGAGTGTTGAACATTTCTTTTTACAGAGCAGTTTTAAAACACTCTTTTTGTGGAATCTGAAAGTGGATAATTGGATAGATTTGTGGATTTCGTTGGAAACGGGATGACGTATAAAATCCAGAGAGAAGCATTCTCAGGAACTTCTTTCTGATGTTTGCATTCAAGTCACAGAATTGAACATTCCTTTTCATAGTGCAGGTTTGAAACACTCTTTCTGTAGTATCTGGAAGTGGACATTTCCAGCGCTTTCAGGCCTATGGGGAGAAAGGAAATATCTTGAAATAAAAACTAGACAGAAGGATTCTCAGAAACTTATTTGTGATGTGTGTCCTAAACGAACACAGTTGAACCTTTGTTTTGATACAGCATTTTGGAAACACTCCCTTTGTAGAATCTGCAGGTGGATATTTGGATAGATTTTAAGATTTCGTTGGAAACGGGAATTTCTTCATATAAACTCAAGACAGATGCATTCTCAGAAACTTCTCTGTGATGTTTGCATTCCACTCATAGAGTTGAAAACTTCCTTTCATAGAGCAGGTTTGAAACACTCTTTTTGTAATATTTGGAAGTGGAAATTTGCAGCGCTTTGAGGCCTATGGTGAAAAAGGAAATATCTTCTCATAAAAACCAGAAACAAGCATTCTCAGAAACTTCTTTTTGATGTGTGTACTCAAGTAACAGAGTTGAACCTTCCTTTTGACACAGCAGTTTTGAAACAATCTTTTTGTAGAATCTGCAAGTGGATATTTGGATAGCTTTGAGGATTTCGTTGGAAACGGGATATCTTCATATAAAATCTAGACAGAAGCATTCTCAGAAACTTCTTTGTGCTGTATGTCCTCAATTAACAGAGTTGAACCATTGCTTGGATACAGCATTTTGGAAACATTCCTTTAGTAGAATCTGCAAGTTGATATTTAGATATATTTGAAGATTTCGTTGGAAACGGGAATATCTTCATATAAAATCTAGACGGAGGCATTCTCAGAAACTGCTTTGTGATGTTTCCATTCAAGTCACAGAGTTGAATATTCTCTTTTGTAGAGCACGTTTGAAACACTCTTTCTGTACTATCTGTTAGTGGACATTTCGAGCGCTGTGAGGCCTATGGTTAAAAAGGAAATATCTTCCCATAAAAACTAGACAGAAGCATTCTCAGAAACTTGTTTATGATGTGTGTATTCAACTAACAGACTTGAACTTTTGTTTTTACAGAGCAGTTTTAAGACAATCTTTTTGTGGAATCAGAAAGTGGTTATTCGGATGGCTTTGAGGACTTCGTTGGAAGCGGGATTACATATAAAATCTAGAGAGAAGCATTCTCAGGAACTACTTTGTGACGTTTGCATTGAAGTCACAGAATTGAACATTCACTTTGATAGAGCAGGTTTGAAACACTCATTCTGTAGTATCTGGAAGCGGACAATTCAAGCGCTTTCAGGCCTATGGGGAGAAAGGAAATATCTTCAAATAAAAACTAGAGAGAAGCATTCTCAGAAACTTATTTGTGATGTGTGTCCTCAACTAACAGAGTTGAAACTTTGTTTTGATACAGCATTTTGGAAACACTCTTTTTGTAGAATCTGCAGGTGGATATTTGGATAGCTTAGAGGGATTCGTTGGAAAGGGGATATCTTCATATAAAATCTAGACAGAAGCATTCTCAGAAACTTATTTGTGATGTGTGTCCTCAACTAACAGAGTTGAACCTTGGTTTTGATACAGCATTTTGGAAACACTCCTTTTGTAGAATCTGCAGGTGGATATGTGGATAGCTCTGAAGATTTCGTTGGAAACGGGAATTTCTTCATATAAAATCAAACAGAAGCATTCTCAGAAACTTCTCAGTGATGTTTGCATTCAGCTCATGGAGTTGTACACTTCCTTTCATAGAGCAGGTTTGAAACACTCTTTCTGCACTACCTGGAAGAGGACATTTCGAGCGCTTTGAGTCCTATGGTGAAAAAGGAAATATCTTCTCATAGAAACCAGAAAGAAGCATTCTCAGAAACTTCTTTGTGTTGTGTGTACTCATGTAACAGTGTTGAACCATCCTTTTGACAGAGCAGTTTTGAAACACTCTTTTTGTAGAATCTGCAAGTGGATATTTGGATAGCTTTGAGGATTTCATTGGAAACGGGATGACATATAATATCTAGAGAGAAGCATTCTCAGGAACTTCTTTGTGATGTTTGCATTCAAGTCACAGAATTGAACATTCCCTTTCATAGAGCAGGTTTGAAACACTCTTTCTCTAGTATCTGGAAGTGGGCATTTCAAGCGCTTTCAGGCCTATGGAGAGAAAGGGAATACCTTCAAATAAAAACTAGACAGAAGCATTCTCAGAAACTTATTTGTGATGTGTGTCCTCAACTAACAGAGTTGAACCTTTGTTTTGATACAGCATTTTGGAAACACTCCTTTTGTAGAATCTGCAGGTGGATATTTGGATAGCTTTGAAGATTTCGTTGGAAACCGGAATATCTTCATATAAAATCAAGACAGAAGCATTCTCGGAAACATCTCTGTGATGTTTGCATTCAACTCAGTAGAGTTGAACACTTCCTTTCATAGAGCAGGTTTCAAACACTCTTTCTGCACTACCTGGAAGCGGACATTTCGAGCGCTTTGAGGCCTATGGTGAAAAAGGAAATATCTTCTCATAAAAACCAGAAAGAAGCATTCTCAGAAACTTCTTTGTGTTGTGTGTACTCAAGTAACAGTGTTGAACCTTCCTTTTGACAGAGCAGTTTTGAAACACTCTTTTGGTAGAATCTGCAAGTGGATATTTGGAGAGCTTTGAGGATTTCGTTGGAAACGGGTTATATTCATATAAAATCCAGACAGGAGCATTCTCAGAAACTTCTTTGTGCTGTATGTCCTCAATTCACAGAGCTGAACCTTTGTTTGGATACAGCATTTTGGAGACATTCCTTTAGTAGAATCTGCAAGTTGATATTTAGATAGCTTTGAAGATTTCGTTGGAAACGGGAATATCTTCATAGAAAATCTAGACGGAAGCATTCTCAGAAACTGCTTTGTGATGTTTGCATTCAAGTCACAGAGTTGAATATTCCCTTTTATAGAGTAGGTTTGAAACACTCTTTCGGCACTACCTGGAAGTGGATATTTCGAGCTCTTTGAGGCCTATGGTTAAAAGGAAATATCTTCCCATAAAAACTAGACAGAAGCCGTCTCAGAAACTTGTTTGTGATGTGTGTATTCAACTACCAGAGTTGAACATTTCTGTTACAGAGCAATTTTAAAACACTCTTTTTGTGGAATCTGAAAGTGGATAATTGGATAGCTTTGTGGATTTTGTTGGAAACGGGATGACGTATAAAATCTAGAGAGAAGCATTCTCAGGAACTTCTTTCTGATGTTTGCATTCAAGTCACAGAATTGAACATTCCTTTTCAGAGTGCAGGTTTGAAACACACTCTTTCTGTAGTATCTGGAAGTGGACATTTCAAGCGCTTTCAGGCCTACGGGGAGAAAGGAAATATCTTCAAATAAAAACTAGACAGAAGGATTCTCAGAAACTTATTTGTGATGTGTGTTCTCAACGAACACAGTTGAACCTTTGTTTTGATATAGCATTTTGGAAGCACTCTTTTGTAGAATCTGCAGGTGGATATTTGGATAGATTTTAAGATTTCATTGGAAACGGGAATTTCTTCATATAAACTCAAGACAGATGCATTCTCAGAAACTTCTCTGTGATGTTTGCATTCCACTCACAGAGTTGAAAACTTCCTTTCATAGAGCAGGTTTGAAACACTCTTTTTGTAATATTTGGAAGTGGACATTTGCAGCGCTTTGAGGCCTATGGTGAAAAAGGAAATATCTTCTCATAAAAACCAGAAACAAGCATTCTCAGAAACTGCTTTTTGATGTGTGTACTCAAGTAACAGAGTTGAACCTTCCTTTTGACACAGCAGTTTTGAAACAATCTTTTTGTAGAATCTGCAAGTGGATATTTGGATAGCTTTGAGGATTTCGTTGGAAACGGGATATCTTCATATAAAATCTAGACAGGAAGCATTCTCAGAAACTTCTTTGTGCTGTATGTCCTCAATTAACAGAGTTGAACCATTGCTTGGATACAGCATTTTGGAAACATTCCTTTAGTAGAATCTGCAAGTTGATATTTAGATAGATTTGAAGATTTCGTTGGAAACGGGAATATCTTCATATAAAATCTAGACGGAGGCATTCTCAGAAACTGCTTTGTGATGTTTCCATTCAAGTCACAGAGTTGAATATTCTCTTTTATAGAGCACGTTTGAAACACTCTTTCTGCACCATCTGGAAGTGGACATTTCGAGCGCTGTGAGGCCTATGGTGAAAAAGGAAATATCTTCCCATAAAAACTAGACAGAAGCATTCTCAGAAACTTGTTTGTGATGTGTGTATTCAACTAACAGACTAGAACTTTTGTTTTTACAGAGCAGTTTTAAGACAATCTTTTTGTGGAATCAGAAAGTGGATATTCGGATGGCTTTGAGGACTTCGTTGGAAGCGGGATTACATATAAAATCTAGAGAGAAGCATTCTCAGCAACTTCTTTGTGATGTTTGCATTGAAGTCACAGAATTGAACATTCACTTTGATAGAGCAGGTTTGAAACACTCATTCTGTAGTATCTGGAAGCGGACAATTCAAGCGCTTTCAGGCCTATGGGGAGAAAGGAAATATCTTCAAATAAAAACTAGACAGAAGCATCCTCAGAAACTTATTTGTGATGTGTGTCCTCAACTAACAGAGTTGAAACTTTGTTTTGATACAGCATTTTGGAAACACTCTTTTTGTAGAATCTGCAGGTGGATGTTTGGATAGCTTAGAGGGATTCGTTTGAAAGGGGATATCTTCATATAAAATCTAGACAGAAGCATTCTCAGAAACTTATTTGTGATGTGTGTCCTCAACTAACAGAGTGGAACCTTGGTTTTGATACAGCATTTTGGAAACACTCCTTTTGTAGAATCTGCAGGTGGATATGTGGATAGCTTTGAAGATTTCGTTGGAAACGGGAATTTCTTCATATAAAATCAAACAGAAGCATTCTCAGAAACTTCTCTGTGATGTTTGCATTCAGCTCATGGAGTTGAACACTTCCTTTCATAGAGCAGCTTTGAAACACTCTTTCTGCACTACCAGGAAGTGGACATTTCGAGCGCTTTGAGGCCTATGGTGAAAAAGGAAATATCTTCTCATAAAAACCAGAAAGAAGCATTCTCAGAAACTTCTTTGTGTTGTGTGTACTCATGTAACAGTGTTGAACCATCCTTTTGACAGAGGAGTTTTGAAACACTCTTTTTGTAGAATCTGCAAGTGGATATTTGGATAGCTTTGAGGATTTCGTTGGAAACGGGATGACATATAATATCTAGAGAGAAGCATTCTCAGGAACTTCTTTGTGATGTTTGCATTCAAGTCACAGAATTGAACATTGCCTTTCATAGAGCAGGTTTGAAACACTCTTTCTCTAGTATCTGGAAGTGGGCATTTCAAGCGCTTTCAGGCCTATGGAGAGAAAGGAAATACCTTCAAATAAAAACTAGACAGAAGCATTCTCAGAAACTTATTTGTGATGTGTGTCCTCAACTAACAGAGTTGAACCTTTGTTTTGATACAGCATTTTGGAAACACTCCTTTTGTAGAATCTGCAGGTGGATATTTGGATAGCTTTGAAGATTTCGTTGGAAACCGGAATATCTTCATATAAAATCAAGACAGAAGCATTCTCGGAAACATCTCTGTGATGTTTGCATTCAACTCAGTAGAGTTGAACACTTCCTTTCATAGAGCAGGTTTGAAACACTCTTTCTGCACTACCTGGAAGCGGACATTTCGAGCGCTTTGAGGCCTATGGTGAAAAAGGAAATATCTTCTCATAAAAACCAGAAAGAAGCATTCTCAGAAACTTCTTTGTGTTGTGTGTACTCAAGTAACAGTGTTGAACCTTCCTTTTGACAGAGCAGTTTTGAAACACTCTTTTGGTAGAATCTGCAAGTGGATATCTGGAGAGCTTTGAGGATTTCGTTGGAAACGGGTTATCTTCATATAAAATCCAGACAGGTAAGCATTCTCAGGAAACTTCTTTGTGCTGTATGTCCTCAATTAACAGAGTTGAACCATTGCTTGGATACAGCATTTTGGAAACATTCCTTTAGTAGAATCTGCAAGTTGATATTTAGATAGCTTTGAAGATTTCGTTGGAAACGGGAATATCTTCATATAAAATCTAGACGGAAGCATTCTCAGAAACTGCTTTGTGATGTTTGCATTCAAGTCACAGAGTTGAATATTCCCTTTTATAGAGTAGGTTTGAAACACTCTTTCGGCACTACCTGGAAGTGGATATTTCGAGCTCTTTGAGGCCTATGGTTAAAAGGAAATATCTTCCCATAAAAACTAGACAGAAGCCGTCTCAGAAACTTGTTTGTGATGTGTGTATTCAACTACCAGAGTTGAACATTTCTGTTACAGAGCAATTTTAAAACACTCTTTCTGTGGAATCTGAAAGTGGATAATTGGATAGCTTTGTGGATTTCGTTGGAAACGGGATGACGTATAAAATCTAGAGAGAAGCATTCTCAGGAACTTCTTTCTGATGTTTGCATTCAAGTCACAGAATTGAACATTCCTTTTCAGAGTGCAGGTTTGAAACACTCTTTCTGTAGTATCTGGAAGTGGACATTTCAAGCGCTTTCAGGCCTTCGTGGAGAAAGGAAATATCTTCAAATAAAAACTAGACAGAAGGATTCTCAGAAACTTATTTGTGATGTGTGTCCTAAACGAACACAGTTGAACCTTTGTTTTGATACAGCATTTTGGAAACACTCCTTTTGTAGGATCTGCAGGTGGATATTTGGATAGATTTTAAGATTTCGTTGGAAACGGGAATTTCTGCATATAAACTCAAGACAGATGCATTCTCCGAAACTTCTCTGTGATGTTTGCATTCCACTCATAGAGTTGAAAACTTCCTTTCATAGAGCAGGTTTGAAACACTCTTTTTGTAATATTTGGAAGTGGACATTTGCGGCGCTTTGAGGCCTATGGCGAAAAAGGAAATATCTTCTCATAAAAACCAGAAACAAGCATTCTCAGAAACTTCTTTTTGATGTGTGTACTCAAGTAACAGAGTTGAACCTTCCTTTTGACACAGCAGTTTTGAAACAATCTTTTTGTAGAATCTGCAAGTGGATATTTGGATAGCTTTGAGGATTTCGTTGGAAACGGGATATCTTCATATAAAATCTAGACAGAAGCATTCTCAGAAACTTCTTTGTGCTGTATGTCCTCAATTAACAGAGTTGAACCATTGCTTGGATACAGCATTTTGGAAACATTCCTTGAGTAGAATCTGCAAGTTGATATTTAGATAGATTTGAAGATTTCGGTTGGAAAAGGGAATATCTCCATATAAAATCTAGAGGGAAGCATTCTCAGAAACTGCTTTGTGATGTTTCCATTCAAGTCACAGAGTTGAATATTCCCTTTTATAGAGCACGTTTGAAACACTCTTTCTGCACTATCTGGAAGCGGACATTTCGAGCGCTTTGAGGCCTATGGTGAAAAAGGAAATATCTTCCCATAAAAACTAGACAGAAGCATTCTCAGAAACTTGTTTGTGATGTGTGTATTCAACTAACAGAGTTGAACTTTTGTTTTTACAGAGCCGTTTTAAAACACTCTTTTTGTGGAATCAGAAAGTGGATATTCGGATGGCTCTGAGGATTTCGTTGGAAGCGGGATTACGTATAAAATCTAGAGAGAAGCATTCTCAGGAACTTCTTTCTGATGTTTGCATTGAAGTCACAGAATTGAACATTCACTTTTATAGAGCAGGTTTGAAACACTCATTCTGTAGTATCTGGAAGTGGACATTTCAAGCGCTTTCAGGCCTATGGTGAGAAAGGAAATATCTTCGAATAAAAACTAGACAGAAGCATCCTCAAACTTATTTGTGATGTGTGTCCTCAACTAACAGAGTTGAAACTTTGTTTTGATACAGCATTTTGGAAACACTCTTTTTGTAGAATCTGCAGGTGGATATTTGGATAGCTTAGAGGGATTCGTTGGAAAGGGGATATCTTCATATAGAATCTAGACAGAAGCATTCTCAGAAACTTATTTGTGATGTGTGTCCTCAACTAACAGAGTTGAACTTTGGTTTTGATACAGCATTTTGGAAACACTCCTTTTGTAGAATCTGCAGGTGGATATGTGGATAGCTCTGAAGATTTCGTTGGAAACGGGAATTTCTTCATAGAAAATCAAACAGAAGCATTCTCAGAAACTTCTCAGTGATGTTTGCATTCAGTTCATGGAGTTGAACACTTCCTTTCATAGAGCCGATTTGAAACACTCTTTCTGCACTACCTGGAAGAGGACATTTCGAGCGCTTTGAGTCCTATGGTGAAAAAGGAAATATCTTCTCATAGAAACCAGAAAGAAGCATTCTCAGAAACTTCTTTGTGTTGTGTGTACTCATGTAACAGTGTTGAACCATCCTTTTGACAGAGCAGTTTTGAAACACTCTTTTTGTAGAATCTGCAAGTGGATATTTGGATAGCTTTGAGGATTTCGTTGGAAACGGGATGACATATAATATCTAGAGAGAAGCATTCTCAGGAACTTCTTTGTGATGTTTGCATTCAAGTCACAGAATTGAACGTTCCCTTTCATAGAGCAGGTTTGAAACACTCTTTCTCTAGTATCTGGAAGTGGACATTTCAAGCGCTTTCAGGCCTATGGAGAGAAAGGAAATACCTTCAAATAAAAACTAGACAGAAGCATTCTCAGAAACTTATTTGTGATGTGTGTCCTCAACTAACAGAGTTGAACCTTTGTTTTGATACAGCATTTTGGAAACACTCCTTTTGTAGAATCTGCAGGTGGATATTTGGATAGCTTTGAAGATTTCGTTGGAAACCGGAATATCTTCATATAAAATCAAGACAGAAGCATTCTCGGAAACATCTCTGTGATGTTTGCATTCAACTCAGTAGATTTGAACACTTCCTTTCATAGAGCAGGTTTGAAACACTCTTTCTGCACTACCTGGAAGCGGACATTTCGAGCGCTTTGAGGCCTATGGTGAAAAAGGAAATATCTTCTCATAAAAACCAGAAAGAAGCATTCTCAGAAACTTCTTTGTGTTGTGTGTACTCAAGTAACAGTGTTGAACCTTCCTTTTGACAGAGCAGTTTTGAAACACTCTTTTGGTAGAATCTGCAAGTGGATATTTGGAGAGCTTTGAGGATTTCGTTGGAAACGGGTTATCTTCATATAAAATCCAGACAGGAGCATTCTCAGAAACTTCTTTGTGCTGTATGTCCTCAATTCACAGAGCTGAACCTTTGTTTGGATACAGCATTTTGGAGACATTCCTTTAGTAGAATCTGCAAGTTGATATTTAGATAGCTTTGAAGATTTCGTTGGAAACGGGAATATCTTCATAGAAAATCTAGACGGAAGCATTCTCAGAAACTGCTTTGTGATGTTTGCATTCAAGTCACAGAGTTGAATATTCCCTTTTATAGAGTAGGTTTGAAACACTCTTTCGGCACTACCTGGAAGTGGATATTTCGAGCTCTTTGAGGCCTATGGTTAAAAGGAAATATCTTCCCATAAAAACTAGACAGAAGCCTTCTCAGAAACTTGTTTGAGATGTGTGTATTCAACTAAGAGCGTTGAACATTTCTTTTTACAGAGCAGTTTTAAAACACTCTTTTGTGGAATCTGAAAGTGGATAATTGGATAGCTTTGTGGATTTCGTTGGAAACGGGATGACGTATAAAATCTAGAGAGAAGCATTCTCAGGAACTTCTTTCTGATGTTTGCATTCAAGTCACAGAATTGAACATTCCTTTTCATAGTGCAGGTTTGAAACACTCTTTCTGTAGTATCTGGAAGTGGACATTTCAAGCGCTTTCAGGCCTATGGGGAGAAAGGAAATATCTTCAAATAAAAACTAGACAGAAGGATTCTCAGAAACTTATTTGTGATGTGTGTCCTAAACGAACACAGTTGAACCTTTGTTTTGATACAGCATTTTGGAAACACTCCTTTTGTAGGATCTGCAGGTGGATATTTGGATAGATTTTAAGATTTCGTTGGAAACGGGAATTTCTGCATATAAACTCAAGACAGATGCATTCTCAGAAACTTCTCTGTGATGTTTGCATTCCACTCATAGAGTTGAAAACTTCCTTTCATAGAGCAGGTTTGAAACACTCTTTTTGTAATATTTGGAAGTGGACATTTGCAGCGCTTTGAGGCCTATGGTGAAAAAGGAAATATCTTCTCATAAAAACCAGAAACAAGCATTCTCAGAAACTTCTTTTTGATGTGTGTACTCAAGTAACAGAGTTGAACCTTCCTCTTGACACAGCAGTTTTGAAACAATCTTTTTGTAGAATCTGCAAGTGGATATTTGGATAGCTTTGAGGATTTCGTTGGAAACGGGATATCTTCATATAAAATCTAGACAGAAGCATTCTCAGAAACTTCTTTGTGCTGTATGTCCTCAATTAACAGAGTTGAACCATTGCTTGGATACAGCATTTTGGAAACATTCCTTGAGTAGAATCTGCAAGTTGATATTTAGATAGATTTGAAGATTTCGTTGGAAAAGGGAATATCTCCATATAAAATCTAGAGGGAATCATTCTCAGAAACTGCTTTGTGATGTTTCCATTCAAGTCACAGAGTTGAATATTCCCTTTTATAGAGCACGTTTGAAACACTCTTTCTGCACTATCTGGAAGTGGACATTTCGAGCGCTTTGAGGCCTATGGTGAAAAAGGAAATATCTTCCCATAAAAACTAGACAGAAGCATTCTCAGAAACTTGTTTGTGATGTGTGTATTCAACTAACAGACTTGAACTTTTGTTTTTACAGAGCAGTTTTAAAACAATCTTTTTGTGGAATCAGAAAGTGGATATTCGGATGGCTTTGAGGATTTCGTTGGAAGCGGGATTACATATAAAATGTAGAGAGAAGCATTCTCAGGAACTTCTTTGTGATGTTTGCATTGAAGTCACAGAATTGAACATTCACTTTGATAGAGCAGGTTTGAAACACTCATTCTGTAGTATCTGGAAGTGGACATTTCAAGCGCTTTCAGGCCTATGGGGAGAAAGGAAATATCTTCAAATTAAAACTAGACAGAAGCATCCTCAGAAACTTATTTGTGATGTGTGTCCTCAACTAACAGAGTTGAAACTTTGTTTTGATACAGCATTTTGGAAACACTCTTTTTGTAGAATCTGCAGGTGGATACTTGGATAGCTTAGAGGGATTCGTTGGAAAGGGGATAAATTCATATAAAATCTAGACAGAAGCATTCTCAGAAACTTATTTGTGATGTGTGTCCTCAACTAACAGAGTTGAACCTTGGTTTTGATACAGCATTTTGGAAACACTCCTTTTGAAGAATCTGCAGGTGGATATGTGGATAGCTTTGAAGATTTCGTTGGAAACGGGAATTTCTTCATATAAAATCAAACAGAAGCATTCTCAGAAACTTCTCTGTGATGTTTGCATTCAGCTCATGGAGTTGAACACTTCCTTTCATAGAGCAGGTTTGAAACACTCTTTCTGCACTACCAGGAAGTGGACATTTCGAGCGCTTTGAGGCCTATGGTGAAAAAGGAAATATCTTCTCATAAAAACCAGAAAGAAGCATTCTCAGAAACTTCTTTGTGTTGTGTGTACTCATGTAACAGTGTTGAACCATCCTTTTGACAGAGCAGTTTTGAAACACTCTTTTTGTAGAATCTGCAAGTGGATATTTGGATAGCTTTGAGGATTTCGTTGGAAACGGGATGACATATAATATCTAGAGAGAAGCATTCTCAGGAACTTCTTTGTGATGTTTGCATTCAAGTCACAGAATTGAACATTGCCTTTCATAGAGCAGGTTTGAAACACTCTTTCTCTAGTATCTGGAAGTGGGCATTTCAAGCGCTTTCAGGCCTATGGAGAGAAAGGAAATACCTTCAAATAAAAACTAGACAGAAGCATTCTCAGAAACTTATTTGTGATGTGTGTCCTCAACTAACAGAGTTGAACCTTTGTTTTGATACAGCATTTTGGAAACACTCCTTTTGTAGAATCTGCAGGTGGATATTTGGATAGCTTTGAAGATTTCGTTGGAAACCGGAATATCTTCATATAAAATCAAGACAGAATCATTCTCGGAAACATCTCTGTGATGTTTGCATTCAACTCAGTAGAGTTGAACACTTCCTTTCATAGAGCAGGTTTGAAACACTCTTTCTGCACTATCTGGAAGCGGACATTTCGAGCGCTTTGAGGCCTATGGTGAAAAAGGAAATATCTTCTCATAAAAACCAGAAAGAAGCATTCTCAGAAACTTCTTTGTGTTGTGTGTACTCAAGTAACAGTGTTGAACCTTCCTTTTGACAGAGCAGTTTTGAAACACTCTTTTGGTAGAATCTGCAAGTGGATATTTGGATAGCTTTGAGGATTTCGTTGGAAACGGGTTATCTTCATATAAAATCCAGACAGGAGCATTCTCAGAAACTTCTTTGTGCTGTATGTCCTCAATTCACAGAGCTGAACCTTTGTTTGGATACAGCATTTTGGAGACATTCCTTTAGTAGAATCTGCAAGTTGATATTTAGATAGCTTTGAAGATTTCGTTGGAAACGGGAATATCTTCATAGAAAATCTAGACGGAAGCATTCTCAGAAACTGCTTTGTGATGTTTGCATTCAAGTCACAGAGTTGAATATTCCCTTTTATAGAGTAGGTTTGAAACACTCTTTCGGCACTACCTGGAAGTGGATATTTCGAGCTCTTTGAGGCCTATGGTTAAAAGGAAATATCTTCCCATAAAAACTAGACAGAAGCCTTCTCAGAAACTTGTTTGAGATGTGTGTATTCAACTAAGAGCGTTGAACATTTCTTTTTACAGAGCAGTTTTAAAACACTCTTTTTGTGGAATCTGAAAGTGGATAATTGGATAGCTTTGTGGATTTCTTTGGAAACGGGATTACGTATAAAATCTAGAGAGAAGCATTCTCAGGAACTTCTTTCTGATGTTTGCATTCAAGTCACAGAATTGAACATTCCTTTTCATAGTGCAGGTTTGAAACACTCTTTCTGTAGTATCTGGAAGGGGACATTTGAAGCGCTTTCAGGCCTCTGGGGGAGGAAGGAAATATCTTCAAATAAAAACTAGACAGAAGGATTCTCAGAAACTTATTTGTGATGTGTGTCCTAAACGATTACAGTTGAACCTTTGTTTTGATACAGCATTTAGGAAGCACTCCTTTTGTAGAATCTGCAGGTGGATATTTGGATAGATTTTAAGATTTCATTGGAAACGGGAATTTCTTCATATAAACTCAAGACAGATGCATTCTCAGAAACTTCTCTGTGATGTTTGCATTCCACTCATAGAGTTGAAAACTTCCTTTCATAGAGCAGGTTTGAAACACTCTTTTTGTAATATTTGGAAGTGGACATTTGCAGCGCTTTGAGGCCTATGGTGAAAAAGGAAATATCTTCTCATAAAAACCAGAAACAAGCATTCTCAGAAACTTCTTTTTGATGTGTGTACTCAAGTAACGGAGTTGAACCTTCCTTTTGACACAGCAGTTTTGAAACAATCTTTTTGTAGAATCTGCAAGTGGATATTTGGATAGCTTTGAGGATTTCGTTGGAAACGGGATATCTTCATATAAAATCTAGACAGAAGCATTCTCAGAAACTTCTTTGTGCTGTATGTCCTCAATTAACAGAGTTGAACCATTGCTTGGATACAGCATTTTGGAAACATTCCTTGAGTAGAATCTGCAAGTTGATATTTAGATAGATTTGAAGATTTCGTTGGAAAAGGGAATATCTCCATATAAAATCTAGAGGGAAGCATTCTCAGAAACTGCTTTGTGATGTTTCCATTCAAGTCACAGAGTTGAATATTCCCTTTTATAGAGCACGTTTGAAACACTCTTTCTGCACTATCTGGAAGTGGACATTTCGAGCGCTTTGAGGCCTATGGTGAAAAAGGAAATATCTTCCCATAAAAACTAGACAGAAGCATTCTCAGAAACTTGTTTGTGATGTGTGTATTCAACTAACAGAGTTGAACTTTTGTTTTTACAGAGCCGTTTAAAAACACTCTTTTTGTGGAATCAGAAAGTGGATATTCGGATGGCTCTGAGGATTTCGTTGGAAGCGGGATTACGTATAAAATCTAGAGAGAAGCATTCTCAGGCAACTTCTTTGTGATGTTTGCATTGAAGTCACAGAATTGAACATTCACTTTGATAGAGCAGGTTTGAAACACTCATTCTGTAGTATCTGGAAGTGGACATTTCAAGCGCTTTCAGGCCTATGGTGAGAAAGGAAATATCTTCGAATAAAAACTAGACAGAAGCATCCTCAAACTTATTTGTGATGTGTGTCCTCAACTAACAGAGTTGAAACTTTGTTTTGATACAGCATTTTGGAAACACTCTTTTTGTAGAATCTGCAGGTGGATATTTGGATAGCTTAGAGGGATTCGTTGGAAAGGGGATATCTTCATATAGAATCTAGACAGAAGCATTCTCAGAAACTTATTTGTGATGTGTGTCCTCAACTAACAGAGTTGAACCTTGGTTTTGATACAGCATTTTGGAAACACTCCTTTTGTAGAATCTGCAGGTGGATATGTGGATAGCTCTGAAGATTTCGTTGGAAACGGGAATTTCTTCATATAAAATCAAACAGAAGCATTCTCAGAAACTTCTCAGTGATGTTTGCATTCAGCTCATGGAGTTGTACACTTCCTTTCATAGAGCAGGTTTGAAACACTCTTTCTGCACTACCTGGAAGAGGACATTTCGAGCGCTTTGAGTCCTATGGTGAAAAAGGAAATATCTTCTCATAGAAACCAGAAAGAAGCATTCTCAGAAACTTCTTTGTGTTGTGTGTACTCATGTAACAGTGTTGAACCATCCTTTTGACAGAGCAGTTTTGAAACACTCTTTTTGTAGAATCTGCAAGTGGATATTTGGATAGCTTTGAGGATTTCGTTGGAAACGGGATGACATATAATATCTAGAGAGAAGCATTCTCAGGAACTTGCTTTGTGATGTTTGCATTCAAGTCACAGAATTGAACATTCCCTTTCATAGAGCAGGTTTGAAACACTCTTTCTCTAGTATCTGGAAGTGGGCATTTCAAGCGCTTTCAGGCCTATGGAGAGAAAGGAAATACCTTCAAATAAAAACTAGACAGAAGCATTCTCAGAAACTTATTTGTGATGTGTGTCCTCAACTAACAGAGTTGAACCTTTGTTTTGATACAGCATTTTGGAAACACTCCTTTTGTAGAATCTGCAGGTGGATATTTGGATAGCTTTGAAGATTTCGTTGGAAACCGGAATATCTTCATATAAAATCAAGACAGAAGCATTCTCGGAAATATCTCTGTGATGTTTGCATTCAACTCAGTAGAGTTGAACACTTCCTTTCATAGAGCAGGTTTGAAACACTCTTTCTGCACTACCTGGAAGCGGACATTTCGAGCGCTTTGAGGCCTATGGTGAAAAAGGAAATATCTTCTCATAAAAACCAGAAAGAAGCATTCTCAGAAACTTCTTTGTGTTGTGTGTACTCAAGTAACAGTGTTGAACCTTCCTTTTGACAGAGCAGTTTTGAAACACTCTTTTGGTAGAATCTGCAAGTGGATATTTGGATAGCTTTGAGGATTTCGTTGGAAACGGGTTATCTTCATATAAAATCCAGACAGGAAGCATTCTCAGAAACTTCTTTGTGCTGTATGTCCTCAATTCACAGAGCTGAACCTTTGTTTGGATACAGCATTTTGGAGACATTCCTTTAGTAGAATCTGCAAGTTGATATTTAGATAGCTTTGAAGATTTCGTTGGAAACGGGAATATCTTCATAGAAAATCTAGACGGAAGCATTCTCAGAAACTGCTTTGTGATGTTTGCATTCAAGTCACAGAGTTGAATATTCTCTTTTATAGAGTAGGTTTGAAACACTCTTTCGGCACTACCTGGAAGTGGATATTTCGAGCTCTTTGAGGCCTATGGTTAAAAGGAAATATCTTCCCATAAAAACTAGACAGAAGCCGTCTCAGAAACTTGTTTGTGATGTGTGTATTCAACTAACAGAGTTGAACATTTCTGTTACAGAGCAATTTTAAAACACTCTTTTTGTGGAATCTGAAAGTGGATATTTGGGTAGCTTTGTGGATTTCGTTAGAAACGGGATGACGTATAAAATCTAGAGAGAAGCATTCTCAGGAACTTCTTTCTGATGTTTGCATTCAAGTCACAGAATTGAACATTCCTTTTCAGAGTGCAGGTTTGAAACACTCTTTCTGTAGTATCTGGAAGTGGACATTTCAAGCGCTTTCAGGCCTACGGGGAGAAAGGAAATATCTTCAAATAAAAACTAGAGAGAAGGATTCTCAGAAACTTATTGGTGATGTGTGTCCTAAACGAACACAGTTGAACCTTTGTTTTGATACAGCATTTTGGAAACACTCCCTTTGTAGAATCTGCAGGTGGATATTTGGATAGATTTTAAGATTTCGTTGGAAACGGGAATTTCTTCATATAAACTCAAGACAGATGCATTCTCAGAAACTTCTCTGTGATGTTTGCATTCCACTCATAGAGTTGAAAACTTCCTTTCATAGAGCAGGTTTGAAACACTCTTTTTGTAATATTTGGAAGTGGACATTTGCAGCGCTTTGAGGCCTATGGTGAAAAAGGAAATATCTTCTCATAAAAACCAGAAACAAGCATTCTCAGAAACTTCTTTTTGATGTGTGTACTCAAATATCAGAGTTGAACCTTCCTTTTGACACAGCAGTTTTGAAACAATCTTTTTGTAGAATCTGCAAGTGGACATTTGGATAGCTTTGATGATTTCGTTGGAAACGGGATATCTTCATATAAAATCTAGACAGAAGCATTCTCAGAAACTTCTTTGTGCTGTATGTCCTCAATTAACAGAGTTGAACCATTGCTTGGATACAGCATTTTGGAAACATTCCTTGAGTAGAATCTGCAAGTTGATATTTAGATAGATTTGAAGATTTCGTTGGAAAAGGGAATATCTCCATATAAAATCTAGAGGGAAGCATTCTCAGAAACTGCTTTGTGATGTTTCCATTCAAGTCACAGAGTTGAATATTCCCTTTTATAGAGCACGTTTGAAACACTCTTTCTGCACTATCTGGAAGCGGACATTTCGAGCGCTTTGAGGCCTATGGTGAAAAAGGAAATATCTTCCCATAAAAACTAGACAGAAGCATTCTCAGAAACTTGTTTGTGATGTGTGTATTCAACTAACAGAGTTGAACTTTTGTTTTTACAGAGCCGTTTTAAAACACTCTTTTTGTGGAATCAGAAAGTGGATATTCGGATGGCTCTGAGGATTTCGTTGGAAGCGGGATTACGTATAAAATCTAGAGAGAAGCATTCTCAGGAACTTCTTTGTGATGTTTGCATTGAAGTCACAGAATTGAACATTCACTTTGATAGAGCAGGTTTGAAACACTCATTCTGTAGTATCTGGAAGTGGACATTTCAAGCGCTTTCAGGCCTATGGTGAGAAAGGAAATATCTTCGAATAAAAACTAGACAGAAGCATCCTCAGAAACTTATTTGTGATGTGTGTCCTCAACTAACAGAGTTGAAACTTTGTTTTGATACAGCATTTTGGAAACACTCTTTTTGTAGAATCTGCAGGTGGATATTTGGATAGCTTAGAGGGATTCGTTGGAAAGGGGATATCTTCATATAAAATCTAGACAGAAGCATTCTCAGAAACTTATTTGTGATGTGTGTCCTCAACTAACAGAGTTGAACCTTGGTTTTGATACAGCATTTTGGAAACACTCCTTTTGTAGAATCTGCAGGTGGATATGTGGATAGCTCTGAAGATTTCGTTGGAAACGGGAATTTCTTCATATAAAATCAAACAGAAGCATTCTCAGAAACTTCTCAGTGATGTTTGCATTCAGTTCATGGAGTTGAACACTTCCTTTCATAGAGCCGGTTTGAAACACTCTTTCTGCACTACCTGGAAGAGGACATTTCGAGCGCTTTGAGTCCTATGGTGAAAAAGGAAATATCTTCTCATAGAAACCAGAAAGAAGCATTCTCAGAAACTTCTTTGTGTTGTGTGTACTCATGTAACAGTGTTGAACCATTCTTTTGACAGAGCAGTTTTGAAACACTCTTTTTGTAGAATCTGCAAGTGGATATTTGGATAGCTTTGAGGATTTCGTTGGAAACGGGATGACATATAATATCTAGAGAGAAGCATTCTCAGGAACTTCTTTGTGATGTTTGCATTCAAGTCACAGAATTGAACATTCCCTTTCATAGAGCAGGTTTGAAACACTCTTTCTCTAGTATCTGGAAGTGGGCATTTCAAGCGCTTTCAGGCCTATGGAGAGAAAGGAAATACCTTCAAATAAAAACTAGACAGAAAGCATTCTCAGTAAACTTATTTGTGATGTGTGTCCTCAACTAACAGAGTTGAACCTTTGTTTTGATACAGCATTTTGGAAACACTCCTTTTGTAGAATCTGCAGGTGGATATTTGGATAGCTTTGAAGATTTCGTTGGAAACCGGAATATCTTCATATAAAATCAAGACAGAAGCATTCTCGGAAACATCTCTGTGATGTTTGCATTCAACTCAGTAGAGTTGAACACTTCCTTTCATAGAGCAGGTTTGAAACACTCTTTCTGCACTACCTGGAAGCGGACATTTCGAGCGCTTTGAGGCCTATGGTGAAAAAGGAAATATCTTCTCATAAAAACCAGAAAGAAGCATTCTCAGAAACTTCTTTGTGTTGTGTGTACTCAAGTAACAGTGTTGAACCTTCCTTTTGACAGAGCAGTTTTGAAACACTCTTTTGGTAGAATCTGCAAGTGGATATTTGGATAGCTTTGAGGATTTCGTTGGAAACGGGTTATCTTCATATAAAATCCAGACAGGAGCATTCTCAGAAACTTCTTTGTGCTGTATGTCCTCAATTCACAGAGCTGAACCTTTGTTTGGATACAGCATTTTGGAGACATTCCTTTAGTAGAATCTGCAAGTTGATATTTAGATAGCTTTGAAGATTTCGATGGAAACGGGAATATCTTCATAGAAAATCCTAGACGGAAGCATTCTCAGAAACTGCTTTGTGATGTTTGCATTCAAGTCACAGAGTTGAATATTCCCTTTTATAGAGTAGGTTTGAAACACTCTTTCGGCACTACCTGGAAGTGGATATTTCGAGCTCTTTGAGGCCTATGGTTAAAAGGAAATATCTTCCCATAAAAACTAGACAGAAGCCGTCTCAGAAACTTGTTTGTGATGTGTGTATTCAACTAACAGAGTTGAACATTTCTGTTACAGAGCAATTTTAAAACACTCTTTTTGTGGAATCTGAAAGTGGATAATTGGATAGCTTTGTGGATTTCGTTGGAAACGGGATGACGTATAAAATCTAGAGAGAAGCATTCTCAGGAACTTCTTTCTGATGTTTGCATTCAAGTCACAGAATTGAACATTCCTTTTCAGAGTGCAGGTTTGAAACACTCTTTCTGTAGTATCTGGAAGTGGACATTTCAAGCGCTTTCAGGCCTACGGGGAGAAAGGAAATATCTTCAAATAAAAACTAGACAGAAGGATTCTCAGAAACTTATTTGTGATGTGTGTCCTAAACGAACACAGTTGAACCTTTGTTTTGATACAGCATTTTGGAAACACTCCTTTTGTAGGATCTGCAGGTGGATATTTGGATAGATTTTAAGATTTCGTTGGAAACGGGAATTTCTTCATAGACGCTCAAGACAGATGCATTCTCAGAAACTTCTCTGTGATGTTTGCATTCCACTCATAGAGTTGAAAACTTCCTTTCATAGAGCAGGTTTGAAACACTCTTTTTGTAATATTTGGAAGTGGACATTTGCAGCGCTTTGAGGCCTATGGTGAAAAAGGAAATATCTTCTGATAAAAACCAGAAACAAGCATTCTCAGAAACTTCTTTTTGATGTGTGTACTCAAGTAACAGAGTTGAACCTTCCTTTTGACACAGCAGTTTTGAAACAATCTTTTTGTAGAATCTGCAAGTGGATATTTGGATAGCTTTGAGGATTTCGTTGGAAACGGGATATCTTCATATAAAATCTAGACAGAAGCATTCTCCGAAACTTCTTTGTGCTGTATGTCCTCAATTAACAGAGTTGAACCATTGCTTGGATACAGCATTTTGGAAACATTCCTTTAGTAGAATCTGCAAGTTGATATTTAGATAGATTTGAAGATTTCGTTGGAAACGGGAATATCTTCATATAAAATCTAGACGGAGGCATTCTCAGAAACTGCTTTGTGATGTTTCCATTCAAGTCACAGAGTTGAATATTCTCTTTTATAGAGCACGTTTGAAACACTCTTTCTGCACTATCTGGAAGTGGACATTTCGAGCGCTGTGAGGCCTATGGTGAAAAAGGAAATATCTTCCCATAAAAACTAGACAGAAGCATTCTCAGAAACTTGTTTGTGATGTGTGTATTCAACTAACAGAGTTGAACTTTTGTTTTTACAGAGCCGTTTTAAAACACTCTTTTTGTGGAATCAGAAAGTGGATATTCGGATGGCTCTGAGGATTTCGTTGGAAGCGGGATTACATATAAAATCTAGAGAGAAGCATTCTCAGGAACTTCTTTGTGATGTTTGCATTGAACTCACAGAATTGAACATTCACTTTGATAGAGCAGGTTTGAAACACTCATTCTGTAGTATCTGGAAGTGGACATTTCAAGCGCTTTCAGGCCTATGGTGAGAAAGGAAATATCTTCGAATAAAAACTAGACAGAAGCATCCTCAAACTTATTTGTGATGTGTGTCCTCAACTAACAGAGTTGAAACTTTGTTTTGATACAGCATTTTGGAAACACTCTTTTTGTAGAATCTGCAGGTGGATATTTGGATAGCTTAGAGGGATTCGTTGGAAAGGGGATATCTTCATATAGAATCTAGACAGAAGCATTCTCAGAAACTTATTTGTGATGTGTGTCCTCAACTAACAAAGTTGAACCTTGGTTTTGATACAGCATTTTGGAAACACTCCTTTTGTAGAATCTGCAGGTGGATATGTGGATAGCTTTGAAGATTTCGTTGGAAAGGGGAATTTCTTCATATAAAATCAAACAGAAGCATTCTCAGAAACTTCTCAGTGATGTTTGCATTCAGCTCATGGAGTTGAACACTTCCTTTCATAGAGCAGGTTTGAAACACTCTTTCTGCACTACCTGGAAGAGGACATTTCGAGCGCTTTAAGTCCTATGGTGAAAAAGGAAATATCTTCTCATAAAAACCAGAAAGAAGCATTCTCAGAAACTTCTTTGTGTTGTGTGTACTCATGTAACAGTGTTGAACCATCCTTTTGACAGAGCAGTTTTGAAACACTCTTTTTGTAGAATCTGCAAGTGGATATTTGGATAGCTTTGAGGATTTCGTTGGAAACGGGATGACATATAATATCTAGAGAGAAGCATTCTCAGGAACTTCTTTGTGATGTTTGCATTCAAGTCACAGAATTGAACGTTCCCTTTCATAGAGCAGGTTTGAAACACTCTTTCTCTAGTATCTGGAAGTGGACATTTCAAGCGCTTTCAGGCCTATGGAGAGAAAGGAAATACCTTCAAATAAAAACTAGACAGAAGCATTCTCAGAAACTTATTTGTGATGTGTGTCCTCAACTAACAGAGTTGAACCTTTGTTTTGATACAGCATTTTGGAAACACTCCTTTTGTAGAATCTGCAGGTGGATATTTGGATAGCTTTGAAGATTTCGTTGGAAACCGGAATATCTTCATATAAAATCAAGACAGAAGCATTCTCGGAAACATCTCTGTGATGTTTGCATTCAACTCAGTAGAGTTGAACACTTCCTTTCATAGAGCAGGTTTGAAACACTCTTTCTGCACTACCTGGAAGCGGACATTTCGAGCGCTTTGAGGCCTATGGTGAAAAAGGAAATATCTTCTCATAAAAACCAGAAAGAAGCATTCTCAGAAACTTCTTTGTGTTGTGTGTACTCAAGTAACAGTGTTGAACCTTCCTTTTGACAGAGCAGTTTTGAAACACTCTTTTGGTAGAATCTGCAAGTGGATATTTGGAGAGCTTTGAGGATTTCGTTGGAAACGGGTTATCTTCCTATAAAATCCAGACAGGAGCATTCTCAGAAACTTCTTTGTGCTGTATGTCCTCAATTCACAGAGCTGAACCTTTGTTTGGATACAGCATTTTGGAGACATTCCTTTAGTAGAATCTGCAAGTTGATATTTAGATAGCTTTGAAGATTTCGTTGGAAACGGGAATATCTTCATAGAAAATCTAGACGGAAGCATTCTCAGAAACTGCTTTGTGATGTTTGCATTCAAGTCACAGAGTTGAATA
Source organism: Homo sapiens (assembly GCF_000001405.40). Classification (NCBI taxonomy): domain Eukaryota; kingdom Metazoa; phylum Chordata; class Mammalia; order Primates; family Hominidae; genus Homo; species Homo sapiens. Next base: position 51,186,653 of record NC_000004.12, read on the forward strand.
TTCCCTTTTATAGAGTAGGTTTGAAACACTCTTTCGGCACTACCTGGAAGTGGATATTTCGAGCTCTTTGAGGCCTATGGTTAAAAGGAAATATCTTCCCATAAAAACTAGACAGAAGCCTTCTCAGAAACTTGTTTGAGATGTGTGTATTCAACTAAGAGCGTTGAACATTTCTTTTTACAGAGCAGTTTTAAAACACTCTTTTGGTGCAATCTGAAAGTGGATAATTGGATAGCTTTGTGGATTTCGTTGGAAACGGGATTACGTTTAAAATCTAGAGAGAAGCATTCTCAGGAACTTCTTTCTGATGTTTGCATTCAAGTCACAGAATTGAACATTCCTTTTCATAGTGCAGGTTTGAAACACTCTGTAGTATCTGGAAGTGGACATTTCAAGCGCTTTCAGGCCTATGGGGAGAAAGGAAATATCTTGAAATAAAAACTAGACAGAAGGATTTTCAGAAACTTATTGGTGATTTGTGTCCTAAACGAACACAGTTGAACCTTTGTTTTGATACAGCATTTTGGAAACACTCCCTTTGTAGAATCTGCAGGTGGATATTTGGATAGATTTTAAGATTTCGTTGGAAACGGGAATTTCTTCATATAAACTCAAGACAGATGCATTCTCCGAAACTTCTCTGTGATGTTTGCATTCCACTCATAGAGTTGAAAACTTCCTTTCATAGAGCAGGTTTGAAACACTCTTTTTGTAATATTTGGAAGTGGACATTTGCAGCGCTTTGAGGTCTATGGTGAAAAAGGAAATATCTTCTCATAAAAACCAGAAACAAGCATTCTCAGAAACTTCTTTTTGATGTGTGTACTCAAGTAACAGAGGTGAACCTTCCTTTTGACACAGCAGTTTTGAAACAATCTTTTTGTAGAATCTGCAAGTGGATATTTGGATAGCTTTGAGGATTTCGTTGGAAACGGGATATCTTCATATAAAATCTAGACAGAAGCATTCTCAGAAACTTCTTTGTGCTGTATGTCCTCAATTCACAGAGTTGAACCTTTGTGTGGATACAGCATTTTGGAAACATTCCTTTAGTAGAATCTGCAAGTTGATATTTAGATAGATTTGAAGATTTCGTTGGAAACGGGAAGATCTTCATAAAAAATCTAGACGGATGCATTGTCAGAAACTGCTTTGTGATGTTTGCATTCAATTCACAGAGTTAAATATTCTTTTATAGAGCAGGTTTGAAACACTCTTTCTGCACTCCCTGGAAGTGGAGATTTCGAGCGCTTTGAGGCCTATGGTGAAAAAGGAAATATCTTCCCGTAAAAACTAGACGGAAGCCTTCTCAGAAACTTGTTTGAGATGTGTGTATTCAACTAAGAGCGTTGAACATTTCTTTTTACAGAGCAGTTTTAAAACACTCTTTTTGTGGAATCTGAAAGTGGATAATTGGATAGCTTTGTGGATTTCTTTGGAAACGGGATTACGTATAAAATCTAGAGAGAAGCATTCTCAGAAACTTCTTACTGATGTTTGCATTCAAGTCACAGAATTGAACATTCCTTTTCATAGTGCAGGTTTGAAACACTCTTTCTGTACTATCTGGAAGTGGACATTTCAAGCGCTTTCAGGCCTATGGGGAGAAAGGAAATATCTTCAAATTAAAAACTAGACAGAAGGATTTTCAGAAACTTATTGGTGATTTGTGTCCTAAACGAACACAGTTGAACCTTTGTTTTGATACAGCATTTTGGAAACACTCCCTTTGTAGAATCTGCAGGTGGATATTTGGATAGATTTTAAGATTTCGTTGGAAACGGGAATTTCTTCATATAAACTCAAGACAGATGCATTCTCCGAAACTTCTCTGTGATGTTTTCATTCCACTCATAGAGTTGAAAACTTCCTTTCATAGAGCAGGTTTGAAACACTCTTTTTGTAATATTTGGAAGTGGACATTTGCAGCGCTTTGAGGCCTATGGAGAAAAAGGAAATATCTTCTCATAAAAACCAGAAACAAGCATTCTCAGAAACTTCTTTTTGATGTGTGTACTCAAGTAACAGAGTTGAACCTTCCCTTTTGACACAGCAGTTTTGAAACAATCTTTTTGTAGAATCTGCAAGTGGATATTTGGATAGCTTTGAGGATTTCGTTGGAAACGGGATATCTTCATATAAAATCTAGACAGAAGCATTCTCAGAAACTTCTTTGTGCTGTATGACCTCAATTAACAGAGTTGAACCATTGCTTGCATACAGCATTTTGGAAACATTCCTTGAGTAGAATCTGCAAGTTGATATTTAGATAGATTTGAAGATTTCGTTCGAAAACGGAATATCTCCATATAAAATCTAGAGGGAAGCATTCTCAGAAACTGCTTTGTGATGTTTCCATTCAAGTCACAGAGTTGAATATTCCCTTTTATAGAGCACGTTTGAAACACTCTTTCTGCACTATCTGGAAGCGGACATTTCGAGCGCTTTGAGGCCTATGGTGAAAAAGGAAATATCTTCCCATAAAAACTAGACAGAAGCATTCTCAGAAACTTGTTTGTGATGTGTGTATTCAACTAACAGAGTTGAACTTTTGTTTTTACAGAGCCGTTTTAAAACACTCTTTTTGTGGAATCAGAAAGTGGATATTCGGATGGCTCTGAGGATTTCGTTGGAAGCGGGATTACGTATAAAATCTAGAGAGAAGCATTCTCAGGAACTTCTTTGTGATGTTTGCATTGAAGTCACAGAATTGAACATTCACTTTGATAGAGCAGGTTTGAAACACTCATTCTGTAGTATCTGGAAGTGGACATTTCAAGCGCTTTCAGGCCTATGGTGAGAAAGGAAATATCTTCGAATAAAAACTAGACAGAAGCATCCTCAAACTTATTTGTGATGTGTGTCCTCAACTAACAGAGTTGAAACTTTGTTTTGATACAGCATTTTGGAAACACTCTTTTTGTAGAATCTGCAGGTGGATATTTGGATAGCTTAGAGGGATTCGTTGGAAAGGGGATATCTTCATATAAAATCCTAGACAGAAGCATTCTCAGAAACTTATTTGTGATGTGTGTCCTCAACTAACAGAGTTGAACTTTGGTTTTGATACAGCATTTTGGAAACACTCCTTTTGTAGAATCTGCAGGTGGATATGTGGATAGCTCTGAAGATTTCGTTGGAAACGGGAATTTCTTCATATAAAATCAAACAGAAGCATTCTCAGAAACTTCTCAGTGATGTTTGCATTCAGCTCATGGAGTTGTACACTTCCTTTCATAGAGCAGGTTTGAAACACTCTTTCTGCACTACCTGGAAGAGGACATTTCGAGCGCTTTGAGTCCTATGGTGAAAAGGGAAATATCTTCTCATAGAAACCAGAAAGAAGCATTCTCAGAAACTTCTTTGTGTTGTGTGTACTCATGTAACAGTGTTGAACCATCCTTTTGACAGAGGAGTTTTGAAACACTCTTTTTGTAGAATCTGCAAGTGGATATTTGGATAGCTTTGAGGATTTCGTTGGAAACGGGATGACATATAATATCTAGAGAGAAGCATTCTCAGGAACTTCTTTGTGATGTTTGCATTCAAGTCACAGAATTGAACATTCCCTTTCATAGAGCAGGTTTGAAACACTCTTTCTCTAGTATCTGGAAGTGGGCATTTCAAGCGCTTTCAGGCCTATGGAGAGAAAGGAAATACCTTCAAATAAAAACTAGACAGGAAGCATTCTCAGAAACTTATTTGTGATGTGTGTCCTCAACTAACAGAGTTGAACCTTTGTTTTGATACAGCATTTTGGAAACACTCCTTTTGTAGAATCTGCAGGTGGATATTTGGATAGCTTTGAAGATTTCGTTGGAAACCGGAATATCTTCATATAAAATCAAGACAGAAGCATTCTCGGAAACATCTCTGTGATGTTTGCATTCAACTCAGTAGAGTTGAACACTTCCTTTCATAGAGCAGGTTTGAAACACTCTTTCTGCCCTACCTGGAAGCGGACATTTCGAGCGCTTTGAGGCCTATGGTGAAAAAGGAAATATCTTCTCATAAAAACCAGAAAGAAGCATTCTCAGAAACTTCTTTGTGTTGTGTGTACTCAAGTAACAGTGTTGAACCTTCCTTTTGACAGAGTAGTTTTGAAACACTCTTTTGGTAGAATCTGCAAGTGGATATTTGGATAGCTTTGAGGATTTCGTTGGAAACGGGTTATCTTCCTATAAAATCCAGACAGGAGCATTCTCAGAAACTTCTTTGTGCTGTATGTCCTCAATTCACAGAGTTGAACCTTTGTTTGGATACAGCATTTTGGAAACATTCCTTTAGTAGAATCTGCAAGTTGATATTTAGATAGCTTTGAAGATTTCGTTGGAAACGGGAATATCTTCATAAAAAATCTAGACGGAAGCATTGTCAGAAACTGCTCTGTGATGTTTGCATTCAAGTCACAGAGTTAAATATTCTTTTACAGAGCAGGTTTGAAACACTCTTTCTGCACTCCCTGGAAGTGGCGATTTCGAGCGCTTTGAGGCCTATGGTGAAAAAGGAAATATCTTCCCATAAAAACTAGACGGAAGCATTCTCAGAAACTTGTTTGTGATGTGTGTATTCAACTAACAGAGTTGAACTTTTGTTTTTACAGAGCCGTTTTAAAACACTCTTTTTGTGGAATCAGAAAGTGGATATTCGGATGGCTCTGAGGATTTCGTTGGAAGCGGGATTACATATAAAATCTAGAGAGAAGCATTCTCAGGAACTTTCTTTGTGATGTTTGCATTGAAGTCACAGAATTGAACATTCACTTTGATAGAGCAGGTTTGAAACACTCATTCTGTAGGATCTGGAAGTGGACATTTCAAGCGCTTTCAGGCCTATGGTGAGAAAGGAAATATCTTCGAATAAAAACTAGACAGAAGCATCCTCAAACTTATTTGTGATGTGTGTCCTCAACTAACAGAGTTGAAACTTTGTTTTGATACAGCATTTTGGAAACACTCTTTTTGTAGAATCTGCAGGTGGATATTTGGATAGCTTAGAGGGATTCGTTGGAAAGGGGATATCTTCATATAGAATCTAGACAGAAGCATTCTCAGAAACTTATTTGTGATGTGTGTCCTCAACTAACAGAGTTGAACTTTGGTTTTGATACAGCATTTTGGAAACACTCCTTTTGTAGAATCTGCAGGTGGATATGTGGATAGCTCTGAAGATTTCGTTGGAAACGGGAATTTCTTCATAGAAAATCAAACAGAAGCATTCTCAGAAACTTCTCAGTGATGTTTGCATTCAGTTCATGGAGTTGAACACTTCCTTTCATAGAGCCGGTTTGAAACACTCTTTCTGCACTACCTGGAAGAGGACATTTCGAGCGCTTTGAGTCCTATGGTGAAAAAGGAAATATCTTCTCATAGAAACCAGAAAGAAGCATTCTCAGAAACTTCTTTGTGTTGTGTGTACTCATGTAACAGTGTTGAACCATCCTTTTGACAGAGCAGTTTTGAAACACTCTTTTTGTAGAATCTGCAAGTGGATATTTGGATAGCTTTGAGGATTTCGTTGGAAACGGGATGACATATAATATCTAGAGAGAAGCATTCTCAGGAACTTCTTTGTGATGTTTGCATTCAAGTCACAGAATTGAACATTCCCTTTCATAGAGCAGGTTTGAAACACTCTTTCTCTAGTATCTGGAAGTGGGCATTTCAAGCGCTTTCAGGCCTATGGAGAGAAAGGAAATACCTTCAAATAAAAACTAGACAGAAGCATTATCAGAAACTTATTTGTGATGTGTGTCCTCAACTAACAGAGTTGAACCTTTGTTTTGATACAGCATTTTGGAAACACTCCTTTTGTAGAATCTGCAGGTGTGTATTTGGATAGCTTTGAAGATTTCGTTGGAAACCGGAATATCTTCGTATAAAATCAAGACAGAAGCATTCTCGGAAACATCTCTGTGATGTTTGCATTCAACTCAGTAGAGTTGAACACTTCCTTTCATAGAGCAGGTTTGAAACACTCTTTCTGCACTACCTGGAAGCGGACATTTCGAGCGCTTTGAGGCCTATGGTGAAAAAGGAAATATCTTCTCATAAAAACCAGAAAGAAGCATTCTCAGAAACTTCTTTGTGTTGTGTGTACTCAAGTAACAGTGTTGAACCTTCCTTTTGACAGAGTAGTTTTGAAACACTCTTTTGGTAGAATCTGCAAGTGGATATTTGGATAGCTTTGAGGATTTCGTTGGAAACGGGTTATCTTCCTATAAAATCCAGACAGGAGCATTCTCAGAAACTTCTTTGTGCTGTATGTCCTCAATTCACAGAGTTGAACCTTTGTTTGGATACAGCATTTTGGAAACATTCCTTTAGTAGAATCTGCAAGTTGATATTTAGATAGCTTTGAAGATTTCGTTGGAAACGGAAATATCTTCATAAAAAATCTAGACGGAAGCATTCTCAGAAACTGCTTTGTGATGTTTGCATTCAAGTCACAGAGTTGAATATTCCCTTTTATAGAGTAGGTTTGAAACACTCTTTCGGCACTTCCTGGAAGTGGATATTTCGAGCTCTTTGAGGCCTATGGTTAAAAGGAAATATCTTCCCATAAAAACTAGACAGAAGCCGTCTCAGAAACTTGTTTGTGATGTGTGTATTCAACTAACAGAGTTGAACATTTCTGTTACAGAGCAATTTTAAAACACTCTTTGTGGAATCTGAAAGTGGATAATTGGATAGCTTTGTGGATTTCGTTGGAAACGGGATGACGTATAAAATCTAGAGAGAAGCATTCTCAGGAACTTCTTTCTGATGTTTGCATTCAAGTCACAGAATTGAACATTCCTTTTCATAGTGCAGGTTTGAAACACTCTTTCTGTAGTATCTGGAAGTGGACATTTCAAGCGCTTTCAGGCCTGTGGGGAGAAAGGAAATATCTTCAAATAAAAACTAGACAGAAGGATTCTCAGAAACTTATTTGTGATGTGTGTCCTAAACGAACACAGTTGAACCTTTGTTTTGATACAGCATTTTGGAAACACTCCTTTTGTAGGATCTGCAGGTGGATATTTGGATAGATTTTAAGATTTCGTTGGAAACGGGAATTTCTTCATAGAAGCTCAAGACAGATGCATTCTCAGAAACTTCTCTGTGATGTTTGCATTCCACTCATAGAGTTGAAAACTTCCTTTCATAGAGCAGGTTTGAAACACTCTTTTTGTAATATTTGGAAGTGGACATTTGCAGCGCTTTGAGGCCTATGGTGAAAAAGGAAATATCTTCTGATAAAAACCAGAAACAAGCATTCTCAGAAACTTCTTTTTGATGTGTGTACTCAAGTAACAGAGTTGAACCTTCCTTTTGACACAGCAGTTTTGAAACAATCTTTTTGTAGAATCTGCAAGTGGATATTTGGATAGCTTTGAGGATTTCGTTGGAAACGGGATATCTTCATATAAAATCTAGACAGAAGCATTCTCAGAAACTTCTTTGTGCTGTATGACCTCAATTAACAGAGTTGAACCATTGCTTGCATACAGCATTTTGGAAACATTCCTTGAGTAGAATCTGCAAGTTGATATTTAGATAGATTTGAAGATTTCGTTGGAAAAGGGAATATCTCCATATAAAATCTAGAGGGATGCATTGTCAGAAACTGCTTTGTGATGTTTGCATTCAAGTCACAGAGTTAAATATTCTTTTATAGAGCAGGTTTGAAACACTCTTTCTGCACTCCCTGGAAGTGGAGATTTCGAGCGCTTTGAGGCCTATGGTGAAAAAGGAAATATCTTCCCATAAAAACTAGACGGAAGCCTTCTCAGAAACTTGTTTGAGATGTGTGTATTCAACTAAGAGCGTTGAACATTTCCTTTTACAGAGCAGTTTTAAAACACTCTTTTTGTGGAATCTGAAAGTGGATAATTGGATAGCTTTGTGGATTTCGTTGGAAACGGGATTACGTTTAAAATCTAGAGAGAAGCATTCTCAGGAACTTCTTTCTGATGTTTCCATTCAAGTCACAGAATTGAACATTCCTTTTCATAGTGCAGGTTTGAAACACTCTTTCTGTACTATCTGGAAGTGGACATTTCAAGCACTTTCAGGCCTATGGGGAGAAAGGAAATATCTTCAAATAAAAACTAGACAGAAGGCTTCTCAGAAACTTATTTGTGATGTGTGTCCTAAACGAACACAGTTGAACCTTTGTTTTGATACAGCATTTTGGAAACACTCCTTTTGTAGAATCTGCAGGTGGATATTTGGATATATTTTAAGATTTCGTTGGAAACGGGAATTTCTTCATAGAAACTCAAGACGGATGCATTCTCAGAAACTTCTCTGTGATGTTTGCATTCCACTCATAGAGTTGAAAACTTCCTTTCATAGAGCAGGTTTGAAACACTCTTTCTGTAATATTTGGAAGTGGACATTTGCAGCGCTTTGAGGCCTATGGTGAAAAAGGAAATATCTTCTCATAAAAACCAGAAACAAGCATTCTCAGAAACTTCTTTTTGATGTGTGTACTCAAGTAACAGAGTTGAACCTTCCTTTTGACACAGCAGTTTTGAAACAATCTTTTTGTAGAATCTGCAAGTGGATATTTGGATAGCTTTGAGGATTTCGTTGGAAACGGGATATCTTCATATAAAATCTAGACAGAAGCATTCTCAGAAACTTCTTTGTGCTGTATGACCTCAATTAACAGAGTTGAACCATTGCTTGCATACAGCATTTTGGAAACATTCCTTGAGTAGAATCTGCAAGTTGATATTTAGATAGATTTGAAGATTTCGTTCGAAAACGGAATATCTCCATATAAAATCTAGAGGGAAGCATTCTCAGAAACTGCTTTGTGATGTTTCCATTCAAGTCACAGAGTTGAATATTCCCTTTTATAGAGCACGTTTGAAACACTCTTTCTGCGCTATCTGGAAGTGGACATTTCGAGCGCTTTGAGGCCTATGGTGAAAAAGGAAATATCTTCCCATAAAAACTAGACAGAAGCATTCTCAGAAACTTGTTTGTGATGTGTGTATTCAACTAACAGAGTTGAACTTTTGTTTTTACAGAGCCGTTTTAAAACACTCTTTTTGTGGAATCAGAAAGTGGATATTCGGATGGCTCTGAGGATTTCGTTGGAAGCGGGATTACATATAAAATCTAGAGAGAAGCATTCTCAGGAACTTCTTTGTGATGTTTGCATTGAAGTCACAGAATTGAACATTCACTTTGATAGAGCAGGTTTGAAACACTCATTCTGTAGTATCTGGAAGTGGACATTTCAAGCGCTTTCAGGCCTATGGTGAGAAAGGAAATATCTTCGAATAAAAACTAGACAGAAGCATCCTCAAACTTATTTGTGATGTGTGTCCTCAACTAACAGAGTTGAAACTTTGTTTTGATACAGCATTTTGGAAACACTCTTTTTGTAGAATCTGCAGGTGGATATTTGGATAGCTTAGAGGGATTCGTTGGAAAGGGGATATCTTCATATAGAATCTAGACAGAAGCATTCTCAGAAACTTATTTGTGATGTGTGTCCTCAACTAACAGAGTTGAACTTTGGTTTTGATACAGCATTTTGGAAACACTCCTTTTGTAGAATCTGCAGGTGGATATGTGGATAGCTCTGAAGATTTCGTTGGAAACGGGAATTTCTTCATATAAAATCAAACAGAAGCATTCTCAGAAACTTCTCAGTGATGTTTGCATTCAGTTCATGGAGTTGAACACTTCCTTTCATAGAGCCGGTTTGAAACACTCTTTCTGCACTACCTGGAAGAGGACATTTCGAGCGCTTTGAGTCCTATGGTGAAAAAGGAAATATCTTCTCATAGAAACCAGAAAGAAGCATTCTCAGAAACTTCTTTGTGTTGTGTGTACTCATGTAACAGTGTTGAACCATCCTTTTGACAGAGCAGTTTTGAAACACTCTTTTTGTAGAATCTGCAAGTGGATATTTGGATAGCTTTGAGGATTTCGTTGGAAACGGGATGACATATAATATCTAGAGAGAAGCATTCTCAGGAACTTCTTTGTGATGTTTGCATTCAAGTCACAGAATTGAACATTCCCTTTCATAGAGCAGGTTTGAAACACTCTTTCTCTAGTATCTGGAAGTGGGCATTTCAAGCGCTTTCAGGCCTATGGAGAGAAAGGAAATACCTTCAAATAAAAACTAGACAGAAGCATTCTCAGAAACTTATTTGTGATGTGTGTCCTCAACTAACAGAGTTGAACCTTTGTTTTGATACAGCATTTTGGAAACACTCCTTTTGTAGAATCTGCAGGTGGATATTTGGATAGCTTTGAAGATTTCGTTGGAAACCGGAATATCTTCATATAAAATCAAGACAGAATCATTCTCGGAAACATCTCTGTGATGTTTGCATTCAACTCAGTAGAGTTGAACACTTCCTTTCATAGAGCAGGTTTGAAACACTCTTTCTGCACTATCTGGAAGCGGACATTTCGAGCGCTTTGAGGCCTATGTTGAAAAAGGAAATATCTTCTCATAAAAACCAGAAAGAAGCATTCTCAGAAACTTCTTTGTGTTGTGTGTACTCAAGTAACAGTGTTGAACCTTCCTTTTGACAGAGCAGTTTTGAAACACTCTTTTGGTAGAATCTGCAAGTGGATATTTGGATAGCTTTGAGGATTTCGTTGGAAACGGGTTATCTTCCTATAAAATCCAGACAGGAGCATTCTCAGAAACTTCTTTGTGCTGTATGTCCTCAATTCACAGAGCTGAACCTTTGTTTGGATACAGCATTTTGGAGACATTCCTTTAGTAGAATCTGCAAGTTGATATTTAGATAGCTTTGAAGATTTCGTTGGAAACGGGAATATCTTCATAGAAAATCTAGACGGAAGCATTCTCAGAAACTGCTTTGTGATGTTTGCATTCAAGTCACAGAGTTGAATATTCCCTTTTATAGAGTAGGTTTGAAACACTCTTTCGGCACTACCTGGAAGTGGATATTTCGAGCTCTTTGAGGCCTATGGTTAAAAGGAAATATCTTCCCATAAAAACTAGACAGAAGCCGTCTCAGAAACTTGTTTGTGATGTGTGTATTCAACTACCAGAGTTGAACATTTCTGTTACAGAGCAATTTTAAAACACTCTTTCTGTGGAATCTGAAAGTGGATAATTGGATAGCTTTGTGGATTTCGTTGGAAACGGGATGACGTATAAAATCTAGAGAGAAGCATTCTCAGGAACTTCTTTCTGATGTTTGCATTCAAGTCACAGAATTGAACATTCCTTTTCAGAGTGCAGGTTTGAAACACTCTTTCTGTAGTATCTGGAAGTGGACATTTCAAGCGCTTTCAGGCCTACGGGGAGAAAGGAAATATCTTCAAATAAAAACTAGACAGAAGGATTCTCAGAAACTTATTTGTGATGTGTGTCCTAAACGAACACAGTTGAACCTTTGTTTTGATACAGCATTTTGGAAACACTCCTTTTGTAGGATCTGCAGGTGGATATTTGGATAGATTTTAAGATTTCGTTGGAAACGGGAATTTCTGCATAGAAACTCAAGACAGATGCATTCTCAGAAACTTCTCTGTGATGTTTGCATTCCACTCATAGAGTTGAAAACTTCCTTTCATAGAGCAGGTTTGAAACACTCTTTTTGTAATATGTGGAAGTGGACATTTGCAGCGCTTTGAGGCCTATGGTGAAAAAGGAAATATCTTCTCATAAAAACCAGAAACAAGCATTCTCAGAAACTTCTTTTTGATGTGTGTACTCAAGTAACAGAGTTGAACCTTCCTTTTGACACAGCAGTTTTGAAACCATCTTTTTGTAGAATCTGCAAGTGGATATTTGGATAGCTTTGAGGATTTCGTTGGAAACGGGATATCTTCATATAAAATCTAGACAGAAGCATTCTCAGAAACTTCTTTGTGCTGTATGTCCTCAATTAACAGAGTTGAACCATTGCCTGGATACAGCATTTTGGAAACATTCCTTGAGTAGAATCTGCAAGTTGATATTTAGATAGATTTGAAGATTTCGTTGGAAAAGGGAATATCTCCATATAAAATCCTAGAGGGAGGCATTCTCAGAAACTGCTTTGTGATGTTTCCATTCAAGTCACAGAGTTGAATATTCTCTTTTATAGAGCACGTTTGAAACACTCTTTCTGCACTATCTGGAAGTGGACATTTCGAGCGCTTTGAGGCCTATGGTGAAAAAGGAAGTATCTTCCCATAAAAACTAGACAGAAGCATTCTCAGAAACTTGTTTGTGATGTGTGTATTCAACTAACAGACTTGAACTTTTGTTTTTACAGAGCAGTTTTAAAACAATCTTTTTGTGGAATCAGAAAGTGGATATTCGGATGGCTTTGAGGATTTCGTTGGAAGCGGGATTACATTTAAAATCTAGAGAGAAGCATTCTCAGGAACTTCTTTGTGATGTTTGCATTGAAGTCACAGAATTGAACATTCACTTTGATAGAGCAGGTTTGAAACACTCATTCTGTAGTATCTGGAAGTGGACATTTCAAGCGCTTTCAGGCCTATGGTGAGAAAGGAAATATCTTCGAATAAAAACTAGACAGAAGCATCCTCAAACTTATTTGTGATGTGTGTCCTCAACTAACAGAGTTGAAACTTTGTTTTGATACAGCATTTTGGAAACACTCTTTTTGTAGAATCTGCAGGTGGATATTTGGATAGCTTAGAGGGATTCGTTGGAAAGGGGATATCTTCATATAGAATCTAGACAGAAGCATTCTCAGAAACTTATTTGTGATGTGTGTCCTCAACTAACAGAGTTGAACTTTGGTTTTGATACAGCATTTTGGAAACACTCCTTTTGTAGAATCTGCAGGTGGATATGTGGATAGCTCTGAAGATTTCGTTGGAAACGGGAATTTCTTCATATAAAATCAAACAGAAGCATTCTCAGAAACTTCTCAGTGATGTTTGCATTCAGTTCATGGAGTTGAACACTTCCCTTCATAGAGCCGGTTTGAAACACTCTTTCTGCACTACCTGGAAGAGGACATTTCGAGCGCTTTGAGTCCTATGGTGAAAAAGGAAATATCTTCTCATAGAAACCAGAAAGAAGCATTCTCAGAAACTTCTTTGTGTTGTGTGTACTCATGTAACAGTGTTGAACCATCCTTTTGACAGAGCAGTTTTGAAACAGTCTTTTTGTAGAATCTGCAAGTGGATATTTGGATAGCTTTGAGGATTTCGTTGGAAACGGGTTATATTCATATTAAATCTAGACAGAAGCATTCTCAGGAACTTCTTTGTGATGTTTGCATTCAAGTCACAGAATTGAACATTCCCTTTCATAGAGCAGGTTTGAAACACTCTTTCTCTAGTATCTGGAAGTGGACATTTCAAGCGCTTTCAGGCCTATGGAGAGAAAGGAAATACCTTCAAATAAAAACTAGACAGAAGCATTATCAGAAACTTATTTGTGATGTGTGTCCTCAACTAACAGAGTTGAACCTTTGTTTTGATACAGCATTTTGGAAACACTCCTTTTGTAGAATCTGCAGGTGTGTATTTGGATAGCTTTGAAGATTTCGTTGGAAACCGGAATATCTTCGTATAAAATCAAGACAGAAGCATTCTCGGAAACATCTCTGTGATGTTTGCATTCAACTCAGTAGAGTTGAACACTTCCTTTCATAGAGCAGGTTTGAAACACTCTTTCTGCACTACCTGGAAGCGGACATTTCGAGCGCTTTGAGGCCTATGGTGAAAAAGGAAATATCTTCTCATAAAAACCAGAAAGAAGCATTCTCAGAAACTTCTTTGTGTTGTGTGTACTCAAGTAACAGTGTTGAACCTTCCTTTTGACAGAGCAGTTTTGAAACACTCTTTTGGTAGAATCTGCAAGTGGATATTTGGATAGCTTTGAGGATTTCGTTGGAAACGGGTTATCTTCATATAAAATCCAGACAGGAGCATTCTCAGAAACTTCTTTGTGCTGTATGTCCTCAATTCACAGAGCTGAACCTTTGTTTGGATACAGCATTTTGGAGACATTCCTTTAGTAGAATCTGCAAGTTGATATTTAGATAGCTTTGAAGATTTCGTTGGAAACGGGAATATCTTCATAGAAAATCTAGACGGAAGCATTCTCATAAACTGCTTTGTGATGTTTGCATTCAAGTCACAGAGTTGAATATTCCCTTTTATAGTGTAGGTTTGAAACACTCTTTCGGCACTACCTGGAAGTGGATATTTCAAGCTCTTTGAGGCCTATGGTTAAAAGGAAATATCTTCCCATAAAAACTAGACAGAAGCCGTCTCAGAAACTTGTTTGTGATGTGTGTATTCAACTAACAGAGCTGAAGATTTCTGTTACAGAGCAGTTTTAAAACACTCTTTTTGTGGAATCTGAAAGTGGATAATTGGGTAGCTTTGTGGATTTCGTTGGAAACGGGATGACGTAAAAAATCTAGAGAGAAGCATTCTCAGGAACTTCTTTCTGATGTTTGCATTGAAGTCACAGAATTGAACATTCCTTTTCATAGTGCAGGTTTGAAACACTCTTTCTGTAGTATCTGGAAGTGGACATTTCAAGCGCTTTCAGGCCTATGGGGAGAAAGGAAATATCTTCAAATAAAAACTAGACAGAAGGATTCTCAGAAACTTATTTGTGATGTGTGTCCTAAACGAACACAGTTGAACCTTTGTTTTGATACAGCATTTTGGAAACACTCCTTTTGTAGGATCTGCAGGTGGATATTTGGATAGATTTTAAGATTTCGTTGGAAACGGGAATTTCTTCATAGAAGCTCAAGACAGATGCATTCTCAGAAACTTCTCTGTGATGTTTGCATTCCACTCATAGAGTTGAAAACTTCCTTTCATAGAGCAGGTTTGAAACACTCTTTTTGTAATATTTGGAAGTGGACATTTGCAGCGCTTTGAGGCCTATGGTGAAAAAGGAAATATCTTCTCATAAAAACCAGAAACAAGCATTCTCAGAAACTTCTTTTTGATGTGTGTACTCAAGTAAGAGAGTTGAACCTTCCTTTTGACACAGCAGTTTTGAAACAATCTTTTTGTAGAATCTGCAAGTGGATATTTGGATAGCTTTGAGGATTTCATTGGAAACGGGATATCTTCATATAAAATCTAGACAGAAGCATTCTCAGAAACTTCTTTGTGCTGTATGACCTCAATTAACAGAGTTGAACCATTGCTTGCATACAGCATTTTGGAAACATTCCTTGAGTAGAATCTGCAAGTTGATATTTAGATAGATTTGAAGATTTCGTTCGAAAACGGAATATCTCCATATAAAATCTAGAGGGAAGCATTCTCAGAAACTGCTTTGTGATGTTTCCATTCAAGTCACAGAGTTGAATATTCCCTTTTATAGAGCACGTTTGAAACACTCTTTCTGCACTATCTGGAAGTGGACATTTCGAGCGCTGTGAGGCCTATGGTGAAAAAGGAAATATCTTCCCATAAAAACTAGACAGAAGCATTCTCAGAAACTTGTTTGTGATGTGTGTATTCAACTAACAGAGTTGAACTTTTGTTTTTACAGAGCCGTTTTAAAACACTCTTTTTGTGGAATCAGAAAGTGGATATTCGGATGGCTCTGAGGATTTCGTTGGAAGCGGGATTACATATAAAATCTAGAGAGAAGCATTCTCAGGAACTTCTTTGTGATGTTTGCATTGAACTCACAGAATTGAACATTCACTTTGATAGAGCAGGTTTGAAACACTCATTCTGTAGTATCTGGAAGTGGACATTTCAAGCGCTTTCAGGCCTATGGTGAGAAAGGAAATATCTTCAAATAAAAACTAGACAGAAGCATCCTCAAACTTATTTGTGATGTGTGTCCTCAACTAACAGAGTTGAAACTTTGTTTTGATACAGCATTTTGGAAACACTCTTTTTGTAGAATCTGCAGGTGGATATTTGGATAGCTTAGAGGGATTCGTTGGAAAGGGGATATCTTCATATAAAATCTAGACAGAAGCATTCTCAGAAACTTATTTGTGATGTGTGTCCTCAACTAACAGAGTTGAACCTTGGTTTTGATACAGCATTTTGGAAACACTCCTTTTGTAGAATCTGCAGGTGGATATGTGGATAGCTCTGAAGATTTCGTTGGAAACGGGAATTTCTTCATATAAAATCAAACAGAAGCATTCTCAGAAACTTCTCTGTGATGTTTGCATTCAGCTCATGGAGTTGAACACTTCCTTTCATAGAGCAGCTTTGAAACACTCTTTCTGCACTACCAGGAAGTGGACATTTCGAGCGCTTTGAGGCCTATGGTGAAAAAGGAAATATCTTCTCATAAAAACCAGAAAGAAGCATTCTCAGAAACTTCTTTGTGTTGTGTGTACTCATGTAACAGTGTTGAACCATCCTTTTGACAGAGCAGTTTTGAAACACTCTTTTTGTAGAATCTGCAAGTGGATATTTGGATAGCTTTGAGGATTTCGTTGGAAACGGGATGACATATAATATCTAGAGAGAAGCATTCTCAGGAACTTCTTTGTGATGTTTGCATTCAAGTCACAGAATTGAACATTCCCTTTCATAGAGCAGGTTTGAAACACTCTTTCTCTAGTATCTGGAAGTGGGCATTTCAAGCGCTTTCAGGCCTATGGAGAGAAAGGAAATACCTTCAAATAAAAACTAGACAGAAGCATTCTCAGAAACTTATTTGTGATGTGTGTCCTCAACTAACAGAGTTGAACCTTTGTTTTGATACAGCATTTTGGAAACACTCCTTTTGTAGAATCTGCAGGTGGATATTTGGATAGCTTTGAAGATTTCGTTGGAAACCGGAATATCTTCATATAAAATCAAGACAGAAGCATTCTCGGAAACATCTCTGTGATGTTTGCATTCAACTCAGTAGAGTTGAACACGTCCTTTCATAGAGCAGGTTTGAAACACTCTTTCTGCCCTACCTGGAAGCGGACATTTCGAGCTCTTTGAGGCCTATGGTGAAAAAGGAAATATCTTCTCATAAAAACCAGAAAGAAGCATTCTCAGAAACTTCTTTGTGTTGTGTGTACTCAAGTAACAGTGTTGAACCTTCCTTTTGACAGAGCAGTTTTGAAACACTCTTTTGGTAGAATCTGCAAGTGGATATTTGGATAGCTTTGAGGATTTCGTTGGAAACGGGTTATCTTCATATAAAATCCAGACAGGAGCATTCTCAGAAACTTCTTTGTGCTGTATGTCCTCAATTCACAGAGCTGAACCTTTGTTTGGATACAGCATTTTGGAGACATTCCCTTAGTAGAATCTGCAAGTTGATATTTAGATAGCTTTGAAGATTTCGTTGGAAACGGGAATATCTTCATAGAAAATCTAGACGGAAGCATTCTCATAAACTGCTTTGTGATGTTTGCATTCAAGTCACAGAGTTGAATATTCCCTTTTACAGAGTAGGTTTGAAACACTCTTTCGGCACTACCTGGAAGTGGATATTTCGAGCTGTTTGAGGCCTATGGTTAAAAGGAAATATCTTCCCATAAAAACTAGACAGAAGCCGTCTCAGAAACTTGTTTGTGATGTGTGTATTCAACTAACAGAGCTGAACATTTCTGTTACAGAGCAGTTTTAAAACACTCTTTTTGTGGAATCTGAAAGTGGATAATTGGGTAGTTTTGTGGATTTCGTTGGAAAAGGGATGACGTAAAAAATCTAGAGAGAAGCATTCTCAGGAACTTCTTTCTGATGTTTGCATTCAAGTCACAGAATTGAACATTCCTTTTCATAGTGCAGGTTTGAAACACTCTGTAGTATCTGGAAGTGGACATTTCAAGCGCTTTCAAGCCTATGGGGAGAAAGGAAATATCTTGAAATAAAAACTAGACAGAAGGATTCTCAGAAACTTATTTGTGATGTGTGTCCTAAACGAACACAGTTGAACCTTTGTTTTGATACAGCATTTTGGAAACACTCCTTTTGTAGAATCTGCAGGTGGATATTTGGATAGATTTTAAGATTTCATTGGAAACGGGAATTTCTTCATATAAACTCAAGACAGATGCATTCTCAGAAACTTCTCTGTGATGTTTGCATTCCACTCATAGAGTTGAAAACTTCCTTTCATAGAGCAGGTTTGAAACACTCTTTTTGTAATATGTGGAAGTGGACATTTGCAGCGCTTTGAGGCCTATGGTGAAAAAGGAAATATCTTCTCATAAAAACCAGAAACAAGCATTCTCAGAAACTTCTTTTTGATGTGTGTACTCAAGTAACAGAGTTGAACCTTCCTTTTGACACAGCAGTTTTGAAACAATCTTTTTGTAGAATCTGCAAGTGGATATTTGGATAGCTTTGAGGATTTCGTTGGAAACGGGATATCTTCATATAAAATCTAGACAGAAGCATTCTCAGAAACTTCTTTGTGCTGTATGACCTCAATTAACAGAGTTGAACCATTGCTTGCATACAGCATTTTGGAAACATTCCTTGAGTAGAATCTGCAAGTTGATATTTAGATAGATTTGAAGATTTCGTTCGAAAACGGAATATCTCCATATAAAATCTAGAGGGAAGCATTCTCAGAAACTGCTTTGTGATGTTTCCTTTCAAGTCACAGAGTTGAATATTCCCTTTTATAGAGCACGTTTGAAACACTCTTTCTGCGCTATCTGGAAGTGGACATTTCGAGCGCTTTGAGGCCTATGGTGAAAAAGGAAATATCTTCCCATAAAAACTAGACAGAAGCATTCTCAGAAACTTGTTTGTGATGTGTGTATTCAACTAACAGAGTTGAACTTTTGTTTTTACAGAGCCGTTTTAAAACACTCTTTTTGTGGAATCAGAAAGTGGATATTCGGATGGCTCTGAGGATTTCGTTGGAAGCGGGATTACATATAAAATCTAGAGAGAAGCATTCTCAGGAACTTCTTTGTGATGTTTGCATTGAAGTCACAGAATTGAACATTCACTTTGATAGAGCAGGTTTGAAACACTCATTCTGTAGTATCTGGAAGTGGACATTTCAAGCGCTTTCAGGCCTATGGTGAGAAAGGAAATATCTTCGAATAAAAACTAGACAGAAGCATCCTCAAACTTATTTGTGATGTGTGTCCTCAACTAACAGAGTTGAAACTTTGTTTTGATACAGCATTTTGGAAACACTCTTTTTGTAGAATCTGCAGGTGGATATTTGGATAGCTTAGAGGGATTCGTTGGAAAGGGGATATCTTCATATAGAATCTAGACAGAAGCATTCTCAGAATCTTATTTGTGATGTGTGTCCTCAACTAACAGAGTTGAACTTTGGTTTTGATACAGCATTTTGGAAACACTCCTTTTGTAGAATCTGCAGGTGGATATGTGGATAGCTCTGAAGATTTCGTTGGAAACGGGAATTTCTTCATATAAAATCAAACAGAAGCATTCTCAGAAACTTCTCAGTGATGTTTGCATTCAGTTCATGGAGTTGAACACTTCCTTTCATAGAGCCGGTTTGAAACACTCTTTCTGCACTACCTGGAAGAGGACATTTCGAGCGCTTTGAGTCCTATGGTGAAAAAGGAAATATCTTCTCATAGAAACCAGAAAGAAGCATTCTCAGAAACTTCTTTGTGTTGTGTGTACTCATGTAACAGTGTTGAACCATCCTTTTGACAGAGGAGTTTTGAAACACTCTTTTTGTAGAATCTGCAAGTGGATATTTGGATAGCTTTGAGGATTTCGTTGGAAACGGGATGACATATAATATCTAGAGAGAAGCATTCTCAGGAACTTCTTTGTGATGTTTGCATTCAAGTCACAGAATTGAACATTCCCTTTCATAGAGCAGGTTTGAAACACTCTTTCTCTAGTATCTGGAAGTGGGCATTTCAAGCGCTTTCAGGCCTATGGAGAGAAAGGAAATACCTTCAAATAAAAACTAGACAGAAGCATTCTCAGAAACTTATTTGTGATGTGTGTCCTCAACTAACAGAGTTGAACCTTTGTTTTGATACAGCATTTTGGAAACACTCCTTTTGTAGAATCTGCAGGTGGATATTTGGATAGCTTTGAAGATTTCGTTGGAAACCGGAATATCTTCATATAAAATCAAGACAGAAGCATTCTCGGAAACATCTCTGTGATGTTTGCATTCAACTCAGTAGAGTTGAACACTTCCTTTCATAGAGCAGGTTTGAAACACTCTTTCTGCACTACCTGGAAGCGGACATTTCGAGCGCTTTGAGGCCTATGGTGAAAAAGGAAATATCTTCTCATAAAAACCAGAAAGAAGC
This sequence comes from Homo sapiens, assembly GCF_000001405.40. Taxonomy (NCBI): domain Eukaryota; kingdom Metazoa; phylum Chordata; class Mammalia; order Primates; family Hominidae; genus Homo; species Homo sapiens. Next base: position 51,206,829 of record NC_000004.12, read on the forward strand.
ATTCTCAGAAACTTCTTTGTGTTGTGTGTACTCAAGTAACAGTGTTGAACCTTCCTTTTGACAGAGCAGTTTTGAAACACTCTTTTGGTAGAATCTGCAAGTGGATATTTGGAGAGCTTTGAGGATTTCGTTGGAAACGGGTTATCTTCATATAAAATCCAGACAGGAGCATTCTCAGAAACTTCTTTGTGCTGTATGTCCTCAATTCACAGAGCTGAACCTTTGTTTGGATACAGCGTTTTGGAGACATTCCTTTAGTAGAATCTGCAAGTTGATATTTAGATAGCTTTGAAGATTTCGTTGGAAACGGGAATATCTTCATAGAAAATCTAGACGGAAGCATTCACATAAACTGCTTTGTGATGTTTGCATTCAAGTCACAGATTTGAATATTCCCTTTTATAGAGTAGGTTTGAAACACTCTTTCGGCACTACCTGGAAGTGGATATTTCGAGCTGTTTGAGGCCTATGGTTAAAAGGAAATATCTTCCCATAAAAACTAGACAGAAGCCGTCTCAGAAACTTGTTTGTGATGTGTGTATTCAACTAACAGAGCTGAAGATTTCTGTTACAGAGCAGTTTTAAAACACTCTTTTTGTGGAATCTGAAAGTGGATAATTGGGTAGCTTTGTGGATTCCGTTGGAAACGGGATGACGTAAAAAATCTAGAGAGAAGCATTCTCAGGAACTTCTTTCTGATGTTTGCATTCAAGTCACAGAATTGAACATTCCTTTTCATAGTGCAGGTTTGAAACACTCTTTCTGTAGTATCTGGAAGTGGACATTTCAAGCGCTTTCAGGCCTTATGGGGAGAAAGGAAATATCTTCAAATAAAAACTAGACAGAAGGATTCTCAGAAACTTATTTGTGATGTGTGTCCTAAACGAACACAGTTGAACCTTTGTTTTGATACAGCATTTTGGAAACACTCCTTTTGTAGGATCTGCAGGTGGATATTTGGATAGATTTTAAGATTTCGTTGGAAACGGGAATTTCTGCATATAAACTCAAGACAGATGCATTCTCAGAAACTTCTCTGTGATGTTTGCATTCCACTCATAGAGTTGAAAACTTCCTTTCATAGAGCAGGTTTGAAACACTCTTTTTGTAATATTTGGAAGTGGACATTTGCAGCGCTTTGAGGCCTATGGTGAAAAAGGAAATATCTTCTCATAAAAACCAGAAACAAGCATTCTCAGAAACTTCTTTTTGATGTGTGTACTCAAGTAACAGAGTTGAACCTTCCTTTTGACACAGCAGTTTTGAAACAATCTTTTTGTAGAATCTGCAAGTGGATATTTGGATAGCTTTGAGGATTTCGTTGGAAACGGGATATCTTCATATAAAATCTAGACAGAAGCATTCTCAGAAACTTCTTTGTGCTGTATGTCCTCAATTAACAGAGTTGAACCATTGCTTGGATACAGCATTTTGGAAACATTCCTTTAGTAGAATCTGCAAGTTGATATTTAGATAGATTTGAAGATTTCGTTGGAAACGGGAATATCTTCATATAAAATCTAGACGGAGGCATTCTCAGAAACTGCTTTGTGATGTTTCCATTCAAGTCACAGAGTTGAATATTCTCTTTTATAGAGCACGTTTGAAACACTCTTTCTGCACTATCTGGAAGTGGACATTTCGAGCGCTTTGAGGCCTATGTTGAAAAAGGAAATATCTTCCCATAAAAACTAGACAGAAGCATTCTCAGAAACTAGTTTGTAATGTGTGTATTCAACTAACAGACTTGAACTTTTGTTTTTACACGGCAGTTTTAAGACAATCCTTTTGTGGAATCAGAAAGTGGATATTCGGATGGCTTTGAGGATTTCGTTGGAAGCGGGATTACATATAAAATCTAGAGAGAAGCATTCTCAGGAACTACTTTGTGAGGTTTGCATTGAAGTCACAGAATTGAACATTCACTTTGATAGAGCAGGTTTGAAACACTCATTCTGTAGTATCTGGAAGTGGACAATTCAAGCGCTTTCAGGCCTATGGGGAGAAAGGAAATATCTTCAAATAAAAACTAGACAGAAGCATCCTCAGAAACTTATTTGTGATGTGTGTCCTCAACTAACAGAGTTGAAACTTTGTTTTGATACAGCATTTTGGAAACACTCTTTTTGTAGAATCTGCAGGTGGATATTTGGATAGCTTAGAGGGATTCGTTGGAAAGGGGATATCTTCATATAAAATCTAGACAGAAGCATTCTCAGAAACTTATTTGTGATGTGTGTCCTCAACTAACAGAGTTGAACCTTGGTTTTGATACGGCATTTTGGAAACACTCCTTTTGTAGAATCTGCAGGTGGATATGTGGATAGCTTTGAAGATTTCGTTGGAAACGGGAATTTCTTCATATAAAATCAAACAGAAGCATTCTCAGAAACTTCTCAGTGATGTTTGCATTCAGCTCATGGAGTTGAACACTTCCTTTCATAGAGCAGGTTTGAAACACTCTTTCTGCACTACCTGGAAGAGGACATTTCGAGCGCTTTGAGTCCTATGGTGAAAAAGGAAATATCTTCTCATAGAAACCAGAAAGAAGCATTCTCAGAAACTTCTTTGTGTTGTGTGTACTCATGTAACAGTGTTGAACCATCCTTTTGACAGAGGAGTTTTGAAACACTCTTTTTGTAGAATCTGCAAGTGGATATTTGGATAGCTTTGAGGATTTCGTTGGAAACGGGATGACATATAATATCTAGAGAGAAGCATTCTCAGGAACTTCTTTGTGATGTTTGCATTCAAGTCACAGAATTGAACATTCCCTTTCATAGAGCAGGTTTGAAACACTCTTTCTCTAGTATCTGGAAGTGGGCATTTCAAGCGCTTTCAGGCCTATGGAGAGAAAGGAAATACCTTCAAATAAAAACTAGACAGAAGCATTCTCAGAAACTTATTTGTGATGTGTGTCCTCAACTAACAGAGTTGAACCTTTGTTTTGATACAGCATTTTGGAAACACTCCTTTTGTAGAATCTGCAGGTGGATATTTGGATAGCTTTGAAGATTTCGTTGGAAACCGGAATATCTTCATATAAAATCAAGACAGAAGCATTCTCGGAAACATCTCTGTGATGTTTGCATTCAACTCAGTAGAGTTGAACACTTCCTTTCATAGAGCAGGTTTGAAACACTCTTTCTGCACTACCTGGAAGCGGACATTTCGAGCGCTTTGAGGCCTATGGTGAAAAAGGAAATATCTTCTCATAAAAACCAGAAAGAAGCATTCTCAGAAACTTCTTTGTGTTGTGTGTACTCAAGTAACAGTGTTGAACCTTCCTTTTGACAGAGCAGTTTTGAAACACTCTTTTGGTAGAATCTGCAAGTGGATATTTGGATAGCTTTGAGGATTTCGTTGGAAACGGGTTATCTTCCTATAAAATCCAGACAGGAGCATTCTCAGAAACTTCTTTGTGCTGTATGTCCTCAATTCACAGAGCTGAACCTTTGTTTGGATACAGCATTTTGGAGACATTCCTTTAGTAGAATCTGCAAGTTGATATTTAGATAGCTTTGAAGATTTCGTTGGAAACGGGAATATCTTCATAGAAAATCTAGACGGAAGCATTCTCATAAACTGCTTTGTGATGTTGCATTCAAGTCACAGAGTTGAATATTCCCTTTTATAGAGTAGGTTTGAAACACTCTTTCGGCACTACCTGGAAGTGGATATTTCGAGCTGTTTGAGGCCTATGGTTAAAAGGATATATCTTCCCATAAAAACTAGACAGAAGCCGTGTCAGAAACATGTTTGTGATGTGTGTATTCAACTAACAGAGCTGAACATTTCTGTTACAGAGCAGTTTTAAAACACTCTTTTTGTGGAATCTGAAAGTGGATAATTGGATAGCTTTGTGGATTTCGTTGGAAGCGGGATTACGTATAAAATCTAGAGAGAAGCATTCTCAGGAACTTCTTTCTGATGTTTGCATTCAAGTCACAGTAATTGAACATTCCTTTTCAGAGTGCAGGTTTGAAACACTCTTTCTGTAGTATCTGGAAGTGGACATTTCAAGCGCTTTCAGGCCTACGGGGAGAAAGGAAATATCTTCAAATAAAAACTAGACAGAAGGATTCTCAGAAACTTATTTGTGATGTGTGTCCTAAACGAACACAGTTGAACCTTTGTTTTGATACAGCATTTTGGAAACACTCCTTTTGTAGGATCTGCAGGTGGATATTTGGATAGATTTTAAGATTTCGTTGGAAACGGGAATTTCTTCATAGAAGCTCAAGACAGATGCATTCTCAGAAACTTCTCTGTGATGTTTGCATTCCACTCACAGATTTGAAAACTTCCTTTCATAGAGCAGGTTTGAAACACTCTTTTTGTAATATTTGGAAGTGGACATTTGCAGCGCTTTGAGACCTATGGTGAAAAAGGAAATATCTTCTCATAAAAACCAGAAACAAGCATTCTCAGAAACTGCTTTTTGACGTGTGTACTCAAGTAACAGAGTTGAACCTTCCTTTTGACACAGCAGTTTTGAAACAATCTTTTTGTAGAATCTGCAAGTGGATATTTGGATAGCTTTGAGGATTTCGTTGGAAACGGGATATCTTCATATAAAATCTAGACAGAAGCATTCTCAGAAACTTCTTTGTGCTGTATGTCCTCAATTAACAGAGTTGAACCATTGCTTGGATACAGCATTTTGGAAACATTCCTTTAGTAGAATCTGCAAGTTGATATTTAGATAGATTTGAAGATTTCGTTGGAAACGGGAATATCTTCATATAAAATCTAGACGGAGGCATTCTCAGAAACTGCTTTGTGATGTTTCCATTCAAGTCACAGCAGTTGAATATTCTCTTTTATAGAGCACGTTTGAAACACTCTTTCTGCACTATCTGGAAGTGGACATTTCGAGCGCTGTGAGGCCTATGGTGAAAAAGGAAATATCTTCCCATAAAAACTAGACAGAAGCATTCTCAGAAACTTGTTTGTGATGTGTGTATTCAACTAACAGACTTGAACTTTTGTTTTTACAGAGCAGTTTTAAGACAATCTTTTTGTGGAATCAGAAAGTGGATATTCGGGTGGCTTTGAGGATTTCGTTGGAAGCGGGATTACATATAAAATCTAGAGAGAAGCATTCTCAGGAACTACTTTGTGATGTTTGCATTGAAGTCACAGAATTGAACATTCACTTTGATAGAGCAGGTTTGAAACACTCATTCTGTAGTATCTGGAAGTGGACAATTCAAGCGCTTTCAGGCCTATGGGGAGAAAGGAAATATCTTCAAATAAAAACTAGACAGAAGCATCCTCAGAAACTTATTTGTGATGTGTGTCCTCAACTAACAGAGTTGAAACATTGTTTTGATACAGCATTTTGGAAACACTCTTTTTGTAGAATCTGCAGGTGGATATTTGGATAGCTTAGAGGGATTCGTTGGAAAGGGGATATCTTCATATAGAATCTAGACAGAAGCATTCTCAGAAACTTATTTGTGATGTGTGTCCTCAACTAACAGAGTTGAACCTTGGTTTTGATACAGCATTTTGGAAACACTCCTTTTGTAGAATCTGCAGGTGGATATGTGGATAGCTTTGAAGATTTCGTTGGAAACGGGAATTTCTTCATATAAAATAAAACAGAAGCATTCTCAGAAACTTCTCTGTGATGTTTGCATTCAGCTCATGGAGTTGAACACTTCCTTTCATAGAGCAGCTTTGAAACACTCTTTCTGCACTACCAGGAAGTGGACATTTCGAGCGCTTTGAGGCCTATGGTGAAAAGGGAAATATCTTCTCATAAAAACCAGAAAGAAGCGTTCTCAGAAACTTCTTTGTGTTGTGTGTACTCATGTAACAGTGTTGAACCATCCTTTTGACAGAGCAGTTTTGAAACACTCTTTTTGTAGAATCTGCAAGTGGATATTTGGATAGCTTTGAGGATTTCGTTGGAAACGGGTTATCTTCATATTAAATCTAGACAGAAGCATTCTCAGGAACTTCTTTGTGATGTTTGCATTCAAGTCACAGAATTGAACATTCCCTTTCATAGAGCAGGTTTGAAACACTCTTTCTCTAGTATCTGGAAGTGGGCATTTCAAGCGCTTTCAGGCCTATGGAGAGAAAGGAAATACCTTCAAATAAAAACTAGACAGAAGCATTCTCAGAAACTTATTTGTGATGTGTGTCCTCAACTAACAGAGTTGAACCTTTGTTTTGATACAGCATTTTGGAAACACTCCTTTTGTAGAATCTGCAGGTGGATATTTGGATAGCTTTGAAGATTTCGTTGGAAACCGGAATATCTTCATATAAAATCAAGACAGAAGCATTCTCAGAAACATCTCTGTGATGTTTGCATTCAACTCAGTAGAGTTGAACACTTCCTTTCATAGAGCAGGTTTGAAACACTCTTTCTGCACTACCTGGAAGCGGACATTTCGAGCGCTTTGAGGCCTATGGTGAAAAAGGAAATATCTTCTCATAAAAACCAGAAGAAAGCATTCTCAGAAACTTCTTTGTGTTGTGTGTACTCAAGTAACAGTGTTGAACCTTCCTTTTGACAGAGCAGTTTTGAAACACTCTTTTGGTAGAATCTGCAAGTGGATATTTGGAGAGCTTTGAGGATTTCGTTGGAAACGGGTTATCTTCCTATAAAATCCAGACAGGAGCATTCTCAGAAACATCTTTGTGCTGTATGTCCTCAATTCACAGAGTTGAACCTTTGTTTGGATACAGCATTTTGGAAACATTCCTTTAGTAGAATCTGCAAGTTGATATTGAGATAGCTTTGAAGATTTCGTTGGAAACGGGAATATCTTCATAAAAAATCTAGACGGAAGCATTGTCAGAAACTGCTCTGTGATGTTTGCATTCAAGTCACAGAGTTAAATGTTCTTTTATAGAGCAGGTTTGAAACACTCTTTCTGCACTCCCTGGAAGTGGAGATTTCGAGCGCTTTGAGGCCTATGGTGAAAAAGGAAATATCTTCCCATAAAAACTAGACGGAAGCCTTCTCAGAAACTTGTTTGAGATGTGTGTATTCAACTAAGAGCGTTGAACATTTCTTTTTACAGAGCAGTTTTAAAACACTCTTTTTGGTGCAATCTGCAAGTGGATAATTGGATAGCTTTGTGGATTTCGTTGGAAACGGGATTACGTTTAAAATCTAGAGAGAAGCATTCTCAGGAACTTCTTTCTGATGTTTGCATTCAAGTCACAGAATTGAACATTCCTTTTCATAGTGCAGGTTTGAAACACTCTGTAGTATCTGGAAGTGGACATTTCAAGCGCTTTCAGGCCTATGGGGAGAAAGGAAATATCTTGAAATAAAAACTAGACAGAAGGATTCTCAGAAACTTATTTGTGATGTGTGTCCTAAACGAACACAGTTGAACCTTTGTTTTGATACAGCATTTTGGAAACACTCCTTTTGTAGAATCTGCAGGTGGATATTTGGATAGATTTTAAGATTTCATTGGAAACGGGAATTTCTTCATATAAACTCAAGACAGATGCATTCTCAGAAACTTCTCTGTGATGTTTGCATTCCACTCATAGAGTTGAAAACTTCCTTTCATAGAGCAGGTTTGAAACACTCTTTTTGTAATATTTGGAAGTGGACATTTGCAGCGCTTTGAGGCCTATGGTGAAAAAGGAAATATCTTCTCATAAAAACCAGAAACAAGCATTCTCAGAAACTTCTTTTTGATGTGTGTACTCAAGTAACAGAGTTGAACTTTCCTTTTGACACAGCAGTTTTGAAACAATCTTTTTGTAGAATCTGCAAGTGGATATTTGGATAGCTTTGAGGATTTCGTTGGAAACGGGATATCTTCATATAAAATCTAGACAGAAGCATTCTCAGAAACTTCTTTGTGCTGTATGTCCTCAATTAACAGAGTTGAACCATTGCTTGGATACAGCATTTTGGAAACATTCCTTTAGTAGAATCTGCAAGTTGATATTTAGATAGATTTGAAGATTTCGTTGGAAAAGGGAATATCTCCATAGAAAATCTAGATGGAAGCATTGTCAGAAACTGCTCTGTGATGTTTCCATTCAAGTCACAGAGTTAAATATTCTTTTACAGAGCAGGTTTGAAACACTCTTTCTGCACTCCCTGGAAGTGGAGATTTCGAGCGCTTTGAGGCCTATGGTGAAAAAGGAAATATCTTCCCATAAAAACTAGACGGAAGCCTTCTCAGAAACTTGTTTGAGATGTGTGTATTCAACTAAGAGCGTTGAACATTTCTTTTTACAGAGCAGTTTTGAAACAGTCTTTTGGTGGAATCTGAAAGTGGATAATTGGATAGCTTTGTGGATTTCGTTGGAAACGGGATTACGTTTAAAATCTAGAGAGAAGCATTCTCAGGAACTTCTTTCTGATGTTTGCATTCAAGTCACAGAATTGAACATTCCTTTTCAGAGTGCAGGTTTGAAACACTCTTTCTGTAGTATCTGGAAGTGGACATTTCAAGCGCTTTCAGGCCTACGGGGAGAAAGGAAATATCTTCAAATAAAAACTAGACAGAAGGATTCTCAGAAACTTATTTGTGATGTGTGTCCTAAACGAACACAGTTGAACCTTTGTTTTGATACAGCATTTTGGAAACACTCCTTTTGAAGGATCTGCAGGTGGATATTTGGATAGATTTTAAGATTTCGTTGGAAACGGGAATTTCTTCACATAAACTCAAGACAGATGCATTCTCAGGAACTTCTCTGTGCTGTTTGCATTCCACTCATAGAGTTGAAAACTTCCTTTCATAGAGCAGGTTTGAAACACTCTTTTTGTAATATTTGGAAGTGGACATTTGCAGCGCTTTGAGGCCTATGGTGAAAAAGGAAATATCTTCTCATAAAAACCAGAAACAAGCATTCTCAGAAACTTCTTTTTGATGTGTGTACTCAAGTAACAGAGTTGAACCTTCCTTTTGACACAGCAGTTTTGAAACAATCTTTTTGTAGAATCTGCAAGTGGATATTTGGATAGCTTTGAGGATTTCGTTGCAAACGGGATATCTTCATATAAAATCTAGACAGAAGCATTCTCAGAAACTTCTTTCTGCTGTATGTCCTCAATTAACAGAGTTGAACCATTGCTTGGATACAGCATTTTGGAAACATTCCTTTAGTAGAATCTGCAAGTTGATATTTAGATAGATTTGAAGATTTCGTTGGAAACGGGAATATCTTCATATAAAATCTAGACGGAGGCATTCTCAGAAACTGCTTTGTGATGTTTCCATTCAAGTCACAGAGTTGAATATTCTCTTTTATAGAGCACGTTTGAAACACTCTTTCTGCACCATCTGGAAGTGGACATTTCGAGCGCTGTGAGGCCTATGGTGAAAAAGGAAATATCTTCCCATAAAAACTAGACAGAAGCATTCTCAGAAACTTGTTTGTGATGTGTGTATTCAACTAACAGACTAGAACTTTTGTTTTTACAGAGCAGTTTTAAGACAATCTTTTTGTGGAATCAGAAAGTGGATATTCGGATGGCTTTGAGGACTTCGTTGGAAGCGGGATTACATATAAAATCTAGAGAGAAGCATTCTCAGCAACTTCTTTGTGATGTTTGCATTGAAGTCACAGAATTGAACATTCACTTTGATAGAGCAGGTTTGAAACACTCATTCTGTAGTATCTGGAAGCGGACAATTCAAGCGCTTTCAGGCCTATGGGGAGAAAGGAAATATCTTCAAATAAAAACTAGACAGAAGCATTCTCAGAAACTTATTTGTGATGTGTGTCCTCAACTAACAGAGTTGAAACTTTGTTTTGATACAGCATTTTGGAAACACTCTTTTTGTAGAATCTGCAGGTGGATATTTGGATAGCTTAGAGGGATTCGTTGGAAAGGGGATATCTTCATATAAAATCTAGACAGAAGCATTCTCAGAAACTTATTTGTGATGTGTGTCCTCAACTACCAGAGTTGAACCTTGGTTTTGATACAGCATTTTGGAAACACTCCTTTTGTAGAATCTGCAGGTGGATATGTGGATAGCTTTGAAGATTTCGTTGGAAACGGGAATTTCTTCATATAAAATCAAACAGAAGCATTCTCAGAAACTTCTCAGTGATGTTTGCATTCAGCTCATGGAGTTGTACACTTCCTTTCATAGAGCAGGTTTGAAACACTCTTTCTGCACTACCTGGAAGAGGACATTTCGAGCGCTTTGAGTCCTATGGTGAAAAAGGATATATCTTCTCATAGAAACCAGAAAGAAGCATTCTCAGAAACTTCTTTGTGTTGTGTGTACTCATGTAACAGTGTTGAACCATCCTTTTGACAGAGCAGTTTTGAAACACTCTTTTTGTAGAATCTGCAAGTGGATATTTGGATAGCTTTGAGGATTTCGTTGGAAACGGGATGACATATAATATCTAGAGAGAAGCATTCTCAGGAACTTCTTTGTGATGTTTGCATTCAAGTCACAGAATTGAACATTCCCTTTCATAGAGCAGGTTTGAAACACTCTTTCTCTAGTATCTGGAAGTGGGCATTTCAAGCGCTTTCAGGCCTATGGAGAGAAAGGAAATACCTTCAAATAAAAACTAGACAGAAGCATTCTCAGAAACTTATTTGTGATGTGTGTCCTCAACTAACAGAGTTGAACCTTTGTTTTGATACAGCATTTTGGAAACACTCCTTTTGTAGAATCTGCAGGTGGATATTTGGATAGCTTTGAAGATTTCGTTGGAAACCGGAATATCTTCATATAAAATCAAGACAGAAGCATTCTCGGAAACATCTCTGTGATGTTTGCATTCAACTCAGTAGAGTTGAACACTTCCTTTCATAGAGCAGGTTTGAAACACTCTTTCTGCACTACCTGGAAGCGGACATTTCGAGCGCTTTGAGGCCTATGGTGAAAAAGGAAATATCTTCTCATAAAAACCAGAAAGAAGCATTCTCAGAAACTTCTTTGTGTTGTGTGTACTCAAGTAACAGTGTTGAACCTTCCTTTTGACAGAGCAGTTTTGAAACACTCTTTTGGTAGAATCTGCAAGTGGATATTTGGATAGCTTTGAGGATTTCGTTGGAAACGGGTTATCTTCATATAAAATCCAGACAGGAGCATTCTCAGAAACTTCTTTGTGCTGTATGTCCTCAATTCACAGAGTTGAACCTTTGTTTGGATACAGCATTTTGGAAACATTCCTTTAGTAGAATCTGCAAGTTGATATTTAGATAGCTTTGAAGATTTCGTTGGAAACGGGAATAACTTCATAAAAAATCTAGACGGAAGCATTCTCAGAAACTGCTTTGTGATGTTTGCATTCAAGTCACAGAGTTGAATATTCCCTTTTATAGAGTAGGTTTGAAACACTCTTTCTGCACTACCTGGAAATGGATATTTCGAGCTCTTTGAGGCCTATGCTTAAAAGGAAATATCTTCCCATAAAAACCAGACAGAAGCCGTCTCAGAAACTTGTTTGTGATGTGTGTATTCAACTAACAGAGTTGAACATTTGTATTACAGAGCAATTTTAAAACACTCTTTTTGTGGAATCTGAAAGTGGATAATTGGTTAGCTTTGTGGATTTCGTTGGAAACGGGATTACGTATAAAATCTAGAGAGAAGCATTCTCAGGTAACTTCTTTCTGATGTTTGCATTCAAGTCACAGAATTGAACATTCCTCTTCATAGTGCAGGTTTGAAACACTCTTTCTGTAGTATCTGGAAGTGGACATTTCAAGCGCTTTCAGGCCTATGGGGAGAAAGGAAATATCTTCAAATAAAAACTGGACAGAAGGATTCTCAGAAACTTATTTGTGATGTGTGTCCTAAACGAACACAGTTGAACCTTTGTTTTGATACAGCATTTTGGAAACACTCCTTTTGTAGGATCTGCAGGTGGATATTTGGATAGATTTTAAGATTTCGTTGGAAACGGGAATTTCTTCATAGAAGCTCAAGACAGATGCATTCTCAGAAACTTCTCTGTGATGTTTGCATTCCACTCATAGAGTTGAAAACTTCCTTTCATAGAGCAGGTTTGAAACACTCTTTTTGTAATATTTGGAAGTGGACATTTGCAGCGCTTTGAGGCCTATGGTGAAAAAGGAAATATCTTCTCATAAAAACCAGAAACAAGCATTCTCAGAAACTTCTTTTTGATGTGTGTACTCAAATAACAGAGTTGAACCTTTCTTTTGACACAGCAGTTTTGAAACAATCTTTTTGTAGAATCTGCAAGTGGATATTTGGATAGCTTTGTTGATTTCGTTGGAAACGGGATATCTTCATATAAAATCTAGACAGAAGCATTCTCAGAAACTTCTTTGTGCTGTATGTCCTCAATTAACAGAGTTGAACCATTGCCTGGATACAGCATTTTGGAAACATTCCTTGAGTAGAATCTGCAAGTTGATATTTAGATAGATTTGAAGATTTCGTTGGAAAAGGGAATATCTCCATATAAAATCTAGAGGGAAGCATTCTCAGAAACTGCTTTGTGATGTTTCCATTCAAGTCACAGAGTTGAATATTCCCTTTTATAGAGCACGTTTGAAACACTCTTTCTGCACTATCTGGAAGCGGACATTTCGAGCGCTTTGAGGCCTATGGTGAAAAAGGAAATATCTTCCCATAAAAACTAGACAGAAGCATTCTCAGAAACTTGTTTGTGATGTGTGTATTCAACTAACAGAGTTGAACTTTTGTTTTTACAGAGCCGTTTTAAAACACTCTTTTTGTGGAATCAGAAAGTGGATATTCGGATGGCTCTGAGGATTTCGTTGGAAGCGGGATTACGTATAAAATCTAGAGAGAAGCATTCTCAGGAACTTCTTTGTGATGTTGGCATTGAAGTCACAGAAATTGAACATTCACTTTGATAGAGCAGGTTTGAAACACTCATTCTGTAGTATCTGGAAGTGGACATTTCAAGCGCTTTCAGGCCTATGGTGAGAAAGGAAATATCTTCGAATAAAAACTAGACAGAAGCATCCTCAAACTTATTTGTGATGTGTGTCCTCAACTAACAGAGTTGAAACTTTGTTTTGATACAGCATTTTGGAAACACTCTTTTTGTAGAATCTGCAGGTGGATATTTGGATAGCTTAGAGGGATTCGTTGGAAAGGGGATATCTTCATATAGAATCTAGACAGAAGCATTCTCAGAAACTTATTTGTGATGTGTGTCCTCAACTAACAGAGTTGAACCTTGGTTTTGATACAGCATTTTGGAAACACTCCTTTTGAAGAATCTGCAGGTGGATATGTGGATAGCTTTGAAGATTTCGTTGGAAACGGGAATTTCTTCATATAAAATCAAACAGAAGCATTCTCAGAAACTTCTCAGTGATGTTTGCATTCAGCTCATGGAGTTGTACACTTCCTTTCATAGAGCAGGTTTGAAACACTCTTTCTGCACTACCTGGAAGAGGACATTTCGAGCGCTTTGAGTCCTATGGTGAAAAAGGAAATATCTTCTCATAGAAACCAGAAAGAAGCGTTCTCAGAAACTTCTTTGTGTTGTGTGTACTCATGTAACAGTGTTGAACCATCCTTTTGACAGAGCAGTTTTGAAACACTCTTTTTGTAGAATCTGCAAGTGGATATTTGGATAGCTTTGAGGATTTCGTTGGAAACGGGTTATCTTCATATTAAATCTAGACAGAAGCATTCTCAGGAACTTCTTTGTGATGTTTGCATTCAAGTCACAGAATTGAACATTCCCTTTCATAGAGCAGGTTTGAAACACTCTTTCTCTAGTATCTGGAAGTGGGCATTTCAAGCGCTTTCAGGCCTATGGAGAGAAAGGAAATACCTTCAAATAAAAACTAGACAGAAGCATTCTCAGAAACTTATTTGTGATGTGTGTCCTCAACTAACAGAGTTGAACCTTTGTTTTGATACAGCATTTTGGAAACACTCCTTTTGTAGAATCTGCAGGTGGATATTTGGATAGCTTTGAAGATTTCGTTGGAAACCGGAATATCTTCATATAAAATCAAGACAGAAGCATTCTCGGAAACATCTCTGTGATGTTTGCATTCAACTCAGTAGAGTTGAACACTTCCTTTCATAGAGCAGGTTTGAAACACTCTTTCTGCACTACCTGGAAGCGGACATTTCGAGCGCTTTGAGGCCTATGGTGAAAAAGGAAATATCTTCTCATAAAAACCAGAAAGAAGCATTCTCAGAAACTTCTTTGTGTTGTGTGTACTCAAGTAACAGTGTTGAACCTTCCTTTTGACAGAGCAGTTTTGAAACACTCTTTTGGTAGAATCTGCAAGTGGATATTTGGAGAGCTTTGAGGATTTCGTTGGAAACGGGTTATCTTCATATAAAATCCAGACAGGAGCATTCTCAGAAACTTCTTTGTGCTGTATGTCCTCAATTCACAGAGCTGAACCTTTGTTTGGATACAGCATTTTGGAGACATTCCTTTAGTAGAATCTGCAAGTTGATATTTAGATAGCTTTGAAGATTTTGTTGGAAACGGGAATATCTTCATAGAAAATCTAGACGGAAGCATTCTCAGAAACTGCTTTGTGATGTTTGCATTCAAGTCACAGAGTTGAATATTCCCTTTTATAGAGTAGGTTTGAAACACTCTTTCGGCACTACCTGGAAGTGGATATTTCGAGCTCTTTGAGGCCTATGGTTAAAAGGAAATATCTTCCCATAAAAACTAGACAGAAGCCGTCTCAGAAACTTGTTTGTGATGTGTGTATTCAACTAACAGAGTTGAACATTTCTGTTACAGAGCAATTTTAAAACACTCTTTGTGGAATCTGAAAGTGGATAATTGGATAGCTTTGTGGATTTCGTTGGAAACGGGATGACGTATAAAATCTAGAGAGAAGCATTCTCAGGAACTTCTTTCTGATGTTTGCATTCAAGTCACAGAATTGAACATTCCTTTTCAGAGTGCAGGTTTGAAACACTCTTTCTGTAGTATCTGGAAGTGGACATTTCAAGCGCTTTCAGGCCTACGGGGAGAAAGGAAATATCTTCAAATAAAAACTAGACAGAAGGATTCTCAGAAACTTATTTGTGATGTGTGTCCTAAACGAACACAGTTGAACCTTTGTTTTGATACAGCATTTTGGAAACACTCCTTTTGTAGGATCTGCAGGTGGATATTTGGATAGATTTTAAGATTTCGTTGGAAACGGGAATTTCTTCATAGAAGCTCAAGACAGATGCATTCTCAGAAACTTCTACTGTGATGTTTGCATTCCACTCATAGAGTTGAAAACTTCCTTTCATAGAGCAGGTTTGAAACACTCTTTTTGTAATATTTGGAAGTGGACATTTGCAGCGCTTTGAGGCCTATGGTGAAAAAGGAAATATCTTCTCATAAAAACCAGAAACAAGCATTCTCAGAAACTTCTTTTTGATGTGTGTACTCAAGTAACAGAGTTGAACCTTCCTTTTGACACAGCAGTTTTGAAACAATCTTTTTGTAGAATCTGCAAGTGGATATTTGGATAGCTTTGAGGATTTCGTTGGAAACGGGATATCTTCATATAAAATCTAGACAGAAGCATTCTCAGAAACTTCTTTGTGCTGTATGACCTCAATTAACAGAGTTGAACCATTGCTTGCATACAGCATTTTGGAAACATTCCTTGAGTAGAATCTGTAAGTTGATATTTAGATAGATTTGAAGATTTCGTTCGAAAACGGAATATCTCCATATAAAATCTAGAGGGAAGCATTCTCAGAAACTGCTTTGTGATGTTTCCATTCAAGTCACAGAGTTGAATATTCCCTTTTATAGAGCACGTTTGAAACACTCTTTCTGCACTATCTGGAAGTGGACATTTCGAGCGCTTTGAGGCCTATGGTGAAAAAGGAAATATCTTCCCATAAAAACTAGACAGAAGCATTCTCAGAAACTTGTTTGTGATGTGTGTATTCAACTAACAGACTTGAACTTTTGTTTTTACAGAGCAGTTTTAAAACAATCTTTTTGTGGAATCAGAAAGTGGATATTCGGATGGCTTTGAGGATTTCGTTGGAAGCGGGATTACATATAAAATCTAGAGAGAAGCATTCTCAGGAACTACTTTGTGATGTTTGCATTGAAGTCACAGAATTGAACATTCACTTTGATAGAGCAGGTTTGAAACACTCATGCTGTAGTATCTGGAAGTGGACAATTCAAGCGCTTTCAGGCCTATGGGGAGAAAGGAAATATCTTCAAATTAAAACTAGACAGAAGCATCCTCAGAAACTTATTTGTGATGTGTGTCCTCAACTAACAGAGTTGAAACTTTGTTTTGATACAGCATTTTGGAAACACTCTTTTTGTAGAATCTGCAGGTGGATACTTGGATAGCTTAGAGGGATTCGTTGGAAAGGGGATAAATTCATATAAAATCTAGACAGAAGCATTCTCAGAAACTTATTTGTGATGTGTGTCCTCAACTAACAGAGTTGAACCTTGGTTTTGATACAGCATTTTGGAAACACTCCTTTTGTAGAATCTGCATGTGGATATGTGGATAGCTCTGAAGATTTCGTTGGAAACGGGAATTTCTTCATATAAAATCAAACAGAAGCATTCTCAGAAACTTCTCAGTGATGTTTGCATTCAGCTCATGGAGTTGTACACTTCCTTTCATAGAGCAGGTTTGAAACACTCTTTCTGCACTACTTGGAAGAGGACATTTCGAGCGCTTTGAGTCCTATGGTGAAAAAGGAAATATCTTCTCATAGAAACCAGAAAGAAGCATTCTCAGAAACTTCT
The DNA here is from genome assembly GCF_000001405.40 of Homo sapiens. NCBI lineage: Eukaryota > Metazoa > Chordata > Mammalia > Primates > Hominidae > Homo > Homo sapiens. The sequence goes on from NC_000004.12 coordinate 51,223,518, forward strand.
TTGTGTTGTGTGTACTCATGTAACAGTGTTGAACCATCCTTTTGACAGAGGAGTTTTGAAACACTCTTTTTGTAGAATCTGCAAGTGGATATTTGGATAGCTTTGAGGATTTTGTTGGAAACGGGATGACATATAATATCTAGAGAGAAGCATTCTCAGGAACTTCTTTGTGATGTTTGCATTCAAGTCACAGAATTCAACATTCCCTTTCATAGAGCAGGTTTGAAACACTCTTTCTCTAGTATCTGGAAGTGGGCATTTCAAGCGCTTTCAGGCCTATGGAGAGAAAGGAAATACCTTCAAATAAAAACTAGACAGAAGCATTCTCAGAAACTTATTTGTGATGTGTGTCCTCAACTAACAGAGTTGAACCTTTGTTTTGATACAGCATTTTGGAAACACTCCTTTTGTAGAATCTGCAGGTGGATATTTGGATAGCTTTGAAGATTTCGTTGGAAACCGGAATATCTTCATATAAAATCAAGACAGAAGCATTCTCGGAAACATCTCTGTGATGTTTGCATTCAACTCAGTAGAGTTGAACACTTCCTTTCATAGAGCAGGTTTGAAACACTCTTTCTGCACTACCTGGAAGCGGACATTTCGAGCGCTTTGAGGCCTATGGTGAAAAAGGAAATATCTTCTCATAAAAACCAGAAAGAAGCATTCTCAGAAACTTCTTTGTGTTGTGTGTACTCAAGTAACAGTGTTGAACCTTCCTTTTGACAGAGCAGTTTTGAAACACTCTTTTGGTAGAATCTGCAAGTGGATATTTGGAGAGCTTTGAGGATTTCGTTGGAAACGGGTTATCTTCATATAAAATCCAGACAGGAGCATTCTCAGAAACTTCTTTGTGCTGTATGTCCTCAATTCACAGAGCTGAACCTTTGTTTGGATACAGCATTTTGGAGACATTCCTTTAGTAGAATCTGCAAGTTGATATTTAGATAGCTTTGAAGATTTCGATGGAAACGGGAATATCTTCATAGAAAATCTAGACGGAAGCATTCTCAGAAACTGCTTTGTGATGTTTGCATTCAAGTCACAGAGTTGAATATTCCCTTTTATAGAGTAGGTTTGAAACACTCTTTCGGCACTACCTGGAAGTGGATATTTCGAGCTCTTTGAGGCCTATAGTTAAAAGGAAATATCTTCCCATAAAAACTAGACAGAAGCCGTCTCAGAAACTTGTTTGTGATGTGTGTATTCAACTAACAGAGTTGAACATTTCTGTTACAGAGCAATTTTAAAACACTCTTTGTGGAATCTGAAAGTGGATAATTGGATAGCTTTGTGGATTTCGTTGGAAACGGGATGACGTATAAAATCTAGAGAGAAGCATTCTCAGGAACTTCTTTCTGATGTTTGCATTCAAGTCACAGAATTGAACATTCCTTTTCAGAGTGCAGGTTTGAAACACTCTTTCTGTAGTATCTGGAAGTGGACATTTCAAGCGCTTTCAGGCCTACGGGGAGAAAGGAAATATCTTCAAATAAAAACTAGACAGAAGGATTCTCAGAAACTTATTTGTGATGTGTGTCCTAAACGAACACAGTTGAACCTTTGTTTTGATACAGCATTTTGGAAACACTCCTTTTGTAGGATCTGCAGGTGGATATTTGGATAGATTTTAAGATTTCGTTGGAAACGGGAATTTCTTCATACAAGCTCAAGACAGATGCATTCTCAGAAACTTCTCTGTGATGTTTGCATTCCACTCATAGAGTTGAAAACTTCCTTTCATAGAGCAGGTTTGAAACACTCTTTTTGTAATATTTGGAAGTGGACATTCGCAGCGCTTTGAGGCCTATGGTGAAAAAGGAAATATCTTCTCATAAAAACCAGAAACAAGCATTCTCAGAAACTTCTTTTTGATGTGTGTACTCAAGTAACAGAGTTGAACCTTCCTCTTGACACAGCAGTTTTGAAACAATCTTTTTGTAGAATCTGCAAGTGGATATTTGGATAGCTTTGAGGATTTCGTTGGAAACGGGATATCTTCATATAAAATCTAGACAGAAGCATTCTCAGAAACTTCTTTGTGCTGGATGTCCTCAATTAACAGAGTTGAACCATTGCCTGGATACAGCATTTTGGAAACATTCCTTGAGTAGAATCTGCAAGTTGATATTTAGATAGATTTGAAGATTTCGTTGGAAAAGGGAATATCTCCATATAAAATCTAGAGGGAAGCATTCTCAGAAACTGCTTTGTGATGTTTCCATTCAAGTCACAGAGTTGAATATTCCCTTTTATAGAGCACGTTTGAAACACTCTTTCTGCACTATCTGGAAGCGGACATTTCGAGCGCTTTGAGGCCTATGGTGAAAAAGGAAATATCTTCCCATAAAAACTAGACAGAAGCATTCTCAGAAACTTGTTTGTGATGTGTGTATTCAACTAACAGAGTTGAACTTTTGTTTTTACAGAGCCATTTTAAAACACTCTTTTTGTGGAATCAGAAAGTGGATATTCGGATGGCTCTGAGGATTTCGTTGGAAGCGGGATTACGTATAAAATCTAGAGAGAAGCATTCTCAGGAACTTCTTTCTGATGTTTGCATTGAAGTCACGGAATTGAACATTCACTTTTATAGAGCAGGTTTGAAACACTCATTCTGTAGTATCTGGAAGTGGACATTTCAAGCGCTTTCAGGCCTATGGTGAGAAAGGAAATATCTTCGAATAAAAACTAGACAGAAGCATCCTCAGAAACTTATTTGTGATGTGTGTCCTCAACTAACAGAGTTGAAACTTTGTTTTGATACAGCATTTTGGAAACACTCTTTTTGTAGAATCTGCAGGTGGATATTTGGATAGCTTAGAGGGATTCGTTGGAAAGGGGATATCTTCATATAAAATCTAGACAGAAGCATTCTCAGAAACTTATTTGTGATGTGTGTCCTCAACTAACAGAGTTGAACCTTGGTTTTGATACAGCATTTTGGAAACACTCCTTTTGTAGAATCTGCAGGTGGATATGTGGATAGCTCTGAAGATTTCGTTGGAAACGGGAATTTCTTCATATAAAATCAAACAGAAGCATTCTCAGAAACTTCTCAGTGATGTTTGCATTCAGTTCATGGAGTTGAACACTTCCCTTCATAGAGCCGGTTTGAAACACTCTTTCTGCACTACCTGGAAGAGGACATTTCGAGCGCTTTGAGTCCTATGGTGAAAAAGGAAATATCTTCTCATAGAAACCAGAAAGAAGCATTCTCAGAAACTTCTTTGTGTTGTGTGTACTCATGTAACAGTGTTGAACCATCCTTTTGACAGAGCAGTTTTGAAACACTCTTTTTGTAGAATCTGCAAGTGGATATTTGGATAGCTTTGAGGATTTCGTTGGAAACGGGATGACATATAATATCTAGAGAGAAGCATTCTCAGGAACTTCTTTGTGATGTTTGCATTCAAGTCACAGAATTGAACATTCCCTTTCATAGAGCAGGTTTGAAACACTCTTTCTCTAGTATCTGGAAGTGGGCATTTCAAGCGCTTTCAGGCCTATGGAGAGAAAGGAAATACCTTCAAATAAAAACTAGACAGAAGCATTCTCAGAAACTTATTTGTGATGTGTGTCCTCAACTAACAGAGTTGAACCTTTGTTTTGATACAGCATTTTGGAAACACTCCTTTTGTAGAATCTGCAGGTGGATATTTGGATAGCTTTGAAGATTTCGTTGGAAACCGGAATATCTTCATATAAAATCAAGACAGATGCATTCTCAGAAACTTCTCTGTGATGTTTGCATTCCACTCACAGAGTTGAAAACTTCCTTTCATAGAGCAGGTTTGAAACACTCTTTCTGCACTACCTGGAAGTGGACATTTCGAGCGCTTTGAGGCCTATGGTGAAAAAGGAAATATCCTCTCATAAAAACCAGAAAGAAGCATTCTCAGAAACTTCTTTGTGTTGTGTGTACTCAAGTAACAGTGTTGAACCTTCCTTTTGACAGAGCAGTTTTGAAACACTCTTTTGGTAGAATCTGCAAGTGGATATTTGGATAGCTTTGAGGATTTCGTTGGAAACGGGTTATCTTCATATAAAATCCAGACAGGAGCATTCTCAGAAACTTCTTTGTGCTGTATGTCCTCAATTCACAGAGTTGAACCTTTGTTTGGATACAGCATTTTGGAAACATTCCTTTAGTAGAATCTGCAAGTTGATATTTAGATAGCTTTGAAGATTTCGTTGGAAACGGGAATATCTTCATAAAAAATCTAGACGGAGGCATTCTCAGAAACTGCTTTGTGATGTTTCCATTCTAGTCACAGAGTTGAATATTCTCTTTTATAGAGCACGTTTGAAACACTCTTTCTGCACTATCTGGAAGTGGACATTTCGAGCGCTTTGAGGCCTATGGTGAAAAAGGAAATATCTTCCCATAAAAACTAGACAGAAGCATTCTCAGAAACTTGTTTATGATGTGTGTATTCAACTAACAGATTTGAACTTTTGTTTTTACAGAGCAGTTTTAAGACAATCTTTTTGTGGAATCAGAAAGTGGATATTCGGATGGCTTTGAGGACTTCGTTGGAAGCGGGATTACATATAAAATCTAGAGAGAAGCATTCTCAGGAACTACTTTGTGATGTTTGCATTGAAGTCACAGAATTGAACATTCACTTTGATAGAGCAGGTTTGAAACACTCATTCTGTAGTATCTGGAAGCGGACAATTCAAGCGCTTTCAGGCCTATGGGGAGAAAGGAAGTATCTTCAAATAAAAACTAGAGAGAAGCATCCTCAGAAACTTATTTGTGATGTGTGTCCTCAACTAACAGAGTTGAAACTTTGTTTTGATACAGCATTTTGGAAACACTCTTTTTGTAGAATCTGCAGGTGGATATTTGGATAGCTTAGAGGGATTCGTTGGAAAGGGGATATCTTCATATAAAACCTAGACAGAAGCATTCTCAGAAACTTATTTGTGATGTGTGTCCTCAACTAACAGAGTTGAACCTTGGTTTTGATACAGCATTTTGGAAACACTCCTTTTGTAGAATCTGCATGTGGATATGTGGATAGCTCTGAAGATTTCGTTGGAAACGGGAATTTCTTCATATAAAATCAAACAGAAGCATTCTCAGAAACTTCTCAGTGATGTTTGCATTCAGCTCATGGAGTTGAACACTTCCTTTCATAGAGCAGGTTTGAAACACTCTTTCTGCACTACCTGGAAGAGGACATTTCGAGCGCTTTGAGTCCTATGGTGAAAAAGGAAATATCTTCTCATAGAAACCAGAAAGAAGCATTCTCAGAAACTTCTTTGTGCTGTATGTCCTCAATTAACAGAGTTGAACCATTGCCTGGATACAGCATTTTGGAAACATTCCTTGAGTAGAATCTGCAAGTTGATATTTAGATAGATTTGAAGATTTCGTTGGAAAAGGGAATATCTCCATATAAAATCTAGAGGGAGGCATTCTCAGAAACTGCTTTGTGATGTTTCCATTCAAGTCACAGGAGTTGAATATTCCCTTTTATAGAGCACGTTTGAAACACTCTTTCGGCACTATCTGGAAGTGGACATTTCGAGCGCTTTGAGGCCTATGGTGAAAAAGGAAATATCTTCCCATAAAAACTAGACAGAAGCATTCTCAGAAACTTGTTTGTGATGTGTGTATTCAACTAACAGACTTGAACTTTTGTTTTTACAGAGCAGTTTTAAAACAATCTTTTTGTGGAATCAGAAAGTGGATATTCGGATGGCTTTGAGGATTTCGTTGGAAGCGGGATTACATATAAAATGTAGAGAGAAGCATTCTCAGGAACTACTTTGTGATGTTTGCATTGAAGTCACAGAATTGAACATTCACTTTGATAGAGCAGGTTTGAAACACTCATTCTGTAGTATCTGGAAGTGGACATTTCAAGTGCTTTCAGGCCTATGGGGAGAAAGGAAATATCTTCAAATTAAAACTAGACAGAAGCATCCTCAGAAACTTATTTGTGATGTGTGTCCTCAACTAACAGAGTTGAAACTTTGTTTTGATACAGCATTTTGGAAACACTCTTTTTGTAGAATCTGCAGGTGGATACTTGGATAGCTTAGAGGGATTCGTTGGAAAGGGGATAAATTCATATAAAATCTAGACAGAAGCATTCTCAGAAACTTATTTGTGATGTGTGTCCTCAACTAACAGAGTTGAACCTTGGTTTTGATACAGCATTTTGGAAACACTCCTTTTGAAGAATCTGCAGGTGGATATGTGGATAGCTTTGAAGATTTCTTTGGAAACGGGAATTTCTTCATATAAAATCAAACAGAAGCATTCTCAGGAACTTCTCTGTGATGTTTGCATTCAGCTCATGGAGTTGAACACTTCCTTTCATAGAGCAGGTTTGAAACACTCTTTCTGCACTACCTGGAAGTGGACATTTCGAGCGCTTTGAGGCCTATGGTGAAAAAGGAAATATCCTCTCATAAAAACCAGAAAGAAGCGTTCTCAGAAACTTCTTTGTGTTGTGTGTACTCATGTAACAGTGTTGAACCATCCTTTTGACAGAGCAGTTTTGAAACACTCTTTTTGTAGAATCTGCCAGTGGATATTTGGATAGCTTTGAGGATTTCGTTGGAAACGGGTTATCTTCATATTAAATCTAGACAGAAGCATTCTCAGAAACTTCTTTGTGCTGTATGTCCTCAATTCACAGGAGTTGAACCTTTGTTTGGATACAGCATTTTGGAAACATTCCTTTAGTAGAATCTGCAAGTTGATATTGAGATAGCTTTGAAGATTTCGTTGGAAACGGGAATATCTTCATAAAAAATCTAGACGGAAGCATTGTCAGAAACTGCTCTGTGATGTTTGCATTCAAGTCACAGAGTTAAATATTCTTTTATAGAGCAGGTTTGAAACACTCTTTCTGCACTCCCTGGAAGTGGAGATTTCGAGCGCTTTGAGGCTTATTTTGAAAAAGGAAATATCTTCCCGTAAAAACTAGACGGAAGCCTTCTCAGAAACTTGTTTGAGATGTGTGTATTCAACTAAGAGTGTTGAACATTTCTTTTTACAGAGCAGTTTTAAAACACTCTTTTGTGGAATCTGAAAGTGGATAATTGGATAGCTTCGTGGATTTCGTTGGAAACGGGATGACGTATAAAATCTAGAGAGAAGCATTCTCAGGAACTTCTTTCTGATGTTTGCATTCAAGTCACAGAATTGAACATTCCTTTTCAGAGTGCAGGTTTGAAACACTCTTTCTGTAGTATCTGGAAGTGGACATTTCAAGCGCTTTCAGGCCTACGGGGAGAAAGGAAATATCTTCAAATAAAAACTAGACAGAAGGATTCTCAGAAACTTATTTGTGATGTGTGTCCTAAACGAACACAGTTGAACCTTTGTTTTGATACAGCATTTTGGAAACACTCCTTTTGTAGGATCTGCAGGTGGATATTTGGATAGATTTTAAGATTTCATTGGAAACGGGAATTTCTGCATAGAAACTCAAGACAGATGCATTCTCAGAAACTTCTCTGTGATGTTTGCATTCCACTCATAGAGTTGAAAACTTCCTTTCATAGAGCAGGTTTGAAACACTCTTTTTGTAATATTTGGAAGTGGACATTTGCAGCGCTTTGAGGCCTATGGTGAAAAAGGAAATATCTTCTCATAAAAACCAGAAACAAGCATTCTCAGAAACTTCTTTTTGATGTGTGTACTCAAGTAACAGAGTTGAACCTTCCTTTTGACACAGCAGTTTTCAAACAATCTTTTTGTAGAATCTGCAAGTGGATATTTGGATAGCTTTGAGGATTTCGTTGGAAACGGGATATCTTCATATAAAATCTAGACAGAAGCATTCTCAGAAACTTCTTTGTGCTGTATGTCCTCAATTAACAGAGTTGAACCATGGCTTGGATACAGCATTTTGGAAACATTCCTTGAGTAGAATCTGCAAGTTGATATTTAGATAGATTTGAAGATTTCGTTGGAAAAGGGAATATCTTCATAGAAAATCTAGACGGAAGCATTCTCAGAAACTGCTTTGTGATGTTTCCATTCAAGTCACAGAGTTGAATATTCCCTTTTATAGAGCACGTTTGAAACACTCTTTCTGCACTATCTGGAAGTGGACATTTCGAGCGCTTTGAGGCCTATGGTGAAAAAGGAAATATCTTCCCATAAAAACTAGACAGAAGCATTCTCAGAAACTTGTTTGTGATGTGTGTATTCAACTAACAGACTTGAACTTTTGTTTTTACAGAGCAGTTTTAAAACAATCTTTTTGTGGAATCAGAAAGTGGATATTCGGATGGCTTTGAGGATTTCGTTGGAAGCGGGATTACATATAAAATCTAGAGAGAAGCATTCTCAGGAACTACTTTGTGATGTTTGCATTGAAGTCACAGAATTGAACATTCACTTTGATAGAGCAGGTTTGAAACACTCATTCTGTAGTATCTGGAAGCCGACAATTCAAGCGCTTTCAGGCCTATGGGGAGAAAGGAAATATCTTCAAATAGAAACTAGACAGAAGCATCCTCAGAAACTTATTTGTGATGTGTGTCCTCAACTAACAGAGTTGAAACTTTGTTTTGATACAGCATTTTGGAAACACACTTTTTGTAAAATCTGCAGGTGGATATTTGGATAGCTTAGAGGGATTTGTTGGAAAGGGAATATCTTCATATAAAATCTAGACAGAAGCATTCTCAGAAACTTATTTGTGATGTGTGTCCTCAACTAACAGAGTTGAACCTTGGTTTTGATACAGCATTTTGGAAACACTCCTTTTGTAGAATCTGCAGGTGGATATGTGGATAGCTTTGAAGATTTCGTTGGAAACGGGAATTTCTTCATATAAAATCAAACAGAAGCATTCTCAGAAACATCTCTGTGATGTATCCATTCAGCTCATGGAGTTGAACACTTCCTTTCAGAGAGCAGCTTTGAAACACTCTTTCTGCACTACCAGGAAGTGAACATTTCGAGCGCTTTGAGGCCTATGGTGAAAAAGGAAATATCTTCTCATAAAAACCAGAAAGAAGCGTTCTCAGAAACTTCTTTGTGTTGTGTGTACTCATGTAACAGTGTTGAACCATCCTTTTGACAGAGCAGTTTTGAAACACTCTTTTTGTAGAATCTGCAAGTGGATATTTGGATAGCTTTGAGGATTTCGTTGGAAACGGGTTATCTTCATATTAAATCTAGACAGAAGCATTCTCAGGAACTTCTTTGTGATGTTTGCATTCAAGTCACAGAATTGAACATTCCCTTTCATAGAGCAGGTTTGAAACACTCTTTCTCTAGTATCTGGAAGTGGGCATTTCAAGCGCTTTCAGGCCTATGGAGAGAAAGGAAATACCTTCAAATAAAAACTAGACAGAAAGCATTCTCAGAAACTTATTTGTGATGTGTGTCCTCAACTAACAGAGTTGAACCTTTGTTTTGATACAGCATTTTGGAAACACTCCTTTTGTAGAATCTGCAGGTGGATATGTGGATAGCTTTGAAGATTTCGTTGGAAACCGGAATATCTTCATATAAAATCAAGACAGAAGCATTCTCGGAAACATCTCTGTGATGTTTGCATTCAACTCAGTAGAGTTGAACACGTCCTTTCATAGAGCAGGTTTGAAACACTCTTTCTGCCCTACCTGGAAGCGGACATTTCGAGCTCTTTGAGGCCTATGGTGAAAAAGGAAATATCTTCTCATAAAAACCAGAAAGAAGCATTCTCAGAAACTTCTTTGTGTTGTGTGTACTCAAGTAACAGTGTTGAACCTTCCTTTTGACAGAGCAGTTTTGAAACACTCTTTTGGTAGAATCTGCAAGTGGATATTTGGATAGCTTTGAGGATTTCGTTGGAAACGGGTTATCTTCATATAAAATCCAGACAGGAGCATTCTCAGAAACTTCTTTGTGCTGTATGTCCTCAATTCACAGAGCTGAACCTTTGTTTGGATACAGCATTTTGGAAACATTCCTTTAGTAGAATCTGCAAGTTGATATTTAGATATCTTTGAAGATTTCGTTGGAAACAGGAATATCTTCATAGAAAATCTAGACGGAAGCATTCTCAGAAACTGCTTTGTGATGTTTGCATTCAAGTCACAGAGTTGAATATTCCCTTTTATAGAGTAGGTTTGAAACACTCTTTCGGCACTACCTGGAAGTGGATATTTCGAGCTCTTTGAGGCCTATGGTTAAAAGGAAATATCTTCCCATAAAAACTAGACAGAAGCCTTCTCAGAAACTTGTTTGGGATGTGTGTATTCAACTAAGAGCGTTGAACATTTCTTTTTACAGAGCAGTTTTCAAACACTCTTTTGGTGGAATCTGAAAGTGGTTAATGGGATAGCTTTGTGGATTTCGTTGGAAACGGGATTACGTTTAAAATCTAGAGAGAAGCATTCTCAGGAACTTCTTTCTGATGTTTGCATTCAAGTCACAGAATTGAACATTCCTTTTCATAGTGCAGGTTTGAAACACTCTTTCTGTAGTATCTGGAAGTGGACATTTCAAGCGCTTTCAGGCCTTATGGGGAGAAAGGAAATATCTTCAAATAAAAACTAGACAGAAGGATTCTCAGAAACTTATTTGTGATGTGTGTCCTAAACGAACACAGTTGAACCTTTGTTTTGATACAGCATTTTGGAAACACTCCTTTTGTAGGATCTGCAGGTGGATATTTGGATAGATTTTAAGATTTCGTTGGAAACGGGAATTTCTGCATATAAACTCAAGACAGATGCATTCTCAGAAACTTCTCTGTGATGTTTGCATTCCACTCATAGAGTTGAAAACTTCCTTTCATAGAGCAGGTTTGAAACACTCTTTTTGAAATATTTGGAAGTGGACATTTGCAGCGCTTTGAGGCCTATGGTGAAAAAGGAAATATCTTCTCATAAAAACCAGAAACAAGCATTCTCAGAAACTGCTTTTTGATGTGTGTACTCAAGTAACAGAGTTGAACCTTCCTTTTGACACAGCAGTTTTGAAACAATCTTTTTGTAGAATCTGCAAGTGGATATTTGGATAGCTTTGAGGATTTCGTTGGAAACGGGATATCTTCATATAAAATCTAGACAGAAGCATTCTCAGAAACTTCTTTGTGCTGTATGTCCTCAATTAACAGAGTTGAACCATTGCTTGGATACAGCATTTTGGAAACATTCCTTGAGTAGAATCTGCAAGTTGATATTTAGATAGATTTGAAGATTTCGTTGGAAAAGGGAATATCTCCATATAAAATCTAGAGGGAGGCATTCTCAGAAACTGCTTTGTGATGTTTCCATTCAAGTCACAGAGTTGAATATTCTCTTTTATAGAGCACGTTTGAAACACTCTTTCTGCACTATCTGGAAGTGGACATTTCGAGCGCTTTGAGGCCTATGGTGAAAAAGGAAATATCTTCCCATAAAAACTAGACAGAAGCATTCTCAGAAACTTGTTTGTGATGTGTGTATTCAACTAACAGAGTTGAACTTTTGTTTTTACAGAGCCGTTTTAAAACACTCTTTTTGTGGAATCAGAAAGTGGATATTCGGATGGCTCTGAGGATTTCGTTGGAAGCGGGATTACGTATAAAATCTAGAGAGAAGCATTCTCAGGAACTTCTTTCTGATGTTTGCATTGAAGTCACGGAATTGAACATTCACTTTTATAGAGCAGGTTTGAAACACTCATTCTGTAGTATCTGGAAGTGGATATTTCAAGCGCTTTCAGGCCTATGGTGAGAAAGGAAATATCTTCGAATAAAAACTAGACAGAAGCATCCTCAGAAACTTATTTGTGATGTGTGTCCTCAACTAACAGAGTTGAAACTTTGTTTTGATACAGCATTTTGGAAACACTCTTTTTGTAGAATCTGCAGGTGGATACTTGGATAGCTTAGAGGGATTCGTTGGAAAGGGGATAAATTCATATAAAATCTAGACAGAAGCATTTTCAGAAACTTATTTGTGATGTGTGTCCTCAACTAACAGAGTTGAACCTTGGTTTTGATACAGCATTTTGGAAACACTCCTTTTGAAGAATCTGCAGGTGGATATGTGGATAGCTTTGAAGATTTCGTTGGAAACGGGAATTTCTTCATATAGAATCAAACAGAAGCATTCTCAGAAACTTCTCAGTGATGTTTGCATTCAGTTCATGGAGTTGAACACTTCCTTTCATAGAGCCGGTTTGAAACACTCTTTCTGCACTACCTGGAAGAGGACATTTCGAGCGCTTTGAGTCCTATGGTGAAAAAGGAAATATCTTCTCATAGAAACCAGAAAGAAGCATTCTCAGAAACTTCTTTGTGTTGTGTGTACTCATGTAACAGTGTTGAACCATCCTTTTGACAGAGCAGTTTTGAAACACTCTTTTTGTAGAATCTGCAAGTGGATATTTGGATAGCTTTGAGGATTTCGTTGGAAACGGGATGACATATAATATCTAGAGAGAAGCATTCTCAGGAACTTCTTTGTGATGTTTGCATTCAAGTCACAGAATTGAACATTCCCTTTCATAGAGCAGGTTTGAAACACTCTTTCTCTAGTATCTGGAAGTGGGCATTTCAAGCGCTTTCAGGCCTATGGAGAGAAAGGAAATACCTTCAAATAAAAACTAGACAGAAGCATTCTCAGAAACTTATTTGTGATGTGTGTCCTCAACTAACAGAGTTGAACCTTTGTTTTGATACAGCATTTTGGAAACACTCCTTTTGTAGAATCTGCAGGTGGATATTTGGATAGCTTTGAAGATTTCGTTGGAAACCGGAATATCTTCATATAAAATCAAGACAGAAGCATTCTCGGAAACATCTCTGTGATGTTTGCATTCAACTCAGTAGAGTTGAACACTTCCTTTCATAGAGCAGGTTTGAAACAATCTTTCTGCACTACCTGGAAGCGGACATTTCGAGCGCTTTGAGGCCTATGGTGAAAAAGGAAATATCTTCTCATAAAAACCAGAAAGAAGCATTCTCAGAAACTTCTTTGTGTTGTGTGTACTCAAGTAACAGTGTTGAACCATCCTTTTGACAGAGCAGTTTTGAAACACTCTTTTGGTAGAATCTGCAAGTGGATATTTGGATAGCTTTGAGGATTTCGTTGGAAACGGGTTATCTTCATATAAAATCCAGACAGGAGCATTCTCAGAAACTTCTTTGTGCTGTATGTCCTCAATTCACAGAGCTGAACCTTTGTTTGGATACAGCATTTTGGAGACATTCCTTTAGTAGAATCTGCAAGTTGATATTTAGATAGCTTTGAAGATTTCGTTGGAAACGGGAATATCTTCATAGAAAATCTAGACGGAAGCATTCTCAGAAACTGCTTTGTGATGTTTGCATTCAAGTCACAGAGTTGAATATTCCCTTTTATAGAGTAGGTTTGAAACACTCTTTCGGCACTACCTGGAAGTGGATATTTCGAGCTCTTTGAGGCCTATGGTTAAAAGGAAATATCTTCCCATAAAAACTAGACAGAAGCCGTCTCAGAAACTTGTTTGTGATGTGTGTATTCAACTACCAGAGTTGAACATTTCTGTTACAGAGCAATTTTAAAACACTCTTTCTGTGGAATCTGAAAGTGGATAATTGGATAGCTTTGTGGATTTCGTTGGAAACGGGATGACGTATAAAATCTAGAGAGAAGCATTCTCAGGAACTTCTTTCTGATGTTTTCATTCAAGTCACAGAATTGAACATTCCTTTTCAGAGTGCAGGTTTGAAACACTCTTTCTGTAGTATCTGGAAGTGGACATTTCAAGCGCTTTCAGGCCTACGGGGAGAAAGGAAATATCTTCAAATAAAAACTAGACAGAAGGATTCTCAGAAACTTATTTGTGATGTGTGTCCTAAACGAACACAGTTGAACCTTTGTTTTGATACAGCATTTTGGAAACACTCCTTTTGTAGGATCTGCAGGTGGATATTTGGATAGATTTTAAGATTTCGTTGGAAACGGGAATTTCTGCATAGAAACTCAAGACAGATGCATTCTCAGAAACTTCTCTGTGATGTTTGCATTCCACTCATAGAGTTGAAAACTTCCTTTCATAGAGCAGGTTTGAAACACTCTTTTTGTAATATTTGGAAGTGGACCTTTGCAGCGCTTTGAGGCCTATGGTGAAAAAGGAAATATCTTCTCATAAAAACCAGAAACAAGCATTCTCAGAAACTTCTTTTTGATGTGTGTACTCAAGTAACAGAGTTGAACCTTCCTTTTGACACAGCAGTTTTGAAACAATCTTTTTGTAGAATCTGCAAGTGGATATTTGGATAGCTTTGAGGATTTCGTTGGAAACGGGATATCTTCATATAAAATCTAGACAGAAGCATTCTCAGAAACTTCTTTGTGCTGTATGTCCTCAATTAACAGAGTTGAACCATTGCCTGGATACAGCATTTTGGAAACATTCCTTGAGTAGAATCCGCAAGTTGATATTTAGATAGATTTGAAGATTTCGTTGGAAAAGGGAATATCTCCATATAAAATCTAGAGGGAAGCATTCTCAGAAACTGCTTTGTGATGTTTCCATTCAAGTCACAGAGTTGAATATTCCCTTTTATAGAGCACGTTTGAAACACTCTTTCTGCACTATCTGGAAGCGGACATTTCGAGCGCTTTGAGGCCTATGGTGAAAAAGGAAATATCTTCCCATAAAAACTAGACAGAAGCATTCTCAGAAACTTGTTTGTGATGTGTGTATTCAACTAACAGACTTGAACTTTTGTTTTTACAGAGCAGTTTTAAAACAATCTTTTTGTGGAATCAGAAAGTGGATATTCGGATGGCTTTGAGGATTTCGTTGGAAGCGGGATTACATATAAAATCTAGAGAGAAGCATTCTCAGGAACTACTTTGTGATGTTTGCATTGAAGTCACAGAATTGAACATTCACTTTGATAGAGCAGGTTTGAAACACTCATGCTGTAGTATCTAGAAGTGGACAATTCAAGCGCTTTCAGGCCTATGGGGAGAAAGGAAATATCTTCAAATTAAAACTAGACAGAAAGCATCCTCAAACTTATTTGTGATGTGTGTCCTCAACTAACAGAGTTGAAACTTTGTTTTGATACAGCATTTTGGAAACACTCTTTTTGTAGAATCTGCAGGTGGATATTTGGATAGCTTAGAGGGATTCGTTGGAAAGGGGATATCTTCATATAGAATCTAGACAGAAGCATTCTCAGAAACTTATTTGTGATGTGTGTCCTCAACTAACAGAGTTGAACTTTGGTTTTGATACAGCATTTTGGAAACACTCCTTTTGTAGAATCTGCAGGTGGATATGTGGATAGCTCTGAAGATTTCGTTGGAAACGGGAATTTCTTCATATAAAATCAAACAGAAGCATTCTCAGAAACTTCTCAGTGATGTTTGCATTCAGCTCATGGAGTTGAACACTTCCTTTCATAGAGCAGGTTTGAAACACTCTTTCTGCACTACCTGGAAGAGGACATTTCGAGCGCTTTGAGTCCTATGGTGAAAAAGGAAATATCTTCTCATAGAAACCAGAAAGAAGCATTCTCAGAAACTTCTTTGTGTTGTGTGTACTCATGTAACAGTGTTGAACCATCCTTTTGACAGAGGAGTTTTGAAACACTCTTTTTGTAGAATCTGCAAGTGGATATTTGGATAGCTTTGAGGATTTCGTTGGAAACGGGATGACATATAATATCTAGAGAGAAGCATTCTCAGGAACTTCTTTGTGATGTTTGCATTCAAGTCACAGAATTGAACATTCCCTTTCATAGAGCAGGTTTGAAACACTCTTTCTCTAGTATCTGGAAGTGGGCATTTCAAGCGCTTTCAGGCCTATGGAGAGAAAGGAAATACCTTCAAATAAAAACTAGACAGAAGCATCCTCAGAAACTTATTTGTGATGTGTGTCCTCAACTAACAGAGTTGAACCTTTGTTTTGATACAGCATTTTGGAAACACTCCTTTTGTAGAATCTGCAGGTGGATATTTGGATAGCTTTGAAGATTTCGTTGGAAACCGGAATATCTTCATAAAAAATCAAGACAGAATCATTCTCGGAAACATCTCTGTGATGTTTGCATTCAACTCAGTAGAGTTGAACACTTCCTTTCATAGAGCAGGTTTGAAACACTCTTTCTGCACTATCTGGAAGCGGACATTTCGAGCGCTTTGAGGCCTATGTTGAAAAAGGAAATATCTTCTCATAAAAACCAGAAAGAAGCATTCTCAGAAACTTCTTTGTGTTGTGTGTACTCAAGTAACAGTGTTGAACCTTCCTTTTGACAGAGCAGTTTTGAAACACTCTTTTGGTAGAATCTGCAAGTGGATATTTGGATAGCTTTGAGGATTTCGTTGGAAACGGGTTATCTTCATATAAAATCCAGACAGGAGCATTCTCAGAAACTTCTTTGTGCTGTATGTCCTCAATTCACAGAGCTGAACCTTTGTTTGGATACAGCATTTTGGAGACATTCCTTTAGTAGAATCTGCAAGTTGATATTTAGATAGCTTTGAAGATTTCGTTGGAAACGGGAATATCTTCATAGAAAATCTAGACGGAAGCATTCTCAGAAACTGCTTTGTGATGTTTGCATTCAAGTCACAGAGTTGAATATTCCCTTTTATAGAGTAGGTTTGAAACACTCTTTCGGCACTACCTGGAAGTGGATATTTCGAGCTCTTTGAGGCCTATGGTTAAAAGGAAATATCTTCCCATAAAAACTAGACAGAAGCCGTCTCAGAAACTTGTTTGTGATGTGTGTATTCAACTACCAGAGTTGAACATTTCTGTTACAGAGCAATTTTAAAACACTCTTTTTGTGGAATCTGAAAGTGGATAATTGGATAGCTTTGTGGATTTCGTTGGAAACGGGATGACGTATAAAATCTAGAGAGAAGCATTCTCAGGAACTTCTTTCTGATGTTTGCATTCAGGTCACAGAATTGACATTCCTTTTCAGAGTGCAGGTTTGAAACACTCTTTCTGTAGTATCTGGAAGTGGACATTTCAAGCGCTTTCAGGCCTACGGGGAGAAAGGAAATATCTTCAAATAAAAACTAGACAGAAGGGTTCTCAGAAACTTATTTGTGATGTGTGTCCTAAACGAACACAGTTGAACCTTTGTTTTGATACAGCATTTTGGAAACACTCCTTTTGTAGGATCTGCAGGTGGATATTTGGATAGATTTTAAGATTTCGTTGGAAACGGGAATTTCTGCATAGAAACTCAAGACAGATGCATTCTCAGAAACTTCTCTGTGATGTTTGCATTCCACTCATAGAGTTGAAAACTTCCTTTCATAGAGCAGGTTTGAAACACTCTTTTTGTAATATTTGGAAGTGGACATTTGCAGCGCTTTGAGGCCTATGGTGAAAAAGGAAATATCTTCTCATAAAAACCAGAAACAAGCATTCTCAGAAACTGCTTTTTGATGTGTGTACTCAAGTAACAGAGTTGAACCTTCCTTTTGACACAGCAGTTTTGAAACAATCTTTTTGTAGAATCTGCAAGTGGATATTTGGATAGCTTTGAGGATTTCGTTGGAAACGGGATATCTTCATATAAAATCTAGACAGAAGCATTCTCAGAAACTTCTTTGTGCTGTATGTCCTCAATTAACAGAGTTGAACCATTGCTTGGATACAGCATTTTGGAAACATTCCTTTAGTAGAATCTGCAAGTTGATATTTAGATAGATTTGAACATTTCGTTGGAAACGGGAATATCTTCATATAAAATCTAGACGGAGGCATTCTCAGAAACTGCTTTGTGATGTTTCCATTCAAGTCACAGCAGTTGAATATTCTCTTTTATAGAGCACGTTTGAAACACTCTTTCTGCACTATCTGGAAGTGGACATTTCGAGCGCTTTGAGGCCTATGGTGAAAAAGGAAATATCTTCCCATAAAAACTAGACAGAAGCATTCTCAGAAACTTGTTTGTGATGTGTGTATTCAACTAACAGACTTGAACTTTTGTTTTTACAGAGCAGTTTTAAAACAATCTTTTTGTGGAATCAGAAAGTGGATATTCGGATGGCTTTGAGGATTTCGTTGGAAGCGGGATTACATATAAAATCTAGAGAGAAGCATTCTCAGGAACTACTTTGTGATGTTTGCATTGAAGTCACAGAATTGAACATTCACTTTGATAGAGCAGGTTTGAAACACTCATTCTGTAGTATCTGGAAGTGGACATTTCAAGCGCTTTCAGGCCTATGGTGAGAAAGGAAATATCTTCAAATTAAAACTAGACAGAAGGATTCTCAGAAACATATTGGTGATGTGTGTCCTAAACGAACACAGTTGAACCTTTGTTTTGATACAGCATTTTGGAAACACTCCTTTTGTAGAATCTGCAGGTGGATATTTGGATAGCTTGGAGGGATTCGTTGGAAAGGGGATATCTTCATATAAAATCTAGACAGAAGCATTCTCAGAAACTTATTTGTGATGTGTGTCCTCAACTAACAGAGTTGAACCTTGGTTTTGATACAGCATTTTGGAAACACTCCTTTTGTAGAATCTGCAGGTGGATATGTGGATAGCTTTGAAGATTTCGTTGGAAACGGGAATTTCTTCATATAAAATCAAACTGAAGCATTCTCAGAAACTTCTCAGTGATGTTTGCATTCAGCTCATGGAGTTGTACACTTCCTTTCATAGAGCAGGTTTGAAACACTCTTTCTGCACTACCTGGAAGAGGACATTTCGAGCGCTTTGAGTCCTATGGTGAAAAAGGAAATATCTTCTCATAGAAACCAGAAAGAAGCGTTCTCAGAAACTTCTTTGTGTTGTGTGTACTCATGTAACAGTGTTGAACCATCCTTTTGACAGAGCAGTTTTGAAACACTCTTTTTGTAGAATCTGCCAGTGCATATTTGGATAGCTTTGAGGTTTTCGTTGGAAACGGGTTATCTTCATATTAAATCTGGACAGAAGCATTCTCAGGAACTTCTTTGTGATGTTTGCATTCAAGTCACAGAATTGAACATTCCCTTTCATAGAGCAGGTTTGAAACACTCTTTCTCTAGTATCTGGAAGTGGGCATTTCAAGCGCTTTCAGGCCTATGGAGAGAAAGGAAATACCTTCAAATAAAAACTAGACAGAAGCATTCTCAGAAACTTATTTGTGATGTGTGTCCTCAACTAACAGAGTTGAACCTTTGTTTTGATACAGCATTTTGGAAACACTCCTTTTGTAGAATCTGCAGGTGGATATTTGGATAGCTTTGAAGATTTCGTTGGAAACCGGAATATCTTCATATAAAATCAAGACAGAAGCATTCTCGGAAACATCTCTGTGATGTTTGCATTCAACTCAGTAGAGTTGAACACTTCCTTTCCTAGAGCAGGTTTGAAACACTCTTTCTGCCCTACCTGGAAGCGGACATTTCGAGCTCTTTGAGGCCTATGGTGAAAAAGGAAATATCTTCTCATAAAAACCAGAAAGAAGCATTCTCAGAAACTTCTTTGTGTTGTGTGTACTCAAGTAACAGTGTTGAACCTTCCTTTTGACAGAGCAGTTTTGAAACACTCTTTTGGTAGAATCTGCAAGTGGATATTTGGATAGCTTTGAGGATTTCGTTGGAAACGGGTTATCTTCATATAAAATCCAGACAGGAGCATTCTCAGAAACTTCTTTGTGCTGTATGTCCTCAATTCACAGAGCTGAACCTTTGTTTGGATACAGCATTTTGGAGACATTCCTTTAGTAGAATCTGCAAGTTGATATTTAGATAGCTTTGAAGATTTCGTTGGAAACGGGAATATCTTCATAGAAAATCTAGACGGAAGCATTCTCAGAAACTGCTTTGTGATGTTTGCATTCAAGTCACAGAGTTGAATATTCCCTTTTATAGAGTAGGTTTGAAACACTCTTTCGGCACTACCTGGAAGTGGATATTTCGAGCTCTTTGAGGCCTATGGTTAAAAGGAAATATCTTCCCATAAAAACTAGACAGAAGCCTTCTCAGAAACTTGTTTGAGATGTGTGTATTCAACTAAGAGCGTTGAACATTTCTTTTTACAGAGCTGTTTTAAAACACTCTTTTGGTGGAATCTGAAAGTGGTTAACGGGATAGCTTTGTGGATTTCGTTGGAAACGGGATGACGTTTAAAATCTAGAGAGAAGCATTCTCAGGAACTTCTTTCTGATGTTTGCATTCAAGTCACAGAATTGAACATTCCTTTTCATAGTGCAGGTTTGAAACACTCTGTAGTATCTGGAAGTGGACATTTCAAGCGCTTTCAAGCCTATGGGGAGAAAGGAAATATCTTGAAATAAAAACTAGACAGAAGGATTCTCAGAAACTTATTTGTGATGTGTGTCCTAAACGAACACAGTTGAACCTTTGTTTTGATACAGCATTTTGGAAACACTCCTTTTGTAGGATCTGCAGGTGGATATTTGGATAGATTTTAAGATTTCGTTGGAAACGGGAATTTCTGCATATAAACTCAAGACAGATGCATTCTCAGAAACTTCTCTGTGATGTTTGCATTCCACTCATAGAGTTGAAAACTTCCTTTCATAGAGCAGGTTTGAAACACTCTTTTTGTAATATTTGGAAGTGGACATTTGCAGCGCTTTGAGGCCTATGGTGAAAAAGGAAATATCTTCTCATAAAAACCAGAAACAAGCATTCTCAGAAACTGCTTTTTGATGTGTGTACTCAAGTAACAGAGTTGAACCTTCCTTTTGACACAGCAGTTTTGAAACAATCTTTTTGTAGAATCTGCAAGTGGATATTTGGATAGCTTTGAGGATTTCGTTGGAAACGGGATATCTTCATATAAAATCTAGACAGAAGCATTCTCAGAAACTTCTTTGTGCTGTATGTCCTCAATTAACAGAGTTGAACCATTGCTTGGATACAGCATTTTGGAAACATTCCTTTAGTAGAATCTGCAAGTTGATATTTAGATAGATTTGAAGATTTCGTTGGAAACGGGAATATCTTCATATAAAATCCTAGACGGAAGCATTCTCAGAAACTGCTTTGTGATGTTTCCATTCAAGTCACAGAGTTGAATATTCCCTTTTATAGAGCACGTTTGAAACACTCTTTCTGCACTATCTGGAAGCGGACATTTCGAGCGCTTTGAGGCCTATGGTGAAAAAGGAAATATCTTCCCATAAAAACTAGACAGAAGCATTCTCAGAAACTTATTTGTGATGTGTGTATTCAACTAACAGAGTTGAACTTTTGTTTTTACAGAGCCGTTTTAAAACACTCTTTTTGTGGAATCAGAAAGTGGATATTCGGATGGCTCTGAGGATTTCGTTGGAAGCGGGATTACGTATAAAATCTAGAGAGAAGCATTCTCAGGAACTTCTTTGTGATGTTTGCATTGAAGTCACAGAATTGAACATTCACTTTGATAGAGCAGGTTTGAAACACTCATTCTGTAGTATCTGGAAGTGGACATTTCAAGCGCTTTCAGGCCTATGGTGAGAAAGGAAATATCTTCGAATAAAAACTAGACAGAAGCATCCTCAAACTTATTTGTGATGTGTGTCCTCAACTAACAGAGTTGAAACTTTGTTTTGATACAGCATTTTGGAAACACTCTTTTTGTAGAATCTGCA
This sequence comes from Homo sapiens, assembly GCF_000001405.40. Taxonomy (NCBI): domain Eukaryota; kingdom Metazoa; phylum Chordata; class Mammalia; order Primates; family Hominidae; genus Homo; species Homo sapiens. The sequence goes on from NC_000004.12 coordinate 51,245,036, forward strand.
GGTGGATATTTGGATAGCTTAGAGGGATTCGTTGGAAAGGAGATATCTTCATATAGAATCTAGACAGAAGCATTCTCAGAAACTTATTTGTGATGTGTGTCCTCAACTAACAGAGTTGAACCTTGGTTTTGATACAGCATTTTGGAAACACTCCTTTTGTAGAATCTGCAGGTGGATATGTGGATAGCTCTGAAGATTTCGTTGGAAACGGGAATTTCTTCATATAAAATCAAACAGAAGCATTCTCAGAAACTTCTCAGTGATGTTTGCATTCAGCTCATGGAGTTGTACACTTCCTTTCATAGAGCAGGTTTGAAACACTCTTTCTGCACTACCTGGAAGAGGACATTTCGAGCGCTTTGAGTCCTATGGTGAAAAAGGAAATATCTTCTCATAGAAACCAGAAAGAAGCATTCTCAGAAACTTCTTTGTGTTGTGTGTACTCATGTAACAGTGTTGAACCATCCTTTTGACAGAGGAGTTTTGAAACACTCTTTTTGTAGAATCTGCAAGTGGATATTTGGATAGCTTTGAGGATTTCGTTGGAAACGGGATGACATATAATATCTAGAGAGAAGCATTCTCAGGAACTTCTTTGTGATGTTTGCATTCAAGTCACAGAATTGAACATTGCCTTTCATAGAGCAGGTTTGAAACACTCTTTCTCTAGTATCTGGAAGTGGGCATTTCAAGCGCTTTCAGGCCTATGGAGAGAAAGGAAATACCTTCAAATAAAAACTAGACAGAAGCATTCTCAGTAACCTTATTTGTGATGTGTGTCCTCAACTAACAGAGTTGAACCTTTGTTTTGATACAGCATTTTGGAAACACTCCTTTTGTAGAATCTGCAGGTGGATATTTGGATAGCTTTGAAGATTTCGTTGGAAACCGGAATATCTTCATATAAAATCAAGACAGAAGCATTCTCGGAAACATCTCTGTGATGTTTGCATTCAACTCAGTAGAGTTGAACACTTCCTTTCATAGAGCAGGTTTGAAACACTCTTTCTGCACTACCTGGAAGCGGACATTTCGAGCGCTTTGAGGCCTATGGTGAAAAAGGAAATATCTTCTCATAAAAACCAGAAAGAAGCATTCTCAGAAACTTCTTTGTGTTGTGTGTACTCAAGTAACAGTGTTGAACCTTCCTTTTGACAGAGTAGTTTTGAAACACTCTTTTGGTAGAATCTGCAAGTGGATATTTGGATAGCTTTGAGGATTTCGTTGGAAACGGGTTATCTTCCTATAAAATCCAGACAGGAGCATTCTCAGAAACTTCTTTGTGCTGTATGTCCTCAATTCACAGAGTTGAACCTTTGTTTGGATACAGCATTTTGGAAACATTCCTTTAGTAGAATCTGCAAGTGGATATTTAGATAGCTTTGAAGATTTCGTTGGAAACGGGAATATCTTCATAAAAAATCTGGACGGAAGCATTCTCAGAAACTGCTTTGTGATGTTTGCATTCAAGTCACAGAGTTGAATATTCCCTTTTATAGAGTAGGTTTGAAACACTCTTTCGGCACTACCTGGAAGTGGATATTTCGAGCTCTTTGAGGCCTATGGTTAAAAGGAAATATCTTCCCATAAAAACTAGACAGAAGCCTTCTCAGAAACTTGTTTGAGATGTGTGTATTCAACTAAGAGCGTTGAACATTTCTTTTTACAGAGCAGTTTTAAAACAGTCTTTTGGTGGAATCTGAAAGTGGATAATTGGATAGCTTTGTGGATTTCGTTGGAAACGGGATTACGTTTAAAATCTAGAGAGAAGCATTCTCAGGAACTTCTTTCTGATGTTTGCATTCAAGTCACAGAATTGAACATTCCTTTTCAGAGTGCAGGTTTGAAACACTCTTTCTGTAGTATCTGGAAGTGGACATTTCAAGCGCTTTCAGGCCTACGGGGAGAAAGGAAATATCTTCAAATAAAAACTAGACAGAAGGATTCTCAGAAACTTATTTGTGATGTGTGTCCTAAACGAACACAGTTGAACCTTTGTTTTGATACAGCATTTTGGAAACACTCCTTTTGTAGGATCTGCAGGTGGATATTTGGATAGATTTTAAGATGTTCGTTGGAAACGGGAATTTCTGCATATAAACTCAAGACAGATGCATTCTCAGAAACTTCTCTGTGATGTTTGCATTCCACTCATAGAGTTGAAAACTTCCTTTCATAGAGCAGGTTTGAAACACTCTTTTTGTAATATTTGGAAGTGGACATTTGCAGCGCTTTGAGGCCTATGGTGAAAAAGGAAATATCTTCTCATAAAAACCAGAAACAAGCATTCTCAGAAACTGCTTTTTGATGTGTGTACTCAAGTAACAGAGTTGAACCTTCCTTTTGACACAGCAGTTTTGAAACAATCTTTTTGTAGAATCTGCAAGTGGATATTTGGATAGCTTTGAGGATTTCGTTGGAAACGGGATATCTTCATATAAAATCTAGAAAGAAGCATTCTCAGAAACTTCTTTGTGCTGTATGTCCTCAATTAACAGAGTTGAACCATTGCTTGGATACAGCATTTTGGAAACATTCCTTTAGTAGAATCTGCAAGTTGATATTTAGATAGATTTGAAGAATTCGTTGGAAAGGGGAATATCTTCATATAAAATCTAGACGGAGGCATTCTCAGAAACTGCTTTGTGATGTTTCCATTCAAGTCACAGAGTTGAATATTCTCTTTTATAGAGCACGTTTGAAACACTCTTTCTGCACTATCTGGAAGTGGACATTTCGAGCGCTTTGAGGCCTATGGTGAAAAAGGAAGTATCTTCCCATAAAAACTAGACAGAAGCATTCTCAGAAACTTGTTTGTGATGTGTGTATTCAACTAACAGACTTGAACTTTTGTTTTTACAGAGCAGTTTTAAAACAATCTTTTTGTGGAATCAGAAAGTGGATATTCGGATGGCTTTGAGGATTTCGTTGGAAGCGGGATTACATATAAAATCTAGAGAGAAGCATTCTCAGGAACTACTTTGTGATGTTTGCATTGAAGTCACAGAATTGAACATTCACTTTGATAGAGCAGGTTTGAAACACTCATTCTGTAGTATCTGGAAGCGGACAATTCTAGTGCTTTCAGGCCTATGGGGAGAAAGGAAATATCTTCAAATAAAAACTAGACAGAAGCATCCTCAGAAACTTACTTGTGATGTGTGTCCTCAACTAACAGAGTTGAAACTTTGTTTTGATACAGCATTTTGGAAACACTCTTTTTGTAGAATCTGCAGGTGGATATTTAGATAGCTTAGAGGGATTCGTTGGAAAGGGGATATCTTCATATAAAATATAGACAGAAGCATTCTCAGAAACTTATTTGTGATGTGTGTCCTCAACTAACAGAGTTGAACCTTTGTTTTGATACAGCATTTTGGAAACACTCCTTTTGTAGAATCTGCAGGTGGATATTTGGATAGCTTTGAAGATTTCGTTGGAAACCGGAATATCTTCATATAAAATCAAGACAGAAGCATTCTCGGAAACATCTCTGTGATGTTTGCATTCAACTCAGTAGAGTTGAACACTTCCTTTCATAGAGCAGGTTTGAAACACTCTTTCTGCACTACCTGGAAGCGGACATTTCGAGCGCTTTGAGGCCTATGGTGAAAAAGGAAATATCTTCTCATAAAAACCAGAAAGAAGCATTCTCAGAAACTTCTTTGTGTTGTGTGTACTCAAGTAACAGTGTTGAACCTTCCTTTTGACAGAGCAGTTTTGAAACACTCTTTTGGTAGAATCTGCAAGTGGATATTTGGAGAGCTTTGAGGATTTCGTTGGAAACGGGTTATCTTCCTATAAAATCCAGACAGGAGCATTCTCAGAAACTTCTTTGTGCTGTATGTCCTCAATTCACAGAGCTGAACCTTTGTTTGGATACAGCATTTTGGAGACATTCCTTTAGTAGAATCTGCAAGTTGATATTTAGATAGCTTTGAAGATTTCGTTGGAAACGGGAATATCTTCATAGAAAATCTAGACGGAAGCATTCTCAGAAACTGCTTTGTGATGTTTGCATTCAAGTCACAGAGTTGAATATTCCCTTTTATAGAGTAGGTTTGAAACACTCTTTCGGCACTACCTGGAAGTGGATATTTCGAGCTCTTTGAGGCCTATGGTTAAAAGGAAATATCTTCCCATAAAAACTAGACAGAAGCCTTCTCAGAAACTTGTTTGAGATGTGTGTATTCAACTAAGAGCGTTGAACATTTCTTTCTACAGAGCAGTTTTAAAACACTCTTTTTGTGGAATCTGAAAGTGGATAATTGGATAGCTTTGTGGATTTCGTTGGAAACGGGATTACGTATAAAATCTAGAGAGAAGCATTCTCAGAAACTTCTTTCTGATGTTTGCATTCAAGTCACAGAATTGAACATTCCTTTTCATAGTGCAGGTTTGAAACACTCTTTCTGTACTATCTGGAAGTGGACATTTCAAGCGCTTTCAGGCCTATGGGGAGAAAGGAAATATCTTCAAATAAAAACTAGACAGAAGGATTCTCAGAAACTTATTTGTGATGTGTGTCCTAAACGAACACAGTTGAACCTTTGTTTTGATACAGCATTTTGGAAACACTCCTTTTGTAGGATCTGCAGGTGGATATTTGGATAGATTTTAAGATTTCTTTGGAAACGGGAATTTCTGCATAGAAGCTCAAGACAGATGCATTCTCAGAAACTTCTCTGTGATGTTTGCATTCCACTCATAGAGCTGAAAACTTCCTTTCATAGAGCAGGTTTGAAACACTCTTTTTGTAATATTTGGAAGTGGACATTTGCAGCGCTTTGAGGCCTATGGTGAAAAAGGAAATATCTTGTGATAAAAACCAGAAACAAGCATTCTCAGAAACTTCTTTTTGATGTGTGTACTCAAGTAACAGAGTTGAACCTTCCTTTTGACACAGCAGTTTTGAAACAATCTTTTTGTAGAATCTGCAAGTGGATATTTGGATAGCTTTGAGGATTTCGTTGGAAACGGGATATCTTCATATAAAATCTAGACAGAAGCATTCTCAGAAACTTCTTTGTGCTGTATGTCCTCAATTAACAGAGTTGAACCATTGCTTGGATACAGCATTTTGGAAACATTCCTTGAGTAGAATCTGCAAGTTGATATTTAGATAGATTTGAAGATTTCGTTGGAAAAGGGAATATCTCCATATAAAATCTAGAGGGAAGCATTCTCAGAAACTGCTTTGTGATGTTTCCATTCAAGTCACAGAGTTGAATATTCCCTTTTATAGAGCACGTTTGAAACACTCTTTCTGCACTATCTGGAAGTGGACATTTCGAGCGCTTTGAGGCCTATGGTGAAAAAGGAAATATCTTCCCATAAAAACTAGACAGAATCATTCTCAGAAACTTGTTTGTGATGTGTGTATTCAACTAACAGACTTGAACTTTTGTTTTTACAGAGCAGTTTGAAAACAATCTTTTTGTGGAATCAGAAAGTGGATATTCGGATGGCTTTGAGGATTTCGTTGGAAGCGGGATTACATATAAAATGTAGAGAGAAGCATTCTCAGGAACTACTTTGTGATGTTTGCATTGAAGTCACAGAATTGAACATTCACTTTGATAGAGCAGGTTTGAAACACTCATTCTGTAGTATCTGGAAGTGGACATTTCAAGCGCTTTCAGGCCTATGGTGAGAAAGGAAATATCTTCAAATAAAAACTAGACAGAAGCATCCTCAGAAACTTATTTGTGATGTGTGTCCTCAACTAACAGAGTGGAAACTTTGTTTTGATACAGCATTTTGGAAACACTCTTTTTGTAGAATCTGCAGGTGGATATTTGGATAGCTTAGAGGGATTCGTTGGAAAGGGGATATCTTCATATAAAATCTAGACAGAAGCATTCTCAGAAACTTATTTGTGATGTGTGTCCTCAACTAACAGAGTTGAACCTTGGTTTTGATACAGCATTTTGGAAACACTCCTTTTGTAGAATCTGCAGGTGGATATGTGGATAGCTACTGAAGATTTCGTTGGAAACGGGAATTTCTTCATATAAAATCAAACAGAAGCATTCTCAGAAACTTCTCAGTGATGTTTGCATTCAGCTCATGGAGTTGAACACTTCCTTTCATAGAGCAGGTTTGAAACACTCTTTCTGCACTACCTGGAAGAGGACATTTCGAGAGCTTTGAGTCCTATGGTGAAAAAGGAAATATCTTCTCATAGAAACCAGAAAGAAGCATTCTCAGAAACTTCTTTGTGTTGTGTGTACTCATGTAACAGTGTTGAACCATCCTTTTGACAGAGGAGTTTTGAAACACTCTTTTTGTAGAATCTGCAAGTGGATATTTGGATAGCTTTGAGGATTTCGTTGGAAACGGGATGACATATAATATCTAGAGAGAAGCATTCTCAGGAACTTCTTTGTGATGTTTGCATTCAAGTCACAGAATTGAACATTCCCTTTCATAGAGCAGGTTTGAAACACTCTTTCTCTAGTATCTGGAAGTGGGCATTTCAAGCGCTTTCAGGCCTATGGAGAGAAAGGAAATACCTTCAAATAAAAACTAGACAGAAGCATTCTCAGAAACTTATTTGTGATGTGTGTCCTCAACTAACAGAGTTGAACCTTTGTTTTGATACAGCATTTTGGAAACACTCCTTTTGTAGAATCTGCAGGTGGATATGTGGATAGCTTTGAAGATTTCGTTGGAAACCGGAATATCTTCCTATAAAATCAAGACAGAAGCATTCTCGGAAACATCTCTGTGATGTTTGCATTCAACTCAGTAGAGTTGAACACTTCCTTTCCTAGAGCAGGTTTGAAACACTCTTTCTGCCCTACCTGGAAGCGGACATTTCGAGCTCTTTGAGGCCTATGGTGAAAAAGGAAATATCTTCTCATAAAAACCAGAAAGAAGCATTCTCAGAAACTTCTTTGTGTTGTGTGTACTCAAGTAACAGTGTTGAACCTTCCTTTTGACAGAGCAGTTTTGAAACACTCTTTTGGTAGAATCTGCAAGTGGATATTTGGATAGCTTTGAGGATTTCGTTGGAAACGGGTTATCTTCATATAAAATCCAGACAGGAGCATTCTCAGAAACTTCTTTGTGCTGTATGTCCTCAATTCACAGAGCTGAACCTTTGTTTGGATACAGCATTTTGGAGACATTCCTTTAGTAGAATCTGCAAGTTGATATTTAGATAGCTTTGAAGATTTCGTTGGAAACGGGAATATCTTCATAGAAAATCTAGACGGAAGCATTCTCAGAAACTGCTTTGTGATGTTTGCATTCAAGTCACAGAGTTGAATATTCCCTTTTATAGAGTAGGTTTGAAACACTCTTTCGGCACTACCTGGAAGTGGATATTTCGAGCTCTTTGAGGCCTATGGTTAAAAGGAAATATCTTCCCATAAAAACTAGACAGAAGCCGTCTCAGAAACTTGTTTGTGATGTGTGTATTCAACTAACAGAGTTGAACATTTCTGTTACAGAGCAATTTAAAACACTCTTTTTGTGGAATCTGAAAGTGGATAATTGGATAGCTTTGTGGATTTCGTTGGAAACGGGATGACGTATAAAATCTAGAGAGAAGCATTCTCAGGAACTTCTTTCTGATGTTTCCATTCAAGTCACAGAATTGAACATTCCTTTTCATAGTGCAGGTTTGAAACACTCTTTCTGTAGTATCTGGAAGTGGACATTTCAAGCACTTTCAGGCCTATGGGGAGAAAGGAAATATCTTCAAATAAAAACTAGACAGAAGGATTCTCAGAAACTTATTTGTGATGTGTGTCCTAAACGAACACAGTTGAACCTTTGTTTTGATACAGCATTTTGGAAACACTCCTTTTGTGGGATCTGCAGGTGGATATTTGGATAGATTTTAAGATTTCGTTGGAAACGGGAATTTCTTCATAGAAGCTCAAGACAGATGCATTCTCAGAAACTTCTCTGTGATGTTTGCATTCCACTCATAGAGTTGAAAACTTCCTTTCATAGAGCAGGTTTGAAACACTCTTTTTGTAATATTTGGAAGTGGACATTTGCAGCACTTTGAGGCCTATGGTGAAAAAGGAAATATCTTCTCATAAAAACCAGAAACAAGCATTCTCAGAAACTTCTTTTTGATGTGTGTACTCAAGTAACAGAGTTGAACCTTCCTTTTGACACAGCAGTTTTGAAACTATCTTTTTGTAGAATCTGCAAGTGGATATTTGGATAGCTTTGAGGATTTCGTTGGAAACGGGATATCTTCATATAAAATCTAGACAGAAGCATTCTCAGAAACTTCTTTGTGCTGTATGTCCTCAATTAACAGAGTTGAACCATTGCTTGGATACAGCATTTTGGAAACATTCCTTGAGTAGAATCTGCAAGTTGATATTTAGATAGATTTGAAGATTTCGGTTGGAAAAGGGAATATCTCCATATAAAATCTAGAGGGAAGCATTCTCAGAAACTGCTTTGTGATGTTTCCATTCAAGTCACAGAGTTGAATATTCCCTTTTATAGAGCACGTTTGAAACACTCTTTCTGCACTATCTGGAAGCGGACATTTCGAGCGCTTTGAGGCCTATGGTGAAAAAGGAAATATCTTCCCATAAAAACTAGACAGAAGCATTCTCAGAAACTTGTTTGTGATGTGTGTATTCAACTAACAGAGTTGAACTTTTGTTTTTACAGAGCCGTTTTAAAACACTCTTTTTGTGGAATCAGAAAGTGGATATTCGGATGGCTCTGAGGATTTCGTTGGAAGCGGGATTACGTATAAAATCTAGAGAGAAGCATTCTCAGGAACTTCTTTCTGATGTTTGCATTGAAGTCACGGAATTGAACATTCACTTTTATAGAGCAGGTTTGAAACACTCATTCTGTAGTATCTGGAAGTGGACATTTCAAGCGCTTTCAGACCTATGGTGAGAAAGGAAATATCTTCGAATAAAAACTAGACAGAAGCATCCTCAAACTTATTTGTGATGTGTGTCCTCAACTAACAGAGTTGAACCTTTGTTTTGATACAGCATTTTGGAAACACTCTTTTTGTAGAATCTGCAGGTGGATATTTGGATAGCTTAGAGGGATTCGTTGGAAAGGGGATATCTTCATATAGAATCTAGACAGAAGCATTCTCAGAAACTTATTTGTGATGTGTGTCCTCAACTAACAGAGTTGAACTTTGGTTTTGATACAGCATTTTGGAAACACTCCTTTTGTAGAATCTGCAGGTGGATATGTGGATAGCTCTGAAGATTTCGTTGGAAACGGGAATTTCTTCATAGAAAATCAAACAGAAGCATTCTCAGAAACTTCTCAGTGATGTTTGCATTCAGTTCATGGAGTTGAACACTTCCTTTCATAGAGCCGGTTTGAAACACTCTTTCTGCACTACCTGGAAGAGGACATTTCGAGCGCTTTGAGTCCTATGGTGAAAAAGGAAATATCTTCTCATAGAAACCAGAAAGAAGCATTCTCAGAAACTTCTTTGTGTTGTGTGTACTCATGTAACAGTGTTGAACCATCCTTTTGACAGAGCAGTTTTGAAACACTCTTTTTGTAGAATCTGCAAGTGGATATTTGGATAGCTTTGAGGATTTCGTTGGAAACGGGATGACATATAATATCTAGAGAGAAGCATTCTCAGGAACTTCTTTGTGATGTTTGCATTCAAGTCACAGAATTGAACATTCCCTTTCATAGAGCAGGTTTGAAACACTCTTTCTCTAGTATCTGGAAGTGGGCATTTCAAGCGCTTTCAGGCCTATGGAGAGAAAGGAAATACCTTCAAATAAAAACTAGACAGAAGCATTCTCAGAAACTTATTTGTGATGTGTGTCCTCAACTAACAGAGTTGAACCTTTGTTTTGATACAGCATTTTGGAAACACTCCTTTTGTAGAATCTGCAGGTGGATATTTGGATAGCTTTGAAGATTTCGTTGGAAACCGGAATATCTTCATATAAAATCAAGACAGAAGCATTCTCGGAAACATCTCTGTGATGTTTGCATTCAACTCAGTAGAGTTGAACACTTCCTTTCATAGAGCAGGTTTGAAACACTCTTTCTGCCCTACCTGGAAGCGGACATTTCGAGCGCTTTGAGGCCTATGGTGAAAAAGGAAATATCTTCTCATAAAAACCAGAAAGAAGCATTCTCAGAAACTTCTTTGTGTTGTGTGTACTCAAGTAACAGTGTTGAACCTTCCTTTTGACAGAGCAGTTTTGAAACACTCTTTTGGTAGAATCTGCAAGTGGATATTTGGATAGCTTTGAGGATTTCGTTGGAAATGGGTTATCTTCATATAAAATCCAGACAGGAGCATTCTCAGAAACTTCTTTGTGCTGTATGTCCTCAATTCACAGAGCTGAACCTTTGTTTGGATACAGCATTTTGGAGACATTCCTTTAGTAGAATCTGCAAGTTGATATTTAGATAGCTTTGAAGATTTCGTTGGAAACGGGAATATCTTCATAGAAAATCTAGACGGAAGCATTCTCAGAAACTGCTTTGTGATGTTTGCATTCAAGTCACAGAGTTGAATATTCCCTTTTATAGAGTAGGTTTGAAACACTCTTTCGGCACTACCTGGAAGTGGATATTTCGAGCTCTTTGAGGCCTATGGTTAAAAGGAAATATCTTCCCATAAAAACTAGACAGAAGCCTTCTCAGAAACTTGTTTGAGATGTGTGTATTCAACTAAGACCGTTGAACATTTCTTTTTAGAGAGCAGTTTTAAAACACTCTTTTTGTGGAATCTGAAAGTGGATAATTGGATAGCTTTGTGGATTTCGTTGGAAACGGGATTACGTATAAAATCTAGAGAGAAGCATTCTCAGGAACTTCTTTCTGATGTTTGCATTCAAGTCACAGAATTGAACATTCCTTTTCAGAGTGCAGGTTTGAAACACTCTTTCTGTAGTATCTGGAAGTGGACATTTCAAGCGCTTTCAGGCCTACGGGGAGAAAGGAAATATCTTCAAATAAAAACTAGACAGAAGGATTCTCAGAAACTTATTTGTGATGTGTGTCCTAAACGAACACAGTTGAACCTTTGTTTTGATACAGCATTTTGCAAACACTCCTTTTGTAGGATCTGCAGGTGGATATTTGGATAGATTTTAAGATTTCGTTGGAAACGGGAATTTCTTCATATAAACCCAAGACAGATGCATTCTCAGAAACTTCTCTGTGATGTTTGCATTCCACTCATAGAGTTGAAAACTTCCTTTCATAGAGCAGGTTTGAAACACTCTTTTTGTAATATTTCGAAGTGGACATTTGCAGCGCTTTGAGGCCTATGGTGAAAAAGGAAATATCTTCTCATAAAAACCAGAAAGAAGCATTCTCAGAAACTTCTTTTTGATGTGTGTACTCAAGTAACAGAGTTGAACCTTCCTTTTGACACAGCAGTTTTGAAACAATCTTTTTGTAGAATCTGCAAGTGGATATTTGGATAGCTTTGAGGATTTCGTTGGAAACGGGATATCTTCATATAAAATCTAGACAGAAGCATTCTCAGAAACTTCTTTGTGCTGTATGTCCTCAATTAACAGAGTTGAACCATTGCTTGGATACAGCATTTTGGAAACATTCCTTGAGTAGAATCTGCAAGTTGATATTTAGATAGATTTGAAGATTTCGTTGGAAAAGGGAATATCTCCATATAAAATCTAGAGGGAAGCATTCTCAGAAACTGCTTTGTGATGTTTCCATTCAAGTCACAGAGTTGAATATTCCCTTTTATAGAGCACGTTTGAAACACTCTTTCTGCACTATCTGGAAGTGGACATTTCGAGCGCTTTGAGGCCTATGGTGAAAAAGGAAATATCTTCCCATAAAAACTAGACAGAAGCATTCTCAGAAACTTGTTTGTGATGTGTGTATTCAACTAACAGAGTTGAACTTTTGTTTTTACAGAGCCGTTTTAAAACACTCTTTTTGTGGAATCAGAAAGTGGATATTCGGATGGCTCTGAGGATTTCGTTGGAAGCGGGATTACATATACAATCTAGAGAGAAGCATTCTCAGGAACTTCTTTGTGATGTTTGCATTGAAGTCACAGAATTGAACATTCACTTTGATAGAGCAGGTTTGAAACACTCATTCTGTAGTATCTGGAAGTGGACATTTCAAGCGCTTTCAGGCCTATGGTGAGAAAGGAAATATCTTCGAATAAAAACTAGACAGAAGCATCCTCAAACTTATTTGTGATGTGTGTCCTCAACTAACAGAGTTGAACCTTTGTTTTGATACAGCATTTTGGAAACACTCTTTTTGTAGAATCTGCAGGTGGATATTTGGATAGCTTAGAGGGATTCGTTGGAAAGGGGATATCTTCATATAGAATCTAGACAGAAGCATTCTCAGAAACTTATTTGTGATGTGTGTCCTCAACTAACAGAGTTGAACCTTGGTTTTGATACAGCATTTTGGAAACACTCCTTTTGTAGAATCTGCAGGTGGATATGTGGATAGCTCTGAAGATTTCGTTGGAAACGGGAATTTCTTCATATAAAATCAAACAGAAGCATTCTCAGAAACTTCTCAGTGATGTTTGCATTCAGTTCATGGAGTTGAACACTTCCTTTCATAGAGCCGGTTTGAAACACTCTTTCTGCACTACCTGGAAGAGGACATTTCGAGCGCTTTGAGTCCTATGGTGAAAAAGGAAATATCTTCTCATAGAAACCAGAAAGAAGCATTCTCAGAAACTTCTTTGTGTTGTGTGTACTCATGTAACAGTGTTGAACCATCCTTTTGACAGAGCAGTTTTGAAACACTCTTTTTGTAGAATCTGCAAGTGGATATTTGGATAGCTTTGAGGATTTCGTTGGAAACGGGATGACATATAATATCTAGAGAGAAGCATTCTCAGGAACTTCTTTGTGATGTTTGCATTCAAGTCACAGAATTGAACATTCCCTTTCATAGAGCAGGTTTGAAACACTCTTTCTCTAGTATCTGGAAGTGGGCATTTCAAGCGCTTTCAGGCCTATGGAGAGAAAGGAAATACCTTCAAATAAAAACTAGACAGAAGCATTCTCAGAAACTTATTTGTGATGTGTGTCCTCAACTAACAGAGTTGAACCTTTGTTTTGATACAGCATTTTGGAAACACTCCTTTTGTAGAATCTGCAGGTGGATATTTGGATAGCTTTGAAGATTTCGTTGGAAACCGGAATATCTTCATATAAAATCAAGACAGAAGCATTCTCGGAAACATCTCTGTGATGTTTGCATTCAACTCAGTAGAGTTGAACACTTCCTTTCATAGAGCAGGTTTGAAACACTCTTTCTGCACTACCTGGAAGCGGACATTTCGAGCGCTTTGAGGCCTATGGTGAAAAAGGAAATATCTTCTCATAAAAACCAGAAAGAAGCATTCTCAGAAACTTCTTTGTGTTGTGTGTACTCAAGTAACAGTGTTGAACCTTCCTTTTGACAGAGCAGTTTTGAAACACTCTTTTGGTAGAATCTGCAAGTGGATATTTGGAGAGCTTTGAGGATTTCGTTGGAAACGGGTTATCTTCCTATAAAATCCAGACAGGAGCATTCTCAGAAACTTCTTTGTGCTGTATGTCCTCAATTCACAGAGCTGAACCTTTGTTTGGATACAGCATTTTGGAGACATTCCTTTAGTAGAATCTGCAAGTTGATATTTAGATAGCTTTGAAGATTTCCTTGGAAACGGGAATATCTTCATAGAAAATCTAGACGGAAGCATTCTCAGAAACTGCTTTGTGATGTTTGCATTCAAGTCACAGAGTTGAATATTCCCTTTTATAGAGTAGGTTTGAAACACTCTTTCGGCACTACCTGGAAGTGGATATTTCGAGCTCTTTGAGGCCTATGGTTAAAAGGAAATATCTTCCCATAAAAACTAGACAGAAGCCTTCTCAGAAACTTGTTTGAGATGTGTGTATTCAACTAAGAGCGTTGAACATTTCTTTTTACAGAGCAGTTTTAAAACACTCTTTTGGTGGAATCTGAAAGTGGATAATTGGATAGCTTTGTGGATTTCGTTGGAAACGGGATTACGTTTAAAATCTAGAGAGAAGCATTCTCAGGAACTTCTTTCTGATGTTTGCATTCAAGTCACAGAATTGAACATTCCTTTTCAGAGTGCAGGTTTGAAACACTCTTTCTGTAGTATCTGGAAGTGGACATTTCAAGCGCTTTCAGGCCTACGGGGAGAAAGGAAATATCTTCAAATAAAAACTAGACAGAAGGATTCTCAGAAACTTATTTGTGATGTGTGTCCTAAACGAACACAGTTGAACCTTTGTTTTGATACAGCATTTTGGAAACACTCCTTTTGTAGGATCTGCAGGTGGATATTTGGATAGATTTTAAAATTTCGTTGGAAACGGGAATTTCTTCATAGACGCTCAAGACAGATGCATTCTCAGAAACTTCTCTGTGATGTTTGCATTCCACTCATAGAGTTGAAAACTTCCTTTCATAGAGCAGGTTTGAAACACTCTTTTTGTAATATTTGGAAGTGGACATTTGCAGCGCTTTGAGGCCTATGGTGAAAAAGGAAATATCTTCTCATAAAAACCAGAAACAAGCATTCTCAGAAACTTCTTTTTGATGTGTGTACTCAAGTAACAGAGTTGAACCTTCCTTTTGACACAGCAGTTTTTAAACAATCTTTTTGTAGAATCTGCAAGTGGATATTTGGATAGCTTTGAGGATTTCGTTGCAAACGGGATATCTTCATATAAAATCTAGACAGAAGCATTCTCAGAAACTTCTTTGTGCTGTATGTCCTCAATTAACAGAGTTGAACCATTGCTTGGATACAGCATTTTGGAAACATTCCTTTAGTAGAATCTGCAAGTTGATATTTAGATAGATTTGAAGATTTCGTTGGAAACGGGAATATCTTCATATAAAATCTAGACGGAGGCATTCTCAGAAACTGCTTTGTGATGTTTCCATTCAAGTCACAGAGTTGAATATTCTCTTTTGTAGAGCAAGTTTGAAACACTCTTTCTGTAGTATCTGTTAGTGGACATTTCGAGCGCTGTGAGGCCTATGGTGAAAAAGGAAATATCTTCCCATAAAAACTAGACAGAAGCATTCTCAGAAACTTGTTTATGATGTGTGTATTCAACAAACAGACTTGAACTTTTGTTTTTACAGAGCAGTTTTAAGACAATCTTTTTGTGGAATCAGAAAGTGGATATTCGGATGGCTTTGAGGACTTCGTTGGAAGCGGGATTACATATAAAGTCTAGAGAGAAGCATTCTCAGGAACTACTTTGTGATGTTTGCATTGAAGTCACAGAATTGAACATTCACTTTGATAGAGCAGGTTTGAAACACTCATTCTGTAGTATCTGGAAGCGGACAATTCAAGCGCTTTCAGGCCTATGGGGAGAAAGGAAATATCTTCAAATAAAAACTAGAGAGAAGCATCCTCAAACTTATTTGTGATGTGTGTCCTCAACTAACAGAGTTGAAACTTTGTTTTGATACAGCATTTTGGAAACACTCTTTTTGTAGAATCTGCAGGTGGATATTTGGATAGCTTAGAGGGATTCGTTGGAAAGGGGATATCTTCATATAGAATCTAGACAGAAGCATTCTCAGAAACTTATTTGTGATGTGTGTCCTCAACTAACAGAGTGGAACCTTGGTTTTGATACAGCATTTTGGAAACACTCCTTTTGTAGAATCTGCAGGTGGATATGTGGATAGCTTTGAAGATTTCGTTGGAAACGGGAATTTCTTCATATAAAATCAAACAGAAGCATTCTCAGAAACTTCTCTGTGATGTTTGCATTCAGCTCATGGAGTTGAACACTTCCTTTCATAGAGCAGGTTTGAAACACTCTTTCTGCACTACCAGGAAGTGGACATTTCGAGCGCTTTGAGGCCTTTGGTGAGAAAGGAAATATCTTCTCATAAAAACCAGAAAGAAGCATTCTCAGAAACTTCTTTTTGATGTGTGTACTCAAGTAACACAGTTGAACCTTCCTTTTGACACAGCAGTTTTGAAACAATCTTTTTGTAGAATCTGCCAGTGGATATTTGGATAGCTTTGAGGATTTCGTTGGAAACGGGATATCTTCATATAAAATCTAGACAGAAGCATTCTCAGAAACTTCTTTGTGCTGTATGTCCTCAATTCACAGAGTTGAACCTTTGTTTGGATACAGCATTTTGGAAACATTCCTTTACTAGAATCTGCAAGTTGATATTTAGATAGCTTTGAAGATTTCGTTGGAAACGGGAATATCTTCATAAAAAATCTAGACGGAAGCATTGTCAGAAACTGCTCTGTGATGTTTGCATTCAAGTCACAGAGTTAAATATTCTTTTATAGAGCAGGTTTGAAACACTCTTTCTGCACTCCCTGGAAGTGGAGATTTCGAGCGCTTTGAGGCCTATGGTGAAAAAGGAAATATCTTCCCGTAAAAACTAGACGGAAGCCTTCTCAGAAACTTGTTTGAGATGTGTGTATTCAACTAAGAGCGTTGAAGATTTCTTTTTACAGAGCAGTTTTAAAACAGTCTTTTGGTGGAATCTGAAAGTGGATAATTGGATAGCTTTGTGGATTTCGTTGGAAACGGGATTACGTTTAAAATCTAGAGAGAAGCATTCTCAGGAACTTCTTTCTGATGTTTGCATTCAAGTCACAGAATTGAACATTCCTTTTCATAGTGCAGGTTTGAAACACTCTGTAGTATCTGGAAGTGGACATTTCAAGGGCTTTCAGGCCTATGGGGAGAAAGGAAATATCTTGAAATAAAAACTAGACAGAAGGATTCTCAGAAACTTATTTGTGATGTGTGTCCTAAACGAACACAGTTGAACCTTTGTTTTGATACAGCATTTTGGAAACACTCCTTTTGTAGAATCTGCAGGTGGATATTTGGATAGATTTTAAGATTTCATTGGAAACGGGAATTTCTTCATATAAACTCAAGACAGATGCATTCTCAGAAACTTCTCTGTGATGTTTGCATTCCACTCATAGAGTTGAAAACTTCCTTTCATAGAGCAGGTTTGAAACACTCTTTTTGTAATATTTGGAAGTGGACATTTGCAGCGCTTTGAGGCCTATGGTGAAAAAGGAAATATCTTCTCATAAAAACCAGAAACAAGCATTCTCAGAAACTTCTTTTTGATGTGTGTACTCAAGTAACAGAGTTGAACCTTCCTTTTGACACAGCAGTTTTGAAACAATCTTTTTGTAGAATCTGCAAGTGGATATTTGGATAGCTTTGAGGATTTCGTTGGAAACGGGATATCTTCATATAAAATCTAGACAGAAGCATTCTCAGAAACTTCTTTGTGCTGTATGACCTCAATTAACAGAGTTGAACCATTGCTTGCATACAGCATTTTGGAAACATTCCTTGAGTAGAATCTGCAAGTTGATATTTAGATAGATTTGAAGATTTCGTTCGAAAACGGAATATCTCCATATAAAATCTAGAGGGAAGCATTCTCAGAAACTGCTTTGTGATGTTTCCATTCAAGTCACAGAGTTGAATATTCCCTTTTATAGAGCACGTTTGAAACACTCTTTCTGCACTATCTGGAAGCGGACATTTCGAGCGCTTTGAGGCCTATGGTGAAAAAGGAAATATCTTCCCATAAAAACTAGACAGAAGCATTCTCAGAAACTTGTTTGTGATGTGTGTATTCAACTAACAGAGTTGAACTTTTGTTTTTACAGAGCCGTTTTAAAACACTCTTTTTGTGGAATCAGAAAGTGGATATTCGGATGGCTCTGAGGATTTCGTTGGAAGCGGGATTACGTATAAAATCTAGAGAGAAGCATTCTCAGGAACTTCTTTGTGATGTTTGCATTGAAGTCACAGAATTGAACATTCACTTTGATAGAGCAGGTTTGAAACACTCATTCTGTAGTATCTGGAAGTGGACATTTCAAGCGCTTTCAGGCCTATGGTGAGAAAGGAAATATCCTTCGAATAAAAACTAGACAGAACCATCCTCAGAAACTTATTTGTGATGTGTGTCCTCAAGTAACAGAGTTGAAACTTCGTTTTGATACAGCATTTTGGAAACACTCCTTTTGTAGGATCTGCAGGTGGATATTTGGATAGCTTACAGGGATTCGTTGGAAAGGGGATATCTTCACATAAAATCAAACAGAAGCATTCTCAGAAACTTCTCTGTGATGTTTGCATTCAGCTCATGGAGTTGAACACTTCCTTTCATAGAGCAGGTTTGAAACACTCTTTCTGCACTACCAGGAAGTGGACATTTCGAGAGCTTTGAGGCCTATGGTGAAAAAGGAAATATCTTCTCATAAAAACCAGAAAGAAGCGTTCTCAGAAACTTCTTTGTGTTGTGTGTACTCATATAAAAGTGTTGAACCATCCTTTTGACAGAGCAGTTTTGAAACACTCTTTTTGTAGAATCTGCAAGTGGATATTTGGATAGCTTTGAGGATTTCGTTGGAAACGGGTTATCTTCATATTAAATCTAGACAGAAGCATTCTCAGAAACTTCTTTGTGCTGTATGTCCTCAATTCACAGAGTTGAACCTTTGTTTGGATACAGCATTTTGGAAACATTCCTTTAGTAGAATCTGCAAGTTGATATTTAGATAGCTTTGAAGATTTCGTTGGAAACGGGAATATCTTCATAAAAAATCTAGACGGAAGCATTGTCAGAAACTGCTTTGTGATGTTTGCATTCAAGTCACAGAGTTAAATATTCTTTTGCAGAGCACGTTTGAAACACTCTTTCTGCACTCCCTGGAAGTGGAGATTTCGAGCGCTTTGAGGCCTATGGTGAAAAAGGAAATATCTTCCCATAAAAACTAGACGGAAGCCTTCTCAGAAACTTGTTTGAGATGTGTGTATTCAACTAAGAGCGTTGAACATTTCTTTTTACAGAGCAGTTTTAAAACACTCTTTTTGTGGAATCTGAAAGTGGATAATTGGATAGCTTTGTGGATTTCGTTGGAAACGGGATGACGTATAAAATCTAGAGAGAAGCATTCTCAGGAACTTCTTTCTGATGTTTGCATTCAAGTCACAGAATTGAACATTCCTTTTCATAGTGCAGGTTTGAAACACTCTTTCTGTAGTATCTGGAAGTGGACATTTCAAGCGCTTTCAGGCCTATGGGGAGAAAGGAAATATCTTCAAATAAAAACTAGACAGAGAGGATTCTCAGTAAACTTATTTGTGATGTGTGTCCTAAACGAACACAGTTGAACCTTTGTTTTGATACAGCATTTTGGAAACACTCCTTTTGTAGAATCTGCAGGTGGATATTTGGATAGATTTTAAGATTTCATTGGAAACGGGAATTTCTTCATATAAACTCAAGACAGATGCATTCTCAGAAACTTCTCTGTGATGTTTGCATTCCACTCATAGAGTTGAAAACTTCCTTTCATAGAGCAGGTTTGAAACACTCTTTTTGTAATATTTGGAAGTGGACATTTGCAGCGCTTTGAGGCCTATGGTGAAAAAGGAAATATCTTCTCATAAAAACCAGAAACAAGCATTCTCAGAAACTTCTTTTTGATGTGTGTACTCAAGTAACAGAGTTGAACCTTCCTCTTGACACAGCAGTTTTGAAACAATCTTTTTGTAGAATCTGCAAGTGGATATTTGGATAGCTTTGAGGATTTCGTTGGAAACGGGATATCTTCATATAAAATCTAGACAGAAGCATTCTCAGAAACTTCTTTGTGCTGTATGTCCTCAATTAACAGAGTTGAACCATTGCTTGGATACAGCATTTTGGAAACATTCCTTTAGTAGAATCTGCAAGTTGATATTTAGATAGATTTGAAGATTTCGTTGGAAACGGGAATATCTTCATATAAAATCTAGACGGAGGCATTCTCAGAAACTGCTTTGTGATGTTTCCATTCAAGTCACAGAGTTGAATATTCTCTTTTATAGAGCACGCTTGAAACACTCTTTCTGCACTATCTGGAAGTGGACATTTCGAGCGCTTTGAGGCCTATGGTGAAAAAGGAAATATCTTCCCATAAAAACTAGACAGAAGCATTCTCAGAAACTTGTTTGTGATGTGTGTATTCAACTAACAGACTTGAACTTTTGTTTTTACAGAGCAGTTTTAAAACAATCTTTTTGTGGAATCAGAAAGTGGATATTCGGATGGCTTTGAGGATTTCGTTGGAAGCGGGATTACATATAAAATCTAGAGAGAAGCATTCTCAGGCAACTTCTTTGTGATGTTTGCATTGAAGTCACAGAATTGAACATTCACTTTGATAGAGCAGGTTTGAAACACTCATTCTGTAGTATCTGGAAGTGGACATTTCAAGCGCTTTCAGGCCTATGGTGAGAAAGGAAATATCTTCGAATAAAAACTAGACAGAAGCATCCTCAAACTTATTTGTGATGTGTGTCCTCAACTAACAGAGTTGAAACTTTGTTTTGATACAGCATTTTGGAAACACTCTTTTTGTAGAATCTGCAGGTGGATATTTGGATAGCTTAGAGGGATTCGTTGGAAAGGGGATATCTTCATATAAAATCTAGACAGAAGCATTCTCAGAAACTTATTTGTGATGTGTGCCCTCAACTAACAGAGTTGAACCTTGGTTTTGATACAGCATTTTGGAAACACTCCTTTTGTAGAATCTGCAGGTGGATATGTGGATAGCTTTGAAGATTTCGTTGGAATCGGGAATTTCTTCATATAAAATCAAACAGAAGCATTCTCAGAAACTTCTCTGTGATGTTTGCATTCAGCTCATGGAGTTGAACACTTCCTTTCATAGAGCAGGTTTGAAACACTCTTTCTGCACTACCTGGAAGTGGACATTTCGAGCGCTTTGAGGCCTATGGTGTAAAAGGAAATATCTTCTCATAAAAACCAGAAGGAAGCATTCTCAGAAACTTCTTTGTGTTGTGTGTACTCATGTAACAGTGTTGAACCATCCTTTTGACAGAGCAGTTTTGAAACACTCTTTTTGTAGAATCTGCAAGTGGATATTTGGATAGCTTTGAGGATTTCGTTGGAAACGGGTTATCTTCATATTAAATCTAGACAGAAGCATTCTCAGAAACTTCCTTGTGCTGTATGTCCTCAATTCACAGAGTTGAACCTTTGTTTGGATACAGCATTTTGGAAACATTCCTTTAGTAGAATCTGCAAGTGGATATTTAGATAGCTTTGAAGATTTCGTTGGAAACGGGAATATCTTCATAAAAAATCTGGACGGAAGCATTGTCAGAAACTGCTTTGTGATGTTTGCATTCAAGTCACAGAGTTAAATAGTCTTTTATAGAGCAGGTTTGAAACACTCTTTCTGCACTACCTGGAAGTGGAGATTTCGAGCGCTTTGAGGCCTATGGTGAAAAAGGAAATATCTTCCCATAAAAACTAGACGGAAGCCTTCTCAGAAACTTGTTTGAGATGTGTGTATTCAACTAAGAGCGTTGAACATTTCCTTTTACAGAGCAGTTTTAAAACACTCTTTTTGTGGAATCTGAAAGTGGATAACTGGATAGCTTTGTGGATTTCGTTGGAAACGGGATTACGAATAAAATCTAGAGAGAAGCATTCTCAGGAACTTCTTTCTGATGTTTGCATTCAAGTCACAGAATTGAACATTCCTTTTCAGAGTGCAGGTTTGAAACACTCTTTCTGTAGTATCTGGAAGTGGACATTTCAAGCGCTTTCAGGCCTACGGGGAGAAAGGAAATATCTTCAAATAAAAACTAGACAGAAGGATTCTCAGAAACTTATTTGTGATGTGTGTCCTAAACGAACACAGTTGAACCTTTGTTTTGATACAGCATTTTGGAAACACTCCTTTTGTAGAATCTGCAGGTGGATATTTGGATAGATTTTAAGATTTCGTTGGAAACGGGAATTTCTTCACATAAACTCAAGACAGATGCATTCTCAGAAACTTCTCTGTGATGTTTGCATTCCACTCATAGAGTTGAAAACTTCCTTTCATAGAGCAGGTTTGAAACACTCTTTTTGTAATATTTGGAAGTGGACATTTGCAGCGCTTTGAGGCCTATGGTGAAAAAGGAAATATCTTCTCATAAAAACCAGAAACAAGCATTCTCAGAAACTTCTTTTTGATGTGTGTACTCAAGTAACAGAGTTGAACCTTCCTTTTGACACAGCAGTTTTGAAACAATCTTTTTGTAGAATCTGCAAGTGGATATTTGGATAGCTTTGAGGATTTCGTTGGAAACGGGATATCTTCATATAAAATCTAGACAGAAGCATTCTCAGAAACTTCTTTGTGCTGTATGTCCTCAATTAACAGAGTTGAACCATTGCTTGGATACAGCATTTTGGAAACATTCCTTGAGTAGAATCTGCAAGTTGATATTTAGATAGATTTGAAGATTTCGTTCGAAAACGGAATATCTCCATATAAAATCTAGAGGGAAGCATTCTCAGAAACTGCTTTATGATGTTTCCATTCAAGTCACAGAGTTGAATATTCCCTTTTATAGAGCACGTTTGAAACAATCTTTCTGCACTATCTGGAAGTGGACATTTCGAGCGCTTTGAGGCCTATGGTGAAAAAGGAAATATCTTCCCATAAAAACTAGACAGAAGCATTCTCAGAAACTTGTTTGTGATGTGTGTATTCAACTAACAGACTTGAACTTTTGTTTTTACAGAGCAGTTTTAAAACAATCTTTTTGTGGAATCAGAAAGTGGATATTCGGATGGCTTTGAGGATTTCGTTGGAAGCGGGATTACATATAAAATCTAGAGAGAAGCATTCTCAGGAACTTCTTTGTGATGTTTGCATTGAAGTCACAGAATTGAACATTCACTTTGATAGAGCAGGTTTGAAACACTCATTCTGTAGTATCTGGAAGTGGACATTTCAAGCGCTTTCAGGCCTATGGTGAGAAAGGAAATATCCTTCGAATAAAAACTAGACAGAAGCATCCTCAGAAACTTATTTGTGATGTGTGTCCTCAACTAACAGAGTTGAAACTTTGTTTTGATACAGCATTTTGGAAACACTCTTTTTGTAGAATCTGCAGGTGGATATTTTGATAGCTTAGAGGGATTCGTTGGAAAGGGGATATCTTCATATAAAATCTAGACAGAAGCATTCTCAGAAACTTATTTGTGATGTGTGTCCTCAACTAACAGAGTTGAACCTTGGTTTTGATACAGCATTTTGGAAACACTCCTTTTGTAGAATCTGCAGGTGGATATGTGGATAGCTCTGAAGATTTCGTTGGAAACGGGTATTTCTTCATATAAAATCAAACAGAAGCATTCTCAGAAACTTCTCAGTGATGTTTGCATTCAGCTCATGGAGTTGTACACTTCCTGTCATAGAGCAGGTTTGAAACACTCTTTCTGCACTACCTGGAAGAGGACATTTCGAGCCCTTTGAGTCCTATGGTGAAAAAGGAAATATCTTCTCATAGAAACCAGAAAGAAGAGTTCTCAGAAACTTCTTTGTGTTGTGTGTACTCATGTAACAGTGTTGAACCATCCTTTTGACAGAGCAGTTTTGAAACACTTTTTTTGTAGAATCTGCAAGTGGATATTTGGATAGCTTTGAGGATTTCGTTGGAAACGGGTTATCTTCATATTAAATCTAGACAGAAGCATTCTCAGAAACTTCTTTGTGCTGTATGTCCTCAATTCACAGAGTTGAACCTTTGTTTGGATACAGCATTTTGGAAACATTCCTTTAGTAGAATCTGCAAGTTGATATGTAGATAGCTTTGAAGATTTCGTTGGAAACGGGAATATCTTCATAAAATATCTAGACGGAAGCATTGTCAGAAACTGCTCTGTGATGTTTGCATTCAAGTCACAGAGTTAAATATTCTTTTATAGAGCAGGTTTGAAACACTCTTTCTGCACTCCCTGGAAGTGGAGATTTCGAGCGCTTTGAGGCCTATGGTGAAAAAGGAAATATCTTCCCATAAAAACTAGACGGAAGCATTCTCAGAAACTTGTTTGTGATGTGTGTATTCAACTAACAGAGTTGAACTTTTGTTTTTACAGAGCCGTTTTAAAACACTCTTTTTGTGGAATCAGAAAGTGGATATTCGGATGGCTCTGAGGATTTCGTTGGAAGCGGGATTACGTATAAAATCTAGAGAGAAGCATTCTCAGGAACTTCTTTGTGATGTTTGCATTGAAGTCACAGAATTGAACATTCACTTTTATAGAGCAGGGTTGAAACACTCATTCTGTAGTATCTGGAAGTGGACATTTCAAGCGCTTTCAGGCCTATGGTGAGAAAGGAGATATCTTCAAATAAAAACTAGACAGAAGCATCCTCAGAAACTTATTTGTGATGTGTGTCCTCAACTAACAGAGTTGAAACTTTGTTTTGATACAGCATTTTGGAAACACTCCTTTTGTAGAATCTGCAGGTGGCTATTTGGATAGCTTAGAGGTATTCGTTGGAAAGGGGATATCTTCATATAAAATCTAGACAGAAGCATTCTCAGAAACTTATTTGTGATGTGTGTCCTCAACTAACAGAGTTGAACTTTGGTTTTGATACAGCATTTTGGAAACACTCCTTTTGTAGAATCTGCAGGTGGATATGTGGATAGCTCTGAAGATTTCGTTGGAAACGGGAATTTCTTCATATAAAATCAAACAGAAGCATTCTCAGAAACTTCTCAGTGATGTTTGCATTCAGCTCATGGAGTTGTACACTTCCTTTCATAGAGCAGGTTTGAAACACTCTTTCTGCACTACCTGGAAGAGGACATTTCAAGCGCTTTGAGTCCTATGGTGAAAAAGGAAATATCTTCTCATAGAAACCAGAAAGAAGCATTCTCAGAAACTTCTTTGTGTTGTGTGTACTCATGTAACAGTGTTGAACCATCCTTTTGACAGAGGAGTTTTGAAACACTCTTTTTGTAGAATCTGCAAGTGGATATTTGGATAGCTTCGAGGATTTTGTTGGAAACGGGATGACATATAATATCTAGAGAGAAGCATTCTCAGGAACTTTTTGTGATGTTTGCATTCAAGTCACAGAATTGAACATTCCCTTTCATAGAGCAGGTTTGAAACACTCTTTCTCTAGTATCTGGAAGTGGGCATTTCAAGCGCTTTCAGGCCTATGGAGAGAAAGGAAATACCTTCAAATAAAAACTAGACAGAAGCATTCTCAGAAACTTATTTGTGATGTGTGTCCTCAACTAACAGAGTTGAACCTTTGTTTTGATACAGCATTTTGGAAACACTCCTTTTGTAGAATCTGCAGGTGGATATTTGGATAGCTTTGAAGATTTCGTTGGAAACCGGAATATCTTCATATAAAATCAAGACAGAAGCATTCTCGGAAACATCTCTGTGATGTTTGCATTCAACTCAGTAGAGTTGAACACTTCCTTTCCTAGAGCAGGTTTGAAACACTCTTTCTGCCCTACCTGGAAGCGGACATTTCGAGCTCTTTGAGGCCTATGGTGAAAAAGGAAATATCTTCTCATAAAAACCAGAAAGAAGCATTCTCAGAAACTTCTTTGTGTTGTGTGTACTCAAGTAACAGTGTTGAACCTTCCTTTTGACAGAGCAGTTTTGAAACACTCTTTTGGTAGAATCTGCAAGTGGATATTTGGATAGCTTTGAGGATTTCGTTGGAAACGGGTTATCTTCATATAAAATCCAGACAGGAGCATTCTCAGAAACTTCTTTGTGCTGTATGTCCTCAATTCACAGAGTTGAACCTTTGTTTGGATACAGCATTTTGGAAACATTCCTTTAGTAGAATCTGCAAGTTGATATTTAGATAGCTTTGAAGATTTCGTTGGAAACGGGAATATCTTCATAAAAAATCTAGACGGAAGCATTGTCAGAAACTGCTCTGTGATGTTTGCATTCAAGTCACAGAGTTAAATATTCTTTTACAGAGCAGGTTTGAAACACTCTTTCTGCACTCCCTGGAAGTGGCGATTTCGAGCGCTTTGAGGCCTATGGTGAAAAAGGAAATATCTTCCCATAAAAACTAGACGGAAGCATTCTCAGAAACTTGTTTGTGATGTGTGTATTCAACTAACAGAGTTGAACTTTTGTTTTTACAGAGCCGTTTTAAAACACTCTTTTTGTGGAATCAGAAAGTGGATATTCGGATGGCTACTGAGGATTTCGTTGGAAGCGGGATTACGTATAAAATCTAGAGAGAAGCATTCTCAGGAACTTCTTTCTGATGTTTGCATTGAAGTCACGGAATTGAACATTCACTTTTATAGAGCAGGTTTGAAACACTCATTCTGTAGTATCTGGAAGTGGACATTTCAAGCGCTTTCAGGCCTATGGTGAGAAAGGAAATATCTTCGAATAAAAACTAGACAGAAGCATCCTCAGAAACTTATTTGTGATGTGTGTCCTCAACTAACAGAGTTGAAACTTTGTTTTGATACAGCATTTTGGAAACACTCTTTTTGTAGAATCTGCAGGTGGATATTTGGATAGCTTAGAGGGATTCGTTGGAAAGGGGATATCTTCATATAAAATCTAGACAGAAGCATTCTCAGAAACTTATTTGTGATGTGTGTCCTCAACTAACAGAGTTGAACCTTGGTTTTGATACAGCATTTTGGAAACACTCCTTTTGAAGAATCTGCAGGTGGATATGTGGATAGCTTTGAAGATTTCGTTGGAAACGGGAATTTCTTCATATAAAATCAAACAGAAGCATTCTCAGAAACTTCTCAGTGATGTTTGCATTCAGCTCATGGAGTTGTACACTTCCTTTCATAGAGCAGGTTTGAAACACTCTTTCTGCACTACCTGGAAGAGGACATTTCGAGCGCTTTGAGTCCTATGGTGAAAAAGGAAATATCTTCTCATAGAAACCAGAAAGAAGCATTCTCAGAAACTTCTTTGTGTTGTGTGTACTCATGTAACAGTGTTGAACCATCCTTTTGACAGAGCAGTTTTGAAACACTCTTTTTGTAGAATCTGCAAGTGGATATTTGGATAGCTTTGAGGATTTCGTTGGAAACGGGATGACATATAATATCTAGAGAGAAGCATTCTCAGGAACTTCTTTGTGATGTTTGCATTCAAGTCACAGAATTGAACATTCCCTTTCATAGAGCAGGTTTGAAACACTCTTTCTCTAGTATCTGGAAGTGGGCATTTCAAGCGCTTTCAGGCCTATGGAGAGAAAGGAAATACCTTCAAATAAAAACTAGACAGAAGCATTCTCAGAAACTTATTTGTGATGTGTGTCCTCAACTAACAGAGTTGAACCTTTGTTTTGATACAGCATTTTGGAAACACTCCTTTTGTAGAATCTGCAGGTGGATATTTGGATAGCTTTGAAGATTTCGTTGGAAACCGGAATATCTTCATATAAAATCAAGACAGAAGCATTCTCGGAAACATCTCTGTGATGTTTGCATTCAACTCAGTAGAGTTGAACACTTCCTTTCATAGAGCAGGTTTGAAACACTCTTTCTGCACTACCTGGAAGCGGACATTTCGAGCGCTTTGAGGCCTATGGTGAAAAAGGAAATATCTTCTCATAAAAACCAGAAAGAAGCATTCTCAGAAACTTCTTTGTGTTGTGTGTACTCAAGTAACAGTGTTGAACCTTCCTTTTGACAGAGCAGTTTTGAAACACTCTTTTGGTAGAATCTGCAAGTGGATATTTGGATAGCTTTGAGGATTTCGTTGGAAACGGGTTATCTTCCTATAAAATCCAGACAGGAGCATTCTCAGAAACTTCTTTGTGCTGTATGTCCTCAATTCACAGAGTTGAACCTTTGTTTGGATACAGCATTTTGGAAACATTCCTTTAGTAGAATCTGCAAGTTGATATTTAGATAGCTTTGAAGATTTCGTTGGAAACGGGAATATCTTCATAAAAAATACTAGACGGAAGCATTCTCAGAAACTGCTTTGTGATGTTTGCATTCAAGTCACAGAGTTGAATATTCCCTTTTATAGAGTAGGTTTGAAACACTCTTTCGGCACTACCTGGAAGTGGATATTTCGAGCTCTTTGAGGCCTATGGTTAAAAGGAAATATCTTCCCATAAAAACTAGACAGAAGCCGTCTCAGAAACTTGTTTGTGATGTGTGTATTCAACTAACAGAGTTGAACATTTCTGTTACAGAGCAATTTTAAAACACTCTTTTTGTGGAATCTGAAAGTGGATAATTGGGTAGCTTTGTGGATTTCGTTGGAAACGGGATGACGTATAAAATCTAGAGAGAAGCATTCTCAGGAACTTCTTTCTGATGTTTGCATTCAGGTCACAGAATTGACATTCCTTTTCAGAGTGCAGGTTTGAAACACTCTTTCTGTAGTATCTGGAAGTGGACATTTCAAGCGCTTTCAGGCCTACGGGGAGAAAGGAAATATCTTCAAATAAAAACTAGACAGAAGGATTCTCAGAAACTTATTTGTGATGTGTGTCCTAAGTGAACACAGTTGAACCTTTGTTTTGATACAGCATTTTGGAAACACTCCTTTTGTAGAATCTGCAGGTGGATATTTGGATAGATTTTAAGATTTCATTGGAAACGGGAATTTCTGCATAGAAACTCAAGACAGATGCATTCTCAGAAACTTCTCTGTGATGTTTGCATTCCACTCATAGAGTTGAAAACTTCCTTTCATAGAGCAGGTTTGAAACACTCTTTTTGTAATATTTGGAAGTGGACCTTTGCAGCGCTTTGAGGCCTATGGTGAAAAAGGAAATATCTTCTCATAAAAACCAGAAACAAGCATTCTCAGAAACTTCTTTTTGATGTGTGTACTCAAATATCAGAGTTGAACCTTCCTTTTGACACAGCAGTTTTGAAACAATCTTTTTGTAGAATCTGCAAGTGGATATTTGGATAGCTTTGAGGATTTCGTTGGAAACGGGATATCTTCATATAAAATCTAGACAGAAGCATTGTCAGAAACTTCTTTGTGCTATATGTCCTCAATTAACAGAGTTGAACCATTGCTTGGATACAGCATTTTGGAAACATTCCTTTAGTAGAATCTGCAAGTTGATATTTAGATAGATTTGAAGATTTCGTTGGAAACGGGAATATCTTCATATAAAATCTAGACGGAAGCATTCTCAGAAACTGCTTTGTGATGTTTCCATTCAAGTCACAGAGTTGAATATTCTCTTTTATAGAGCACGTTTGAAACACTCTTTCTGCACTATCTGGAAGTGGACATTTCGAGCGCTTTGAGGCCTATGGTGAAAAAGGAAATATCTTCCCGTAAAAACTAGACAGAAGCATTCTCAGAAACTTGTTTGTGATGTGTGTATTCAACTAACAGAGTTGAACTTTTGTTTTTACAGAGCAGTTTTAAAACACTCTTTTTGTGGATTCATAAAGTGCATAGTCGGATGGCTCTGAGGATTTCGTTGGAAGCGGGATTACATATAAAATCTAGAGAGAAGCATTCTCAGGAACTACTTTGTGATGTTTGCATTGAAGTCACAGAATTGAACATTCACTTTGATAGAGCAGGTTTGAAACAATCATTCTGTAGTATCTGGAAGCGGACAATTCAAGCGCTTTCAGGCCTATGGGGAGAAAGGAAATATCTTCAAATAAAAACTAGACAGAAGCATCCTCAGAAACTTATTTGTGATGTGTGTCCTCAACTAACAGAGTTGAAACTTTGTTTTGATACAGCATTTTGGAAACACTCTTTTTGTAGAATCTGCAGGTGGATATTTGGATAGCTTAGAGGGATTCGTTGGAAAGGGAATATCTTCATATAAAATCTAGACAGAAGCATTCTCAGAAACTTATTTGTGATGTGTGTCCTCAACTAACAGAGTTGAACCTTGGTTTTGATACAGCATTTTGGAAACACTCCTTTTGTAGAATCTGCAGGTGGATATGTGGATAGCTTTGAAGATTTCGTTGGAAACGGGAATTTCTTCATATAAAATCAAACAGAAGCATTCTCAGAAACTTCTCAGTGATGTTTGCATTCAGTTCATGGAGTTGAACACTTCCTTTCATAGAGCCGGTTTGAAACACTCTTTCTGCACTACCTGGAAGAGGACATTTCGAGCGCTTTGAGTCCTATGGTGAAAAAGGAAATATCTTCTCATAGAAACCAGAAAGAAGCATTCTCAGAAACTTCTTTGTGTTGTGTGTACTCATGTAACAGTGTTGAACCATCCTTTTGACAGAGCAGTTTTGAAACACTCTTTTTGTAGAATCTGCAAGTGGATATTTGGATAGCTTTGAGGATTTCGTTGGAAACGGGATGACATATAATATCTAGAGAGAAGCATTCTCAGGAACTTCTTTGTGATGTTTGCATTCAAGTCACAGAATTGAACATTCCCTTTCATAGAGCAGGTTTGAAACACTCTTTCTCTAGTATCTGGAAGTGGGCATTTCAAGCGCTTTCAGGCCTATGGAGAGAAAGGAAATACCTTCAAATAAAAACTAGACAGAAGCATTCTCAGAAACTTATTTGTGATGTGTGTCCTCAACTAACAGAGTTGAACCTTTGTTTTGATACAGCATTTTGGAAACACTCCTTTTGTAGAATCTGCAGGTGGATATTTGGATAGCTTTGAAGATTTCGTTGGAAACCGGAATATCTTCATATAAAATCAAGACAGAAGCATTCTCGGAAACATCTCTGTGATGTTTGCATTCAACTCAGTAGAGTTGAACACTTCCTTTCATAGAGCAGGTTTGAAACACTCTTTCTGCACTACCTGGAAGCGGACATTTCGAGCGCTTTGAGGCCTATGGTGAAAAAGGAAATATCTTCTCATAAAAACCAGAAAGAAGCATTCTCAGAAACTTCTTTGTGTTGTGTGTACTCAAGTAACAGTGTTGAACCTTCCTTTTGACAGAGCAGTTTTGAAACACTCTTTTGGTAGAATCTGCAAGTGGATATTTGGAGAGCTTTGAGGATTTCGTTGGAAACGGGTTATCTTCATATAAAATCCAGACAGGAGCATTCTCAGAAACTTCTTTGTGCTGTATGTCCTCAATTCACAGAGCTGAACCTTTGTTTGGATACAGCATTTTGGAGACATTCCTTTAGTAGAATCTGCAAGTTGATATTTAGATAGCTTTGAAGATTTCGTTGGAAACGGGAATATCTTCATAGAAAATGCTAGACGGAAGCATTCTCAGAAACTGCTTTGTGATGTTTGCATTCAAGTCACAGAGTTGAATATTCCCTTTTATAGAGTAGGTTTGAAACACTCTTTCGGCACTACCTGGAAGTGGATATTTCGAGCTCTTTGAGGCCTATGGTTAAAAGGAAATATCTTCCCATAAAAACTAGACAGAAGCCGTCTCAGAAACTTGTTTGTGATGTGTGTATTCAACTAACAGAGTTGAACATTTCTGTTACAGAGCAATTTTAAAACACTCTTTGTGGAATCTGAAAGTGGATAATTGGATAGCTTTGTGGATTTCGTTGGAAACGGGATGACGTATAAAATCTAGAGAGAAGCATTCTCAGGAACTTCTTTCTGATGTTTGCATTCAAGTCACAGAATTGAACATTCCTTTTCAGAGTGCAGGTTTGAAACACTCTTTCTGTAGTATCTGGAAGTGGACATTTCAAGCGCTTTCAGGCCTACGGGGAGAAAGGAAATCTCTTCAAATAAAAACCAGACAGAAGGATTCTCAGAAACTTATTTGTGATGTGTGTCCTAAACGAACACAGTTGAACCTTTGTTTTGATACAGCATTTTGGAAACACTCCTTTTGTAGGATCTGCAGGTGGATATTTGGATAGATTTTAAAATTTCGTTGGAAACGGGAATTTCTTCATAGAAGCTCAAGACAGATGCATTCTCAGAAACTTCTCTGTGATGTTTGCATTCCACTCATAGAGTTGAAAACTTCCTTTCATAGAGCAGGTTTGAAACACTCTTTCTGTAATATTTGGAAGTGGACATTTGCAGCGCTTTGAGGCCTATGGTGAAAAAGGAAATATCTTCTCATAAAAACCAGAAACAAGCATTCTCAGAAAGTTCTTTTTGATGTGTGTACTCAAGTAACAGAGTTGAACCTTCCTTTTGACACAGCAGTTTTGAAACAATCTTTTTGTGGAATCTGCAAGTGGATATTTGGATAGCTTTGAGGATTTCATTGGAAACGGGATATCTTCATATAAAATCTAGACAGAAGCATTCTCAGAAACTTCTTTGTGCTGTATGTCCTCAATTAACAGAGTTGAACCATGGCTTGGATACAGCATTTTGGAAACATTCCTTGAGTAGAATCTGCAAGTTGATATGTAGATAGCTTTGAAGATTTCGTTGGAAACGGGAATATCTTCATATAAAATCTAGACGGAAGCATTCTCAGAAACTGCTTTGTGACGTTCCCATTCAAGTCACGGAGTTGAATATTCTCTTTTATAGAGCACGTTTGAAACACTCTTTCTGCACTATCTGGAAGTGGACATTTCGAGCGCTTTGAGGCCTATGGTGAAAAAGGAAATATCTTCCCATAAAAACTAGACAGAAGCATTCTCAGAAACTTGTTTGTGATGTGTGTATTCAACTAACAGACTTGAACTTTTGTTTTTACAGAGCAGTTTTAAAACAATCTTTTTGTGGAATCAGAAAGTGGATATTCGGATGGCTTTGAGGATTTCGTTGGAAGCGGGATTACATATAAAATCTAGAGAGAAGCATTCTCAGGAACTTCTTTGTGATGTTTGCATTGAAGTCACAGAATTGAACATTCACTTTGATAGAGCAGGTTTGAAACACTCATTCTGTAGTATCTGGAAGTGGACATTTCAAGCGCTTTCAGGCCTATGGTGAGAAAGGAAATATCTTCGAATAAAAACTAGACAGAAGCATTCTCAGAAACTTATTTGTGATGTGTGTCCTCAACTAACAGAGTTGAAACTTTGTTTTGATACAGCATTTTGGAAACACTCTTTTTGTAGAATCTGCAGGTGGATATTTGGATAGCTTAGAGGGATTCGTTGGAAAGGGGATATCTTCATATAAAATCTAGACAGAAGCATTCTCAGAAACTTATTTGTGATGTGTGTCCTCAACTAACAGAGTGGAACCTTGGTTTTGATACAGCATTTTGGAAACACTCCTTTTGTAGAATCTGCAGGTGGATATGTGGATAGCTTTGAAGATTTCGTTGGAAACGGGAATTTCTTCATATAAAATCAAACAGAATCATTCTCAGAAACTTCTCTGTGATGTTTGCATTCAGCTCATGGAGTTGAACACTTTCTTTCATAGAGCAGCTTTGAAACACTCTTTCTGCACTACCAGGAAGTGGACATTTCTAGCGCTTTGAGGCCTATGGTGAAAAAGGAAATATCTTCTCATAAAAACCAGAAAGAAGCGTTCTCAGAAACTTCTTTGTGTTGTGTGTACTCATGTAACAGTGTTGAACCATCCTTTTGACAGAGCAGTTTTGAAACACTCTTTTTGTAGAATCTGCAAGTGGATATTTGGATAGCTTTGAGGATTTCGTTGGAAACGGATTATCTTCATATTAAATCTAGACAGAAGCATTCTCAGAAACTTCTTTGTGCTGTATGTCCTCAATTCACAGAGTTGAACCTTTGGATACAGCATTTTGGAAACATTCCTTTAGTAGAATCTGCAAGTTGATATTTAGATAGCTTTGAAGATTTCGTTGGAAACGGGAATATCTTCATAAAAAATCTAGACGGAAGCATTGTCAGAAACTGCTTTGTGATGTTTGCATTCAAGTCACAGAGTTAAATATTCTTTTACAGAGCAGGTTTGAAACACTCTTTCTGCACTCCCTGGAAGTGGAGATTTCGAGCGCTTTGAGGCCTATGGTGAAAAAGGAAATATCTTCCCATAAAAACTAGACGGAAGCCTTCTCAGAAACTTGTTTGAGATGTGTGTATTCAACTAAGAGCGTTGAACATTTCTTTTTACAGAGCAGTTTTAAAACACTCTTTTTGTGGAATCTGAAAGTGGATAATTGGATAGTTTGTGGATTTCGTTGGAAACGGGATGACGTATAAAATCTAGAGAGAAGCATTCTCAGGAACTTCTTTCTGATGTTTGCATTCAAGTCACAGAATTGAACATTCCTTTTCATAGTGCAGGTTTGAAACACTCTTTCTGTAGTATCTGGAAGTGGACATTTCCAGCGCTTTCAGGCCTATGGGGAGAAAGGAAATATCTTCAAATAAAAACTAGACAGAAGGATTCTCAGAAACTTATTGGTGATGTGTGTCCTAAACGAACACAGTTGAACCTTTGTTTTGATACAGCATTTTGGAAACACTCCCTTTGTAGAATCTGCAGGTGGATATTTGGATAGATTTTAAGATTTCGTTGGAAACGGGAATTTCTTCGTATAAACTCAAGACAGATGCATTCTCAGAAACTTCTCTGTGATGTTTGCATTCCACTCATAGAGTTGAAAACTTCCTTTCATAGAGCAGGTTTGAAACACTCTTTTTGTAATATTTGGAAGTGGACATTTGCAGCGCTTTGAGGCCTATGGTGAAAAAGGAAATATCTTCTCATAAAAACCAGAAACAAGCATTCTCAGAAACTGCTTTTTGATGTGTGTACTCAAGTAACAGAGTTGAACCTTCCTTTTGACACAGCAGTTTTGAAACAATCTTTTTGTAGAATCTGCAAGTGGATATTTGGATAGCTTTGAGGATTTCGTTGGAAACGGGATATCTTCATATAAAATCTAGACAGAAGCATTCTCAGAAACTTCTTTGTGCTGTATGTCCTCAATTAACAGAGTTGAACCATGGCTTGGATACAGCATTTTGGAAACATTCCTTTAGTAGAATCTGCAAGTTGATATTTAGATAGCTTTGAAGATTTCGTTGGAAACGGGAATATCTTCATATAAAATCTAGACGGAGGCATTCTCAGAAACTGCTTTGTGATGTTTCCATTCAAGTCACAGAGTTGAATATTCTCTTTTATAGAGCACGTTTGAAACACTCTTTCTGCACTATCTGGAAGTGGACATTTCGAGCGCTTTGAGGCCTATGGTGAAAAAGGAAATATCTTCCCATAAAAACTAGACAGAAGCATTCTCAGAAACTTGTTTGTGATGTGTGTATTCAACTAACAGACTTGAACTTTTGTTTTTACAGAGCAGTTTTAAAACAATCTTTTTGTGGAATCAGAAAGTGGATATTCGGATGGCTTTGAGGATTTCGTTGGAAGCGGGATTACATATAAAATCTAGAGAGAAGCATTCTCAGGAACTACTTTGTGATGTTTGCATTGAAGTCACAGAATTGAACATTCACTTTGATAGAGCAGGTTTGAAACACTCATTCTGTAGTATCTGGAAGTGGACATTTCAAGCGCTTTCAGGCCTATGGGGAGAAAGGAAATATCTTCAAATTAAAACTAGACAGAAGCATCCTCAAACTTATTTGTGATGTGTGTCCTCAACTAACAGAGTTGAAACTTTGTTTTGATACAGCATTTTGGAAACACTCTTTTTGTAGAATCTGCAGGTGGATATTTGGATAGCTTAGAGGGATTCGTTGGAAAGGGGATATCTTCATATAGAATCTAGACAGAAGCATTCTCAGAAACTTATTTGTGATGTGTGTCCTCAACTAACAGAGTTGAACCTTGGTTTTGATACAGCATTTTGGAAACACTCCTTTTGTAGAATCTGCAGGTGGATATGTGGATAGCTCTGAAGATTTCGTTGGAAACGGGAATTTCTTCATATAAAATCAAACAGAAGCATTCTCAGAAACTTCTCAGTGATGTTTGCATTCAGTTCATGGAGTTGAACACTTCCTTTCATAGAGCCGGTTTGAAACACTCTTTCTGCACTACCTGGAAGAGGACATTTCGAGCGCTTTGAGTCCTATGGTGAAAAAGGAAATATCTTCTCATAGAAACCAGAAAGAAGCATTCTCAGAAACTTCTTTGTGTTGTGTGTACTCATGTAACAGTGTTGAACCATCCTTTTGACAGAGCAGTTTTGAAACACTCTTTTTGTAGAATCTGCAAGTGGATATTTGGATAGCTTTGAGGATTTCGTTGGAAACGGGTTATCTTCATATTAAATCTAGACAGAAGCATTCTCAGAAACTTCTTTGTGCTGTATGTCCTCAATTCACAGAGTTGATCCTTTGTTTGGATACAGCATTTTGGAAACATTCCTTTAGTAGAATCTGCAAGTTGATATTTAGATAGCTTTGACGATTTCGTTGGAAACGGGAATATCTTCATAAAAAATCTAGACGGAAGCATTCTCAGAAACTGCTTTGTGATGTTTGCATTCAAGTCACAGAGTTGAATATTCCCTTTTATAGAGTAGGTTTGAAACACTCTTTCGGCACTACCTGGAAGTGGATATTTCGAGCTCTTTGAGGCCTATGGTTAAAAGGAAATATCTTCCCATAAAAACTAGACAGAAGCCGTCTCAGAAACTTGTTTGTGATGTGTGTATTCAACTAACAGAGTTGAACATTTCTGTTACAGAGCAATTTTAAAACACTCTTTCTGTGAAATCTGAAAGTGGATAATTGGATAGCTTTGTGGATTTCGTTGGAAACGGGATGACGTATAAAATCTAGAGAGAAGCATTCTCAGGAACTTCTTTCTGATGTTTGCATTCAAGTCACAGAATTGAACATTCCTTTTCATAGTGCAGGTTTGAAACACTCTTTCTGTAGTATCTGGAAGGGGACATTTCAAGCGCTTTCAGGCCTCTGGGGAGGAAGGAAATATCTTCAAATAAAAACTAGACAGAAGGCTTCTCAGAAACTTATTTGTGATGTGTGTCCTAAACGAACACAGTTGAACCTTTGTTTTGATACAGCATTTTGGAAACACTCCTTTTGTAGAATCTGCAGGTGGATATTTGGATAGATTTTAAGATTTCGTTGGAAACGGGAATTTCTTCATAGAAACTCAAGACAGATGCATTCTCAGAAACTTCTCTGTGATGTTTGCATTCCACTCATAGAGTTGAAAACTTCCTTTCATAGAGCAGGTTTGAAACACTCTTTTTGTAATATTTGGAAGTGGACATTTGCAGAGCTTTGAGGCCTATGGTGAAAAAGGAAATATCTTCTCATAAAAACCAGAAACGAGCATTCTCAGAAACTTCTTTTTGATGTGTGTACTCAAGTAACAGAGTTGAACCTTCCTTTTGACACAGCAGTTTTGAAACAATCTTTTTGTAGAATCTGCAAGTGGATATTTGGATAGCTTTGAGGATTTCGTTGGAAACGGGATATCTTCATATAAAATCTAGACAGAAGCATTCTCAGAAACTTCTTTGTGCTGTATGTCCTCAATTAACAGAGTTGAACCATTGCCTGGATACAGCATTTTGGAAACATTCCTTGAGTAGAATCTGCAAGTTGATATTTAGATAGATTTGAAGATTTCGTTGGAAAAGGGAATATCTCCATATAAAATCTAGAGGGAAGCATTCTCAGAAACTGCTTTGTGATGTTTCCATTCAAGTCACAGAGTTGAATATTCCCTTTTATAGAGCACGTTTGAAACACTCTTTCTGCACTATCTGGAAGCGGACATTTCGAGCGCTTTGAGGCCTATGGTGAAAAAGGAAATATCTTCCCATAAAAACTAGACAGAAGCATTCTCAGAAACTTGTTTGTGATGTGTGTATTCAACTAACAGAGTTGAACTTTTGTTTTTACAGAGCCGTTTTAAAACACTCTTTTTGTGGAATCAGAAAGTGGATATTCGGATGGCTCTGAGGATTTCGTTGGAAGCGGGATTACGTATAAAATCTAGAGAGAAGCATTCTCAGGAACTTCTTTCTGATGTTTGCATTGAAGTCACAGAATTGAACATTCACTTTGATAGAGCAGGTTTGAAACACTCATTCTGTAGTATCTGGAAGTGGACATTTCAAGCGCTTTCAGGCCTATGGTGAGAAAGGAAATATCTTCGAATAAAAACTAGACAGAAGCATCCTCAGAAACTTATTTGTGATGTGTGTCCTCAACTAACAGAGTTGAAACTTTGTTTTGATACAGCATTTTGGAAACACTCTTTTTGTAGAATCTGCAGGTGGATATTTGGATAGCTTAGAGGGATTCGTTGGAAAGGGGATATCTTCATATAAAATCTAGACAGAAGCATTCTCAGAAACTTATTTGTGATGTGTGTCCTCAACTAACAGAGTTGAACCTTGGTTTTGATACAGCATTTTGGAAACACTCCTTTTGTAGAATCTGCAGGTGGATATGTGGATAGCTCTGAAGATTTCGTTGGAAACGGGAATTTCTTCATATAAAATCAAACAGAAGCATTCTCAGAAACTTCTCAGTGATGTTTGCATTCAGCTCATGGAGTTGTACACTTCCTTTCATAGAGCAGGTTTGAAACACTCTTTCTGCACTACCTGGAAGAGGACATTTCGAGCGCTTTGAGTCCTATGGTGAAAAAGGAAATATCTTCTCATAGAAACCAGAAAGAAGCATTCTCAGAAACTTCTTTGTGTTGTGTGTACTCATGTAACAGTGTTGAACCATCCTTTTGACAGAGCAGTTTTGAAACACTCTTTTTGTAGAATCTGCAAGTGGATATTTGGATAGCTTTGAGGATTTCGTTGGAAACGGGATGACATATAATATCTAGAGAGAAGCATTCTCAGGAACTTCTTTGTGATGTTTGCATTCAAGTCACAGAATTGAACATTCCCTTTCATAGAGCAGGTTTGAAACACTCTTTCTCTAGTATCTGGAAGTGGGCATTTCAAGCGCTTTCAGGCCTATGGAGAGAAAGGAAATACCTTCAAATAAAAACTAGACAGAAGCATTCTCAGAAACTTATTTGTGATGTGTGTCCTCAACTAACAGAGTTGAACCTTTGTTTTGATACAGCATTTTGGAAACACTCCTTTTGTAGAATCTGCAGGTGGATATTTGGATAGCTTTGAAGATTTCGTTGGAAACCGGAATATCTTCATATAAAATCAAGACAGAAGCATTCTCGGAAACATCTCTGTGATGTTTGCATTCAACTCAGTAGAGTTGAACACTTCCTTTCATAGAGCAGGTTTGAAACACTCTTTCTGCACTACCTGGAAGCGGACATTTCGAGCGCTTTGAGGCCTATGGTGAAAAAGGAAATATCTTCTCATAAAAACCAGAAAGAAGCATTCTCAGAAACTTCTTTGTGTTGTGTGTACTCAAGTAACAGTGTTGAACCTTCCTTTTGACAGAGCAGTTTTGAAACACTCTTTTGGTAGAATCTGCAAGTGGATATTTGGATAGCTTTGAGGATTTCGTTGGAAACGGGTTATCTTCATATAAAATCCAGACAGGAGCATTCTCAGAAACTTCTTTGTGCTGTATGTCCTCAATTCACAGAGCTGAACCTTTGTTTGGATACAGCATTTTGGAGACATTCCTTTAGTAGAATCTGCAAGTTGATATTTAGATAGCTTTGAAGATTTCGTTGGAAACGGGAATATCTTCATAGAAAATCTAGACGGAAGCATTCTCAGAAACTGCTTTGTGATGTTTGCATTCAAGTCACAGAGTTGAATATTCCCTTTTATAGAGTAGGTTTGAAACACTCTTTCGGCACTACCTGGAAGTGGATATTTCGAGCTCTTTGAGGCCTATGGTTAAAAGGAAATATCTTCCCATAAAAACTAGACAGAAGCCGTCTCAGAAACTTGTTTGTGATGTGTGTATTCAACTAACAGAGTTGAACATTTCTGTTACAGAGCAATTTTAAAACACTCTTTGTGGAATCTGAAAGTGGATAATTGGATAGCTTTGTGGATTTCGTTGGAAACGGGATGACGTATAAAATCTAGAGAGAAGCATTCTCAGGAACTTCTTTCTGATGTTTGCATTCAAGTCACAGAATTGAACATTCCTTTTCAGAGTGCAGGTTTGAAACACTCTTTCTGTAGTATCTGGAAGTGGACATTTCAAGCGCTTTCAGGCCTACAGGGAGAAAGGAAATATCTTCAAATAAAAACTAGAGAGAAGGATTCTCAGAAACTTATTTGTGATGTGTGTCCTAAACGAACACAGTTGAACCTTTGTTTTGATACAGCATTTTGGAAACACTCCTTTTGTAGGATCTGCAGGTGGATATTTGGATAGATTTTAAGATTTCGTTGGAAACGGGAATTTCTTCATAGAAGCTCAAGACAGATGCATTCTCAGAAACTTCTCTGTGATGTTTGCATTCCACTCATAGAGTTGAAAACTTCCTTTCATAGAGCAGGTTTGAAACACTCTTTTTGTAATATTTGGAAGTGGACATTTGCAGCGCTTTGAGGCCTATGGTGAAAAAGGAAATATCTTCTCATAAAAACCAGAAACAAGCATTCTCAGAAACTTCTTTTTGAT
The DNA here is from genome assembly GCF_000001405.40 of Homo sapiens. NCBI lineage: Eukaryota > Metazoa > Chordata > Mammalia > Primates > Hominidae > Homo > Homo sapiens. Next base: position 51,285,260 of record NC_000004.12, read on the forward strand.
GTGTGTACTCAAGTAACAGAGTTGAACCTTCCTTTTGACACAGCAGTTTTGAAACAATCTTTTTGTAGAATCTGCAAGTGGATATTTGGATAGCTTTGAGGATTTCGTTGGAAACGGGATATCTTCATATAAAATCTAGACAGAAGCATTCTCAGAAACTTCTTTGTGCTGTATGTCCTCAATTAGCAGAGTTGAACCATTGCTTGCATACAGCATTTTGGAAACATTCCTTTAGTAGAATCTGCAAGTTGATATTTAGATAGATTTGAAGATTTCGTTGGAAACGGGAATATCTTCATATAAAATCTAGACGGAGGCATTCTCAGAAACTGCTTTGTGATGTTTCCATTCAAGTCACAGAGTTGAATATTCTCTTTTATAGAGCACGTTTGAAACACTCTTTCTGCACTATCTGGAAGTGGACATTTCAAGCGCTGTGAGGCCTATGGTGAAAAAGGAAATATCTTCCCATAAAAACTAGACAGAAGCATTCTCAGAAACTTGTTTGTGATGTGTGTATTCAACTAACAGACTTGAACTTTTGTTTTTACAGAGCAGTTTTAACACAATCTTTTTGTGGAATCACAAAGTGGATATTCGGATGGCTTTGAGGATTTCGTTGGAAGCGGGATTACATATAAAATCTAGAGAGAAGCATTCTCAGGAACTACTTTGTGATGTTTACATTGAAGTCACAGAATTGAACATTCACTTTGATAGAGCAGGTTTGAAACACTCATTCTGTAGTATCTGGAAGCCGACAATTCAAGCGCTTTCAGGCCTATGGGGAGAAAGGAAATATCTTCAAATAGAAACTAGACAGAAGCATCCTCAGAAACTTATTTGTGATGTGTGTCCTCAACTAACAGAGTTGAAACTTTGTTTTGATACAGCATTTTGGAAACACTCTTTTTGTAGAATCTGCAGGTGGATATTTGGATAGCTTAGAGGGATTCGTTGGAAAGGGGATATCTTCTTATAAAATCTAGACAGAAGCATTCTCAGAAACTTATTTGTGATGTGTGTCCTCAACTAACAGAGTTGAACCTTGGTTTTGATACAGCATTTTGGAAACACTCCTTTTGTAGAATCTGCAGGTGGATATGTGGATAGCTCTGAAGATTTCGTTGGAAACGGGAATTTCTTCATATAAAATCAAACAGAAGCATTCTCAGAAACTTCTCAGTGATGTTTGCATTCAGCTCATGGAGTTGTACACTTCCTTTCATAGAGCAGGTTTGAAACACTCTTTCTGCACTACCTGGAAGAGGACATTTCGAGCGCTTTGAGTCCTATGGTGAAAAAGGAAATATCTTCTCATAGAAACCAGAAAGAAGCGTTCTCAGAAACTTCTTTGTGTTGTGTGTACTCATGTAACAGTGTTGAACCATCCTTTTGACAGAGCAGTTTTGAAACACTCTTTTTGTAGAATCTGCAAGTGGATATTTGGATAGCTTTGAGGATTTCGTTGGAAACGGGTTATCTTCACATTAAATCTAGACAGAAGCATTCTCAGAAACTTCTTTGTGCTGTATGTCCTCAATTCACAGAGTTGAACCTTTGTTTGGATACAGCATTTTGGAAACATTCCTTTAGTAGAATCTGCAAGTTGATATTTAGATAGCTTTGAAGATTTCGTTGGAAACGGGAATATCTTCATAAAAAATCTAGACGGAAGCATTGTCAGAAACTGCTTTGTGATGTTTGCATTCAAGTCACAGAGTTAAATATTCTTTTACAGAGCAGGTTTGAAACACTCTTTCTGCACTCCCTGGAAATGGAGATTTCGAGCGCTTTGAGGCCTATGGTGAAAAAGGAAATATCTTCCCATAAAAACTAGACGGAAGCCTTCTCAGAAACTTGTTTGAGATGTGTGTATTCAACTAAGAGCGTTGAACATTTCTTTTTACAGAGCAGTTTTAAAACACTCTTTTTGTGGAATCTGAAAGTGGATAATTGGATAGCTTTTTGGATTTCGTTGGAAACGGGATGACGTATAAAATCTAGAGAGAAGCATTCTCAGGAACTTCTTTCTGATGTTTGCATTCAAGTCACAGAATTGACCATTCCTTTTCATAGTGCAGGTTTGAAACACTCTTTCTGTAGTATCTGGAAGTGGACATTTCAAGCGCTTTCAGGCCTATGGGGAGAAAGGAAATATCTTCAAATAAAAACTAGACAGAAGGATTTTCAGCAAACTTATTGGTGATGTGTGTCCTAAACGAACACAGTTGAACCTTTGTTTTGATACAGCATTTTGGAAACACTCCCTTTGTAGAATCTGCAGGTGGATATTTGGATAGATTTTAAGATTTCGTTGGAAACGGGAATTTCTTCATATAAACTCAAGACAGATGCATTCTCAGAAACTTCTCTGTGATGTTTGCATTCCACTCATAGAGTTGAAAACTTCCTTTCATAGAGCAGGTTTGAAACACTCTTTTTGTAATATTTGGAAGTGGACATTTGCAGCGCTTTGAGGCCTATGGTGAAAAAGGAAATATCTTCTCATAAAAACCAGAAACAAGCATTCTCAGAAACTTCTTTTTGATGTGTGTACTCAAGTAACAGAGTTGAACCTTCCTCTTGACACAGCAGTTTTGAAACAATCTTTTTGTAGAATCTGCAAGTGGATATTTGGATAGCTTTGAGGATTTCGTTGGAAACGGGATATCTTCATATAAAATCTAGACAGAAGCATTCTCAGAAACTTCTTTGTGCTGTATGTCCTCAATTAACAGAGTTGAACCATTGCCTGGATACAGCATTTTGGAAACATTCCTTGAGTAGAATCTGCAAGTTGATATTTAGATAGATTTGAAGATTTCGTTGGAAACGGGAATATCTCCATATAAAATCTAGAGGGAAGCATTCTCAGAACCTGCTTTGTGATGTTTCCATTCAAGTCACAGAGTTGAATATTCCCTTTTATAGAGCACGTTTGAAACACTCTTTCTGCACTATCTGGAAGCGGACATTTCGAGCGCTTTGAGGCCTATGGTGAAAAAGGAAATATCTTCCCATAAAAACTAGACAGAAGCATTCTCAGAAACTTGTTTGTGATGTGTGTATTCAACTAACAGAGTTGAACTTTTGTTTTTACAGAGCCGTTTTAAAACACTCTTTTTGTGGAATCAGAAAGTGGATATTCGGATGGCTCTGAGGATTTCGTTGGAAGCGGGATTACGTATAAAATCTAGAGAGAAGCATTCTCAGGAACTTCTTTGTGATGTTTGCATTGAAGTCACAGAATTGAACATTCACTTTGATAGAGCAGGTTTGAAACACTCATTCTGTAGGATCTGGAAGTGGACATTTCAAGCGCTTTCAGGCCTATGGTGAGAAAGGAAATATCTTCGAATAAAAACTAGACAGAAGCATCCTCAGAAACTTATTTGTGATGTGTGTCCTCAACTAACAGAGTTGAAACTTTGTTTTGATACAGCATTTTGGAAACACTCTTTTTGTAGAATCTGCAGGTGGATATTTGGATAGCTTAGAGGGAGTCGTTGGAAAGGGGATATCTTCATATAAAATCTAGACAGAAGCATTCTCAGAAACTTATTTGTGATGTGTGTCCTCAACTAACAGAGTTGAACCGTGGTTTTGATACAGCAGTTTGGAAACACTCCTTTTGTAGAATCTGCAGGTGTATATGTGGATAGCTTTGAAGATTTCGTTGGAAACGGGAATTTCTTCATATAAAATCAAACAGAAGCATTCTCAGAAACTTCTCTGTGATGTTTGCATTCAGCTCATGGAGTTGAACACTTCCTTTCATAGAGCAGCTTTGAAACAGTCTTTCTGCACTACCAGGAAGTGGACATTTCGAGCACTTTGAGGCCTATGGTGAAAAAGAAATATCTTCTCATAAAAACCAGAAAGAAGCGTTCTCAGAAACTTCTTTGTGTTGTGTGTACTCATGTAACAGTGTTGAACCATCCTTTTGACAGAGCAGTTTTGAAACACTCTTTTTGTAGAATCTGCAAGTGGATATTTGGATAGCTTTGAGGATTTCGTTGGAAACGGGTTATCTTCATATTAAATCTAGACAGAAGCATTCTCAGGAACTTCTTTGTGATGTTTGCATTCAAGTCACAGAATTGAACATTCCCTTTCATAGAGCAGGTTTGAAACACTCTTTCTCTAGTATCTGGAAGTGGGCATTTCAAGCGCTTTCAGGCCTATGGAGAGAAAGGAAATACCTTCAAATAAAAACTAGACAGAAGCATTCTCAGAAACTTATTTGTGATGTGTGTCCTCAACTAACAGAGTTGAACCTTTGTTTTGATACAGCATTTTGGAAACACTCCTTTTGTAGAATCTGCAGGTGGATATTTGGATAGCTTTGAAGATTTCGTTGGAAACCGGAATATCTTCATATAAAATCAAGACAGAAGCATTCTCGGAAACATCTCTGTGATGTTTGCATTCAACTCAGTAGAGTTGAACACTTCCTTTCATAGAGCAGGTTTGAAACACTCTTTCTGCACTACCTGGAAGCGGACATTTCGAGCGCTTTGAGGCCTATGGTGAAAAAGGAAATATCTTCTCATAAAAACCAGAAAGAAGCATTCTCAGAAACTTCTTTGTGTTGTGTGTACTCAAGTAACAGTGTTGAACCTTCCTTTTGACAGAGCAGTTTTGAAACACTCTTTTGGTAGAATCTGCAAGTGGATATTTGGATAGCTTTGAGGATTTCGTTGGAAACGGGTTATCTTCCTATAAAATCCAGACAGGAGCATTCTCAGAAACTTCTTTGTGCTGTATGTCCTCAATTCACAGAGTTGAACCTTTGTTTGGATACAGCATTTTGGAAACATTCCTTTAGTAGAATCTGCAAGTTGATATTTAGATAGCTTTGAAGATTTCGTTGGAAACGGGAATATCTTCATAAAAAATCTAGACGGAAGCATTGTCAGAAACTGCTTTGTGATGTTTGCATTCAAGTCACAGAGTTAAATATTCTTTTACAGAGCAGGTTTGAAACACTCTTTCTGCACTCCCTGGAAGTGGAGATTTCGAGCGCTTTGAGGCCTTTGGTGAAAAAGGAAATATCTTCCCATAAAAACTAGACGGAAGCCTTCTCAGAAACTTGTTTGAGATGTGTGTATTCAACTAAGAGCGTTGAACATTTCTTTTTACAGAGCAGTTTTAAAACACTCTTTTTGTGGAATCTGAAAGTGGATAATTGGATAGCTTTGTGGATTTCTTTGGAAACGGGATTACGTATAAAATCTAGAGAGAAGCATTCTCAGGAACTTCTTTCTGATGTTTGCATTCAAGTCACAGAATTGAACATTCCTTTTCATAGTGCAGGTTTGAAACACTCTGTAGTATCTGGAAGTGGACATTTCAAGCGCTTTCAAGCCTATGGGGAGAAAGGAAATATCTTGAAATAAAAACTAGACAGAAGTATTCTCAGAAACTTATTGGTGATGTGTGTCCTAAACGAACACAGTTGAACCTTTGTTTTGATACAGCATTTTGGAAACACTCCTTTTGTAGAATCTGCAGGTGGATATTTGGATAGATTTTAAGATTTCATTGGAAACGGGAATTTCTTCATATAAACTCAAGACAGATGCATTCTCAGAAACTTCTCTGTGATGTTTGCATTCCACTCATAGAGTTGAAAACTTCCTTTCATAGAGCAGGTTTGAAACACTCTTTTTGTAATATTTGGAAGTGGACATTTGCAGCGCTTTGAGGCCTATGGTGAAAAAGGAAATATCTTCTCATAAAAACCAGAAACAAGCATTCTCAGAAACTGCTTTTTGATGTGTGTACTCAAGTAACAGAGTTGAACCTTCCTTTTGACACAGCAGTTTTGAAACAATCTTTTTGTAGAATCTGCAAGTGGATATTTGGAGAGCTTTGAGGATTTCGTTGGAAACGGGATATCTTCATATAAAATCTAGACAGAAGCATTCTCAGAAACTTCTTTGTGCTGTATGTCCTCAATTAACAGAGTTGAACCATTGCTTGGATACAGCATTTTGGAAACATTCCTTTAGTAGAATCTGCAAGTTGATATTTAGATAGATTTGAAGATTTCGTTGGAAACGGGAATATCTTCATATAAAATCTAGACGGAGGCATTCTCAGAAACTGCTTTGTGATGTTTCCATTCAAGTCACAGAGTTGAATATTCTCTTTTATAGAGCACGTTTGAAACACTCTTTCTGCACTATCTGGAAGTGGACATTTCAAGCGCTGTGAGGCCTATGGTGAAAAAGGAAATATCTTCCCATAAAAACTAGACAGAATCATTCTCAGAAACTTGTTTGTGATGTGTGTATTCAACTAACAGACTTGAACTTTTGTTTTTACAGAGCAGTTTTAAGACAATCTTTTTGTGGAATCAGAAAGTGGATATTCGGATGGCTTTGAGGACTTCGTTGGAAGCGGGATTACATATAAAATCTAGAGAGAAGCATTCTCAGGAACTACTTTGTGATGTTTGCATTGAAGTCACAGAATTGAACATTCACTTTGATAGAGCAGGTTTGAAACACTCATTCTGTAGTATCTGGAAGTGGACATTTCAAGCGCTTTCAGGCCTATGGGGAGAAAGGAAATATCTTCAAATTAAAACTAGACAGAAGCATCCTCAGAAACTTATTTGTGATGTGTGTCCTCAACTAACAGAGTTGAAACTTTGTTTTGATACAGCATTTTGGAAACACTCTTTTTGTAGAATCTGCAGGTGGATACTTGGATAGCTTAGAGGGATTCGTTGGAAAGGGGATAAATTCATATAAAATCTAGACAGAAGCATTCTCAGAAACTTATTTGTGATGTGTGTCCTCAACTAACAGAGTTGAACCTTGGTTTTGATACAGCATTTTGGAAACACTCCTTTTGTAGAATCTGCATGTGGATATGTGGATAGCTCTGAAGATTTCGTTGGAAACGGGAATTTCTTCATATAAAATCAAACAGAAGCATTCTCAGAAACTTCTCTGTGATGTTTGCATTCAGCTCATGGAGTTGAACACTTCCTTTCATAGAGCAGGTTTGAAACACTCTTTCTGCACTACCAGGAAGTGGAGATTTCGAGCGCTTTGAGGCCTATGGTGAAAAAGGAAATATCTTCTCATAAAAACCAGAAAGAAGCGTTCTCAGAAACTTCTTTGTGTTGTGTGTACTCATGTAACAATGTTGAACCATCCTTTTGACAGAGCAGTTTTGAAACACTCTTTTTGTAGAATCTGCAAGTGGATATTTGGATAGCTTTGAGGATTTCGTTGGAAACGGGTTATCTTCATATTAAATCTAGACAGAAGCATTCTCAGAAACTTCTTTGTGCTGTATGTCCTCAATTCACAGAGTTGAACCTTTGTTTGGATACAGCATTTTGGAAACATTCCTTTAGTAGAATCTGCAAGTTGATATTTAGATAGCTTTGAAGATTTCGTTGGAAACGGGAATATCTTCATAAAAAATCTAGACGGAAGCATTGTCAGAAACTGCTCTGTGATGTTTGCATTCAAGTCACAGAGTTAAATATTCTTTTATAGAGCAGGTTTGAAACACTCTTTCTGCACTCCCTGGGAGTGGAGATTTCGAGCGCTTTGAGGCCTATGGTGAAAAAGGAAATATCTTCCCATAAAAACTAGATGGAAGCCTTCTCAGAAACATGTTTGAGATGTGTGTATTCAACTAAGAGCGTTGAACATTTCTTTTTACTGAGCAGTTTTAAAACAGTCTTTTGGTGGAATCTGAAAGTGGATAATTGGATAGCTTTGTGGATTTCGTTGGAAACGGGATTACGTTTAAAATCTAGAGAGAAGCATTCTCAGGAAATTCTTTCTGATGTTTACATTCAAGTCACAGAATTGAACATTCCTTTTCATAGTGCAGGTTTGAAACACTCTGTAGTATCTGGAAGTGGACATTTCAAGCGCTTTCAGGCCTATGGGGAGAAAGGAAATATCTTGAAATAAAAACTAGACAGAAGGATTCTCAGAAACTTATTTGTGATGTGTGTCCTAAACGAACACAGTTGAACCTTTGTTTTGATACAGCATTTTGGAAACACTCCTTTTGTAGAATCTGCAGGTGGATATTTGGGTAGATTTTAAGATTTCATTGGAAACGGGAATTTCTTCATATAAACTGAAGACAGATGCATTCTCAGAAACTTCTCTGTGATGTTTGCATTCCACTCACAGAGTTGGAAACTTCCTTTCATAGAGCAGGTTTGAAACACTCTTTTTGTAATATTTGGAAGTGGACATTTGCAGCGCTTTGAGGCCTATGGTGAAAAAGGAAATATCTTCCCATAAAAACTAGACGGAAGCCTTCTCAGAAACTTGTTTGAGATGTGTGTATTCAACAAAGAGCGTTGAACATTTCTTTTTACAGAGCAGTTTTAAAACACTCTTTTGGTGGAATCTGAAAGTGGATATTTGGATAGCTTTGTGGATTTCGTTGGAAACGGGATTACGTTTAAAATCTAGAGAGAAGCATTCTCAGGAACTTCTTTCTGATGTTTGCATTCAAGTCACAGAATTGAACATTCCTTTTCATAGTGCAGGTGTGAAACACTCTGTAGTATCTGGAAGTGGACATTTCAAGCGCTTTCAAGCCTATTGGGAGAAAGGAAATATCTTGAAATAAAAACTAGACAGGAGGATTCTCAGAAACTTATTTGTGATGTGTGTCCTAAACGAACACATTTGAACCTTTGTTTTGATACAGCATTTTGGAAACACTCCTTTTGTAGAATCTGCAGGGGGATATTTGGATAGATTTTAAGATTTCATTGGAAACGGGAAGTTCTTCATATAAACTCAAGACAGATGCATTCTCAGAAACTTCTCTGTGATGTTTGCATTCCACTCATAGAGTTGAAAACTTCCTTTCATAGAGCAGGTTTGAAACACTCTTTTTGTAATATTTGGAAGTGGACATTTGCAGCGCTTTGAGGCCTATGGTGAAAAAGGAAATATCTTCTCATAAAAACCAGAAACAAGCATTCTCAGAAACTTCTTTTTGATGTGTGTACTCAAGTAACAGAGTTGAACCTTCCTTTTGACACAGCAGTTTTGAAACAATCTTTTTGTAGAATCTGCAAGTGGATATTTGGATAGCTTTGAGGATTTCGTTGGAAACGGGATATCTTCATATAAAATCTAGACAGAAGCATTCTCAGAAACTTCTTTGTGCTGTATGTCCTCAATTAACAGAGTTGAACCATTGCTTGGATACAGCATTTTGGAAACATTCCTTGAGTAGAATCTGCAAGTTGATATTTAGATAGATTTGAAGATTTCGTTGGAAAAGGGAATATCTCCATATAAAATCTAGAGGGAAGCATTCTCAGAAACTGCTTTGTGATGTTTCCATTCAAGTCACAGAGTTGAATATTCCCTTTTATAGAGCACGTTTGAAACACTCTTTCTGCACTATCTGGAAGTGGACATTTCGAGCGCTTTGAGGCCTATGGTGAAAAAGGAAATATCTTCCCATAAAAACTAGACAGAAGCATTCTCAGAAACTTGTTTGTGATGTGTGTATTCAACTAACAGAGTTGAACTTTTGTTTTTACAGAGCCGTTTTAAAACACTCTTTTTGTGGAATCAGAAAGTGGATATTCGGATGGCTCGGAGGATTTCGTTGGAAGCGGGATTACATATAAAATCTAGAGAGAAGCATTCTCAGGAACTTCTTTGTGATGTTTGCATTGAAGTCACAGAATTGAACATTCACTTTGATAGAGCAGGTTTGAAACACTCATTCTGTAGGATCTGGAAGTGGACATTTCAAGCGCTTTCAGGCCTATGGTGAGAAAGGAAATATCTTCGAATAAAAACTAGACAGAAGCATCCTCAGAAACTTATTTGTGATGTGTGTCCTCAACTAACAGAGTTGAAACTTTGTTTTGATACAGCATTTTGGAAACACTCTTTTTGTAGAATCTGCAGGTGGATATTTGGATAGCTTAGAGGGATTCGTTGGAAAGGGGATATCTTCATATAAAATCTAGACAGAAGCATTCTCAGAAACTTATTTGTGATGTGTGTCCTCAACTAACAGAGTTGAACCTTGGTTTTGATACAGCATTTTGGAAACACTCCTTTTGTAGAATCTGCAGGTGGATATGTGGATAGCTCTGAAGATTTCGTTGGAAACGGGAATTTCTTCATATAAAATCAAACAGAAGCATTCTCAGGAACTTCTCTGTGATGTTTGCATTCAGCTCATGGAGTTGAACACTTCCTTTCATAGAGCAGGTTTGAAACACTCTTTCTGCACTACCTGGAAGTGGACATTTCGAGCGCTTTGAGGCCTATGGTGAAAAAGGAAATATCCTCTCATAAAAACCAGAAAGAAGCGTTCTCAGAAACTTCTTTGTGTTGTGTGTACTCATGTAACAGTGTTGAACCATCCTTTTGACAGAGCAGTTTTGAAACACTCTTTTTGTAGAATCTGCAAGTGTATATTTGGATAGCTTTGAGGATTTCGTTGGAAACGGGTTATCTTCATATTAAATCTAGACAGAAGCATTCTCAGAAACTTCTTTGTGCTGTATGTCCTCAATTCACAGAGTTGAACCTTTGTTTGGATACAGCATTTTGGAAACATTCCTTTAGTAGAATCTGCAAGTTGATATTTAGATAGCTTTGAAGATTTCGTTGGAAACGGGAATATCTTCATAAAAAATCTAGACGGAAGCATTGTCAGAAACTGCTTTGTGATGTTTGCATTCAAGTCACAGAGTTAAATATTCTTTTACAGAGCAGGTTTGAAACACTCTTTCTGCACTCCCTGGAAGTGGAGATTTCGAGCGCTTTGAGGCCTATGGTGAAAAAGGAAATATCTTCCCATAAAAACTAGACGGAAGCCTTCTCAGAAACTTGTTTGAGATGTGTGTATTCAACTAAGAGCGTTGAACATTTCTTTTTACAGAGCAGTTTTAAAACACTCTTTTGTGGAATCTGAAAGTGGATAATTGGATAGCTTTGTGGATTTCGTTGGAAACGGGATGACGTATAAAATCTAGAGAGAAGCATTCTCAGGAACTTCTTTCTGATGTTTGCATTCAGGTCACAGAATTGACATTCCTTTTCAGAGTGCAGGTTTGAAACACTCTTTCTGTAGTATCTGGAAGTGGACATTTCAAGCGCTTTCAGGCCTACGGGGAGAAAGGAAATATCTTCAAATAAAAACTAGACAGAAGGATTCTCAGAAACTTATTTGTGATGTGTGTCCTAAACGAACACAGTTGAACCTTTGTTTTGATACAGCATTTTGGAAACACTCCTTTTGTAGGATCTGCAGGTGGATATTTGGATAGATTTTAAGATTTCGTTGGAAACGGGAATTTCTGCATATAAACTCAAGACAGAATGCATTCTCAGAAACTTCTCTGTAATGTTTGCATTCCACTCATAGAGTTGAAAACTTCCTTTCATAGAGCAGGTTTGAAACACTCTTTTTGTAATATTTGGAAGTGGACATTTGCAGTGCTTTGAGGCCTATGGTGAAAAAGGAAATATCTTCTCATAAAAACCAGAAACAAAGCATTCTCAGAAACTGCTTTTTGATGTGTGTACTCAAGTAACAGAGTTGAACCTTCCTTTTGACACAGCAGTTTTGAAACAATCTTTTTGTAGAATCTGCAAGTGGATATTTGGATAGCTTTGAGGATTTCGTTGGAAACGGGATATCTTCATATAAAATCTAGACAGAAGCATTCTCAGAAACTTCTTTGTGCTGTATGTCCTCAATTAACAGAGTTGAACCATTGCTTGGATACAGCATTTTGGAAACATTCCTTGAGTAGAATCTGCAAGTTGATATTTAGATAGATTTGAAGATTTCGTTGGAAAAGGGAATATCTCCATATAAAATCTAGAGGGAAGCATTCTCAGAAACTGCTTTGTGATGTTTCCATTCAAGTCACAGAGTTGAATATTCCCTTTTATAGAGCACGTTTGAAACACTCTTTCTGCACTATCTGGAAGCGGACATTTCGAGCGCTTTGAGGCCTATGGTGAAAAAGTAAATATCTTCCCATAAAAACTAGACAGAAGCATTCTCAGAAACTTGTTTGTGATGTGTGTATTCAACTAACAGAGTTGAACTTTTGTTTTTACAGAGCCGTTTTAAAACACTCTTTTTGTGGAATCAGAAAGTGGATATTCGGATGGCTCTGAGGATTTCGTTGGAAGCGGGATTACATATAAAATGCTAGAGAGAAGCATTCTCAGGAACTTCTTTGTGATGTTTGCATTGAAGTCACAGAATTGAACATTCACTTTGATAGAGCAGGATTGAAACACTCATTCTGTAGTATCTGGAAGTGGACATTTTAAGCGCTTTCAGGCCTATGGTGGGAAAGGAAATATCTTCGAATAAAAACTAGACAGAAGCATTCTCAGAAACTTATTTGTGATGTGTGTCCTCAACTAACAGAGTTGAAACTTTGTTTTGATACAGCATTTTGGAAACACTCTTTTTGTAGAATCTGCAGGTGGATATTTGGATAGCTTAGAGGGATTCGTTGGAAAGGGGATATCTTCATATAAAATCTAGACAGAAGCATTCTCAGAAACTTATTTGTGATGTGTGTCCTCAACTAACAGAGTTGAACCTTGGTTTTGATACAGCATTTTGGAAACACTCCTTTTGAAGAATCTGCAGGTGGATATGTGGATAGCTTTGAAGATTTCGTTGGAAACGGGAATTTCTTCATATAAAATCAAACAGAAGCATTCTCAGAAACTTCTCTGTGATGTTTGCATTCAGCTCATGGAGTTGAACACTTCCTTTCATAGAGCAGGTTTGAAACACTCTTTCTGCACTACCTGGAAGTGGACATTTCGAGCGCTTTGAGGCCTATGGTGAAAAAGGAAATATCTTCTCATAAAAACCAGAAGGAAGCATTCTCAGAAACTTCTTTGTGTTGTGTGTACTCATGTAACAGTGTTGAACCATCCTTTTGACAGAGCAGTTTTGAAACACTCTTTTTGTAGAATCTGCAAGTGGATATTTGGATAGCTTTGAGGATTTCGTTGGAAACGGGATGACATATAATATCTAGAGAGAAGCATTCTGAGGAACTTCTTTGTGATGTTTGCATGCAAGTCACAGAATTGAACATTCCCTTTCATAGAGCAGGTATGAAACACTCTTTCTCTAGTATCTGGAAGTGGACATTTCAAGCGCTTTCAGGCCTATGGAGAGAAAGGAAATACCTTCAAATAAAAACTAGACAGAAGCATCCTCAGAAACTTATTTGTGATGTGTGTCCTCAACTAACAGAGTTGAACCTTTGTTTTGATACAGCATTTTGGAAACACTCCTTTTGTAGAATCTGCAGGTGGATATTTGGATAGCTTTGAAGATTTCGTTGGAAACCGGAATATCTTCATAAAAAATCAAGACAGAAGCATTCTCGGAAACATCTCTGTGATGTTTGCATTCAACTCAGTAGAGTTGAACACTTCCTTTCATAGAGCAGGTTTGAAACACTCTTTCTGCACTACCTGGAAGCGGACATTTCGGGCGCTTTGAGGCCTATGGTGAAAAAGGAAATATCTTCTCATAAAAACCAGAAAGAAGCATTCTCAGAAACTTCTTTGTGTTGTGTGTACTCAAGTAACAGTGTTGAACCTTCCTTTTGACAGAGCAGTTTTGAAACACTCTTTTGGTAGAATCTGCAAGTGGATATTTGGAGAGCTTTGAGGATTTCGTTGGAAACGGGTTATCTTCATATAAAATCCAGACAGGAGCATTCTCAGAAACTTCTTTGTGCTGTATGTCCTCAATTCACAGAGCTGAACCTTTGTTTGGATACAGCATTTTGGAGACATTCCTTTAGTAGAATCTGCAAGTTGATATTTAGATAGCTTTGAAGATTTCGTTGGAAACGGGAATATCTTCATAGAAAATCTAGACGGAAGCATTCTCAGAAACTGCTTTGTGATGTTTGCATTCAAGTCACAGAGTTGAATATTCCCTTTTATAGAGTAGGTTTGAAACACTCTTTCGGCACTACCTGGAAGTGGATATTTCGAGCTCTTTGAGGCCTATGGTTAAAAGGAAATATCTTCCCATAAAAACTAGACAGAAGCCGTCTCAGAAACTTGTTTGTGATGTGTGTATTCAACTACCAGAGTTGAACATTTCTGTTACAGAGCAATTTTAAAACACTCTTTTTGTGGAATCTGAAAGTGGATAATTGGATAGCTTTGTGGATTTCGTTGGAAACGGGATGACGTATAAAATCTAGAGAGAAGCATTCTCAGGAACTTCTTTCTGATGTTTGCATTCAAGTCACAGAATTGAACATTCCTTTTCAGAGTGCAGGTTTGAAACACTCTTTCTGTAGTATCTGGAAGTGGACATTTCAAGCGCTTTCAGGCCTACGGGGAGAAAGGAAATATCTTCAAATAAAAACTAGACAGAAGGATTCTCAGAAACTTATTTGTGATGTGTGTCCTAAACGAACACAGTTGAACCTTTGTTTTGATACAGCATTTTGGAAACACTCCTTTTGTAGGATCTGCAGGTGGATATTTGGATAGATTTTAAGATTTCGTTGGAAACGGGAATTTCTTCATAGAAGCTCAAGACAGATGCATTCTCAGAAACTTCTCTGTGATGTTTGCATTCCACTCATAGAGTTGAAAACTTCCTTTCATAGAGCACGTTTGAAACACTCTTTCTGCACTATCTGGAAGCGGACATTTCGAGCGCTTTGAGGCCTATGGTGAAAAAGGAAATATCTTCCCATAAAAACTAGACAGAAGCATTCTCAGAAACTTGTTTGTGATGTGTGTATTCAACTAACAGAGTTGAACTTTTGTTTTTACAGAGCCGTTTTAAAACACTCTTTTTGTGGAATCAGAAAGTGGATATTCGGATGGCTCTGAGGATTTCGTTGGAAGCGGGATTACGTATAAAATCTAGAGAGAAGCATTCTCAGGAACTTCTTTCTGATGTTTGCATTGAAGTCACGGAATTGAACATTCACTTTTATAGAGCAGGTTTGAAACACTCATTCTGTAGTATCTGGAAGTGGACATTTCAAGCGCTTTCAGGCCTATGGTGAGAAAGGAAATATCTTCGAATAAAAACTAGACAGAAGCATCCTCAGAAACTTATTTGTGATGTGTGTCCTCAACTAACAGAGTTGAAACTTTGTTTTGATACAGCATTTTGGAAACACTCTTTTTGTAGAATCTGCAGGTGGATATTTTGATAGCTTAGAGGGATTCGTTGGAAAGGGGATATCTTCATATAAAATCTAGACAGAAGCATTCTCAGAAACTTATTTGTGATGTGTGTCCTCAACTAACAGAGTTGAACCTTGGTTTTGATACAGCATTTTGGAAACACTCCTTTTGTAGAATCTGCATGTGGATATGTGGATAGCTCTGAAGATTTCGTTGGAAACGGGAATTTCTTCATATAAAATCAAACAGAAGCATTCTCAGAAACTTCTCTGTGATGTTTGCATTCAGCTCATGGAGTTGAACACTTCCTTTCATAGAGCAGCTTTGAAACACTCTTTCTGCACTACCAGGAAGTGGACATTTCGAGCGCTTTGAGGCCTATGGTGAAAAAGGAAATATCTTCTCATAAAAACCAGAAAGAAGCGTTCTCAGAAACTTCTTTGTGTTGTGTGTACTCATGTAACAGTGTTGAACCATCCTTTTGACAGAGCAGTTTTGAAACACTCTTTTTGTAGAATCTGCAAGTGGATATTTGGATAGCTTTGAGGATTTCGTTGGAAACGGGTTATCTTCATATTAAATACTAGACAGAAGCATTCTCAGAAACTTCTTTGTGCTGTATGTCCTCAATTCACAGAGTTGAACCTTTGTTTGGATACAGCATTTTGGAAACATTCCTTTAGTAGAATCTGCAAGTTGATATTTAGACAGCTTTGAAGATTTCGTTGGAAACGGGAATATCTTCATAAAAAATCTAGACGGAAGCATTGCCAGAAACTGCTTTGTGATGTTTAAATTCAAGTCACAGAGTTAAATATTCTTTTACAGAGCAGGTTTGAAACACTCTTTCTGCACTCCCTGGAAGTGGAGATTTCGAGCGCTTTGAGGCCTATGGTGAAAAAGGAAATATCTTCCCATAAAAACTAGACGGAAGCCTTCTCAGAAACTTGTTTGAGATGTGTGTATTCAACTAAGAGCGTTGAACATTTCTTTTTACAGAGCAGTTTTAAAACACTCTTTTTGTGGAATCTGAAAGTGGATAATTGGATAGCTTTGTGGATTTCGTTGGAAACGGGATGACGTATAAAATCTAGAGAGAAGCATTCTCAGGAACTTCTTTCTGATGTTTGCATTCAAGTCACAGAATTGAACATTCCTTTTCATAGTGCAGGTTTGAAACACTCTTTCTCTAGTATCTGGAAGTGGACATTTCCAGCGCTTTCAGGCCTATGGGGAGAAAGGAAATATCTTCAAATAAAAACTAGACAGAAGCATTCTCAGAAACTTATTTGTGATGTGTGTCCTAAACGAACACAGTTGAACCTTTGTTTTGATACAGCATTTTGGAAACACTCCTTTTTTAGGATCTGCAGGTGGATATTTGGATAGATTTTAAGATTTCGTTGGAAACGGGAATTTCTTCATAGAAGATCAAGACAGATGCATTCTCAGAAACTTCTCTGTGATGTTTGCATTCCACTCATAGAGTTGAAAACTTCCTTTCATAGAGTAGGTTTGAAACACTCTTTTTGTAATATTTGGAAGTGGACATTTGCAGCGCTTTGAGGCCTATGGTGAAAAAGGATATATCTTCTCATAAAAACCAGAAACGAGCATTCTCAGAAACTTCTTTTTGATGTGTGTACTCAAGTAACAGAGTTGAACCTTCCTTTTGACACAGCAGTTTTGAAACAATCTTTTTGTAGAATCTGCAAGTGGATATTTGGATAGCTTTGAGGATTTCGTTGGAAACGGGATATCTTCATATAAAATCTAGACAGAAGCATTCTCAGAAACTTCTTTGTGCTGTATGTCCTCAATTAACAGAGTTGAACCATTGCTTGGATACAGCATTTTGGAAACATTCCTTTAGTAGAATCTGCAAGTTGATATTTAGATAGATTTGAAGATTTCGTTGGAAACGGGAATATCTTCATATAAAATCTAGACGGAGGCATTCTCAGAAACTGCTTTGTGATGTTTCCATTCAAGTCACAGAGTTGAATATTCTCTTTTATAGAGCACGTTTGAAACACTCTTTCTGCACTATCTGGAAGTGGACATTTCGAGCGCTTTGAGGCCTATGGTGAAAAAGGAAATATCTTCCCATAAAAAGTAGACAGAAGCATTCTCAGAAACTTGTTTGTGATGTGTGTATTCAACTAACAGACTTGAACTTTTGTTTTTACAGAGCAGTTTTAAGACAATCCTTTTGTGGAATCAGAAAGTGGATATTCGGATGGTTTTGAGGACTTCGTTGGAAGCGGGATTACATATAAAATCTAGAGAGAAGCATTCTCAGGAACTACTTTGTGATGTTTGCATTGAAGTCACAGAATTGAACATTCACTTTGATAGAGCAGGTTTGAAACACTCATTCTGTAGTATCTGGAAGCGGACAATTCAAGCGCTTTCAGGCCTATGGGGAGAAAGGAAATATCTTCAAATAAAAACTAGACAGAAGCATCCTCAGAAACTTATTTGTGATGTGTGTCCTCAACTAACAGAGTTGAAACTTTGTTTTGATACAGCATTTTGGAAACACTCTTTTTGTAGAATCTGCAGGTGGATATTTGGATAGCTTAGAGGGATTCGTTGGAAAGGGGATATCTTCATATAAAATCTAGACAGAAGCATTCTCAGAAACTTATTTGTGATGTGTGCCCTCAACTAACAGAGTTGAACCTTGGTTTTGATACAGCATTTTGGAAACACTCCTTTTGTAGAATCTGCAGGTGGATATGTGGATAGCTTTGAAGATTTCGTTGGAATCGGGAATTTCTTCATATAAAATCAAACAGAAGCATTCTCAGAAACTTCTCAGTGATGTTTGCATTCAGCTCATGGAGTTGTACACTTCCTTTCATAGAGCAGGTTTGAAACACTCTTTCTGCACTACCTGGAAGAGGACATTTCGAGCGCTTTGAGTCCTATGGTGAAAAAGGAAATATCTTCTCATAGAAACCAGAAAGAAGCATTCTCAGAAACTTCTTTGTGTTGTGTGTACTCATGTAACAGTGTTGAACCATCCTTTTGACAGAGGAGTTTTGAAACACTCTTTTTGTAGAATCTGCAAGTGGATATTTGGATAGCTTTGAGGATTTCGTTGGAAACGGGATGACATATAATATCTAGAGAGAAGCATTCTCAGGAACTTCTTTGTGATGTTTGCATTCAAGTCACAGAATTGAACATTCCCTTTCATAGAGCAGGTTTGAAACACTC
This sequence comes from Homo sapiens, assembly GCF_000001405.40. NCBI lineage: Eukaryota > Metazoa > Chordata > Mammalia > Primates > Hominidae > Homo > Homo sapiens. Next base: position 51,303,676 of record NC_000004.12, read on the forward strand.
TTTCTCTAGTATCTGGAAGTGGGCATTTCAAGCGCTTTCAGGCCTATGGAGAGAAAGGAAATACCTTCAAATAAAAACTAGACAGAAGCATTCTCAGAAACTTATTTGTGATGTGTGTCCTCAACTAACAGAGTTGAACCTTTGTTTTGATACAGCATTTTGGAAACACTCCTTTTGTAGAATCTGCAGGTGGATATTTGGATAGCTTTGAAGATTTCGTTGGAAACCGGAATATCTTCATATAAAATCAAGACAGAAGCATTCTCGGAAACATCCTGTGATGTTTGCATTCAACTCAGTAGAGTTGAACACTTCCTTTCATAGAGCAGGTTTGAAGCACACTTTCTGCACTACCTGGAAGCGGACATTTCGAGCGCTTTGAGGCCTATGGTGAAAAAGGAAATATCTTCTCATAAAAACCAGAAGGAAGCATTCTCAGAAACTTCTTTGTGTTGTGTGTACTCAAGTAACAGTGTTGAACCTTCCTTTTGACAGAGCAGTTTTGAAACACTCTTTTGGTAGAATCTGCAAGTGGATATTTGGATAGCTTTGAGGATTTCGTTGGAAACGGGTTATCTTCATATAAAATCCAGACAGGAGCATTCTCAGAAACTTCTTTGTGCTGTATGTCCTCAATTCACAGAGCTGAACCTTTGTTTGGATACAGCATTTTGGAGACATTCCTTTAGTAGAATCTGCAAGTTGATATTTAGATAGCTTTGAAGATTTCGTTGGAAACGGGAATATCTTCATAGAAAATCTAGACGGAAGCATTCTCAGAAACTGCTTTGTGATGTTTGCATTCAAGTCACAGAGTTGAATATTCCCTTTTATAGAGTAGGTTTGAAACACTCTTTCGGCACTACCTGGAAGTGGATATTTCGAGCTCTTTGAGGCCTATGGTTAAAAGGAAATATCTTCCCATAAAAACTAGACAGAAGCCTTCTCAGAAACTTGTTTGAGATGTGTGTATTCAACTAAGAGCGTTGAACATTTCTTTTTACAGAGCAGTTTTAAAACACTCTTTTGTGGAATCTGAAAGTGGATAATTGGATAGCTTTGTGGATTTCGTTGGAAACGGGATGACGTATAAAATCTAGAGAGAAGCATTCTCAGGAACTTCTTTCTGATGTTTGCATTCAAGTCACAGAATTGAACATTCCTTTTCATAGTGCAGGTTTGAAACACTCTTTCTGTAGTATCTGGAAGTGGACATTTCAAGCGCTTTCAGGCCTGTGGGGAGAAAGGAAATATCTTCAAATAAAAACTAGACAGAAGGATTCTCAGAAACTTATTTGTGATGTGTGTCCTAAACGAACACAGTTGAACCTTTGTTTTGATACAGCATTTTGGAAACACTCCTTTTGTAGGATCTGCAGGTGGATATTTGGATAGATTTTAAGATTTCGTTGGAAACGGGAATTTCTGCATAGAAACTCAAGACAGATGCATTCTCAGAAACTTCTCTGTGATGTGTGCATTCCACTCATAGAGTTGAAAACTTCCTTTCATAGAGCAGGTTTGAAACACTCTTTTTGTAATATTTGGAAGTGGACATTTGCAGCGCTTTGAGGCCTATGGTGAAAAAGGAAATATCTTCTCATAAAAACCAGAAACAAGCATTCTCAGAAACTTCTTTTTGATGTGTGTACTCAAGTAACAGAGTTGAACCTTCCTTTTGACACAGCAGTTTTGAAACAATCTTTTTGTAGAATCTGCAAGTGGATATTTGGATAGCTTTGAGGATTTCGTTGGAAACGGGATATCTTCATATAAAATCTAGACAGAAGCATTCTCAGAAACTTCTTTGTGCTGTATGACCTCAATTAACAGAGTTGAACCATTGCTTGCATACAGCATTTTGGAAACATTCCTTGAGTAGAATCTGCAAGTTGATATTTAGATAGATTTGAAGATTTCGTTCGAAAACGGAATATCTCCATATAAAATCTAGAGGGAAGCATTCTCAGAAACTGCTTTGTGATGTTTCCATTCAAGTCACAGAGTTGAATATTCCCTTTTATAGAGCACGTTTGAAACACTCTTTCTGTGCTATCTGGAAGTGGACATTTCGAGCGCTTTGAGGCCTATGGTGAAAAAGGAAATATCTTCCCATAAAAACTAGACAGAAGCATTCTCAGAAACTTGTTTGTGATGTGTGTATTCAACTAACAGAGTTGAACTTTTGTTTTTACAGAGCCGTTTTAAAACACTCTTTTTGTGGAATCAGAAAGTGGATATTCGGATGGCTCTGAGGATTTCGTTGGAAGCGGGATTACATATAAAATCTAGAGAGAAGCATTCTCAGGAACTTCTTTGTGATGTTTGCATTGAAGTCACAGAATTGAACATTCACTTTGATAGAGCAGGTTTGAAACACTCATTCTGTAGTATCTGGAAGTGGACATTTCAAGCGCTTTCAGGCCTATGGTGAGAAAGGAAATATCTTCGAATAAAAACTAGACAGAAGCATTCTCAGAAACTTATTTGTGATGTGTGTCCTCAACTAACAGAGTTGAAACTTTGTTTTGATACAGCATTTTGGAAACACTCTTTTTGTAGAATCTGCAGGTGGATATTTGGATAGCTTAGAGGGATTCGTTGGAAAGGGGATATCTTCATATAAAATCTAGACAGAAGCATTCTCAGAAACTTATTTGTGATGTGTGTCCTCAACTAACAGAGTTGAACCTTGGTTTTGATACAGCATTTTGGAAACACTTCTTTTGTAGAATCTGCAGGTGGATATTTGGATAGCTTAGAGGGATTCGTTGGAAACGGGAATTTCTTCATATAAAATCAAACAGAAGCATTCTCAGAAACTTCTCAGTGATGTTTGCATTCAGTTCATGGAGTTGAACACTTCCCTTCATAGAGCCGGTTTGAAACACTCTTTCTGCACTACCTGGAAGAGGACATTTCGAGCGCTTTGAGTCCTATGGTGAAAAAGGAAATATCTTCTCATAGAAACCAGAAAGAAGCATTCTCAGAAACTTCTTTGTGTTGTGTGTACTCATGTAACAGTGTTGAACCATCCTTTTGACAGAGCAGTTTTGAAACACTCTTTTTGTAGAATCTGCAAGTGGATATTTGGATAGCTTTGAGGATTTCGTTGGAAACGGGATGACATATAATATCTAGAGAGAAGCATTCTCAGGAACTTCTTTGTGATGTTTGCATTCAAGTCACAGAATTGAACATTCCCTTTCATAGAGCAGGTTTGAAACACTCTTTCTCTAGTATCTGGAAGTGGGCATTTCAAGCGCTTTCAGGCCTATGGAGAGAAAGGAAATACCTTCAAATAAAAACTAGACAGAAGCATTCTCAGAAACTTATTTGTGATGTGTGTCCTCAACTAACAGAGTTGAACCTTTGTTTTGATACAGCATTTTGGAAACACTCCTTTTGTAGAATCTGCAGGTGGATATTTGGATAGCTTTGAAGATTTCGTTGGAAACCGGAATATCTTCATATAAAATCAAGACAGAAGCATTCTCGGAAACATCTCTGTGATGTTTGCATTCAACTCAGTAGAGTTGAACACTTCCTTTCATAGAGCAGGTTTGAAACACTCTTTCTGCACTACCTGGAAGCGGACATTTCGAGCGCTTTGAGGCCTATGGTGAAAAAGGAAATATCTTCTCATAAAAACCAGAAAGAAGCATTCTCAGAAACTTCTTTGTGTTGTGTGTACTCAAGTAACAGTGTTGAACCTTCCTTTTGACAGAGCAGTTTTGAAACACTCTTTTGGTAGAATCTGCAAGTGGATATTTGGATAGCTTTGAGGATTTCGTTGGAAACGGGTTATCTTCCTATAAAATCCAGACAGGAGCATTCTCAGAAACTTCTTTGTGCTGTATGTCCTCAATTCACAGAGCTGAACCTTTGTTTGGATACAGCATTTTGGAGACATTCCTTTAGTAGAATCTGCAAGTTGATATTTAGATAGCTTTGAAGATTTCGTTGGAAACGGGAATATCTTCATAGAAAATCTAGACGGAAGCATTCTCAGAAACTGCTTTGTGATGTTTGCATTCAAGTCACAGAGTTGAATATTCCCTTTTATAGAGTAGGTTTGAAACACTCTTTCGGCACTACCTGGAAGTGGATATTTCGAGCTCTTTGAGGCCTATGGTTAAAAGGAAATATCTTCCCATAAAAACTAGACAGAAGCCGTCTCAGAAACTTGTTTGTGATGTGTGTATTCAACTAACAGAGTTGAACATTTCTGTTACAGAGCAATTTTAAAACACTCTTTGTGGAATCTGAAAGTGGATAATTGGATAGCTTTGTGGATTTCGTTGGAAACGGGATGACGTATAAAATCTAGAGAGAAGCATTCTCAGGAACTTCTTTCTGATGTTTGCATTCAAGTCACAGAATTGAACATTCCTTTTCACAGTGCAGGTTTGAAACACTCTTTCTGTAGTATCTGGAAGTGGACATTTCAAGCGCTTTCAGGCCTATGGGGAGAAAGGAAATATCTTCAAATAAAAACTAGACAGAAGGATTCTCAGAAACTTATTTGTGATGTGTGTCCTAAACGAACACAGTTGAACCTTTGTTTTGATACAGCATTTTGGAAACACTCCTTTTGTAGGATCTGCAGGTGGATATTTGGATAGATTTTAAGATTTCGTTGGAAACGGGAATTTCTTCATAGAAGCTCAAGACAGATGCATTCTCAGAAACTTCTCTGTGATGTTTGCATTCCACTCATAGAGTTGAAAACTTCCTTTCATAGAGCAGGTTTGAAACACTCTTTTTGTAATATTTGGAAGTGGACATTTGCAGCGCTTTGAGGCCTATGGTGAAAAAGGAAATATCTTCTCATAAAAACCAGAAACAAGCATTCTCAGAAACTTCTTTTTGATGTGTGTACTCAAGTAACAGAGTTGAACCTTCCTTTTGACACAGCAGTTTTGAAACAATCTTTTTGTAGAATCTGCAAGTGGATATTTGGATAGCTTTGAGGATTTCGTTGGAAACGGGATATCTTCATATGAAATCTAGACAGAAGCATTCTCAGAAACTTCTTTGTGCTGTATGACCTCAATTAACAGAGTTGAACCATTGCTTGCATACAGCATTTTGGAAACATTCCTTGAGTAGAATCTGCAAGTTGATATTTAGATAGATTTGAAGATTTCGTTGGAAAAGGGAATATCTCCATATAAAATCTAGAGGGAAGCATTCTCAGAAACTGCTTTGTGATGTTTCCATTCAAGTCACAGAGTTGAATATTCCCTTTTATAGAGCACGTTTGAAACACTCTTTCTGCACTATCTGGAAGTGGACATTTCGAGCGCTTTGAGGCCTATGGTGAAAAAGGAAATATCTTCCCATAAAAACTAGACAGAAGCATTCTCAGAAACTTGTTTGTGATGTGTGTATTCAACTAACAGAGTTGAACTTTTGTTTTTACAGAGCCGTTTTAAAACACTCTTTTTGTGGAATCAGAAAGTGGATATTCGGATGGCTCTGAGGATTTCGTTGGAAGCGGGATTACGTATAAAATCTAGAGAGAAGCATTCTCAGGAACTACTTTGTGATGTTTGCATTGAAGTCACAGAATTGAACATTCACTTTGATAGAGCAGGTTTGAAACACTCATTCTGTAGTATCTGGAAGTGGACATTTCAAGCGCTTTCAGGCCTATGGGGAGAAAGGAAATATCTTCAAATTAAAACTAGACAGAAGCATCCTCAAACTTATTTGTGATGTGTGTCCTCAACTAACAGAGTTGAAACTTTGTTTTGATACAGCATTTTGGAAACACTCTTTTTGTAGAATCTGCAGGTGGATATTTGGATAGCTTAGAGGGATTCGTTGGAAAGGGGATATCTTCATATAGAATCTAGACAGAAGCATTCTCAGAAACTTATTTGTGATGTGTGTCCTCAACTAACAGAGTTGAACCTTGGTTTTGATACAGCATTTTGGAAACACTTCTTTTGTAGAATCTGCAGGTGGATATGTGGATAGCTTTGAAGATTTCGTTGGAAACGGGAATTTCTTCATATAAAATCAAACAGAAGCATTCTCAGAAACTTCTCCAGTGATGTTTGCATTCAGTTCATGGAGTTGAACACTTCCTTTCATAGAGCCGGTTTGAAACACTCTTTCTGCACTACCTGGAAGAGGACATTTCGAGCGCTTTGAGTCCTATGGTGAAAAAGGAAATATCTTCTCATAGAAACCAGAAAGAAGCATTCTCAGAAACTTCTTTGTGTTGTGTGTACTCATGTAACAGTGTTGAACCATCCTTTTGACAGAGCAGTTTTGAAACACTCTTTTTGTAGAATCTGCAAGTGGATATTTGGATAGCTTTGAGGATTTCGTTGGAAACGGGATGACATATAATATCTAGAGAGAAGCATTCTCAGGAACTTCTTTGTGATGTTTGCATTCAAGTCACAGAATTGAACATTCCCTTTCATAGAGCAGGTTTGAAACACTCTTTCTCTAGTATCTGGAAGTGGGCATTTCAAGCGCTTTCAGGCCTATGGAGAGAAAGGAAATACCTTCAAATAAAAACTAGACAGAAGCATTCTCAGAAACTTATTTGTGATGTGTGTCCTCAACTAACAGAGTTGAACCTTTGTTTTGATACAGCATTTTGGAAACACTCCTTTTGTAGAATCTGCAGGTGGATATTTGGATAGCTTTGAAGATTTCGTTGGAAACCGGAATATCTTCATATAAAATCAAGACAGAAGCATTCTCGGAAACATCTCTGTGATGTTTGCATTCAACTCAGTAGAGTTGAACACGTCCTTTCATAGAGCAGGTTTGAAACACTCTTTCTGCCCTACCTGGAAGCGGACATTTCGAGCGCTTTGAGGCCTATGGTGAAAAAGGGAATATCTTCTCATAAAAACCAGAAAGAGCATTCTCAGCAAACTTCTTTGTGTTGTGTGTACTCAAGTAACAGTGTTGAACCTTCCTTTTGACAGAGCAGTTTTGAAACACTCTTTTGGTAGAATCTGCAAGTGGATATTTGGATAGCTTTGAGGATTTCGTTGGAAACGGGTTATCTTCATATAAAATCCAGACAGGAGCATTCTCAGAAACTTCTTTGTGCTGTATGTCCTCAATTCACAGAGCTGAACCTTTGTTTGGATACAGCATTTTGGAGACATTCCTTTAGTAGAATCTGCAAGTTGATATTTAGATAGCTTTGAAGATTTCGTTGGAAACGGGAATATCTTCATAGAAAATCTAGACGGAAGCATTCTCAGAAACTGCTTTGTGATGTTTGCATTCAAGTCACAGAGTTGAATATTCCCTTTTATAGAGTAGGTTTGAAACACTCTTTCGGCACTACCTGGAAGTGGATATTTCGAGCTCTTTGAGGCCTATGGTTAAAAGGAAATATCTTCCCATAAAAACTAGACAGAAGCCTTCTCAGAAACTTGTTTGAGATGTGTGTATTCAACTAAGAGCGTTGAACATTTCGTTTTACAGAGCAGTTTTAAAACACTCTTTTGTGGAATCTGAAAGTGGATAATTGGATAGCTTTGTGGATTTCGTTGGAAACGGGATGACGTATAAAATCTAGAGAGAAGCATTCTCAGGAACTTCTTTCTGATGTTTGCATTCAAGTCACAGAATTGAACATTCCTTTTCAGAGTGCAGGTTTGAAACACTCTTTCTGTAGTATCTGGAAGTGGACATTTCAAGCGCTTTCAGGCCTACGGGGAGAAAGGAAATATCTTCAAATAAAAACTAGACAGAAGGATTCTCAGAAACTTATTTGTGATGTGTGTCCTAAACGAACACAGTTGAACCTTTGTTTTGATACAGCATTTTGGAAACACTCCTTTTGTAGGATCTGCAGGTGGATATTTGGATAGATTTTAAGATTTCGTTGGAAACGGGAATTTCTTCATAGAAGCTCAAGACAGATGCATTCTCAGAAACTTCTCTGTGATGTTTGCATTCCACTCATAGAGTTGAAAACTTCCTGTCATAGAGCACGTTTGAAACACTCTTTCTGCACTATCTGGAAGCGGACATTTCGAGCGCTTTGAGGCCTATGGTGAAAAAGGAAATATCTTCCCATAAAAACTAGACAGAAGCATTCTCAGAAACTTCTTTGTGTTGTGTGTACTCAAGTAACAGTGTTGAACCTTCCTTTTGACAGAGCAGTTTTGAAACACTCTTTTGGTAGAATCTGCAAGTGGATATTTGGATAGCTTTGAGGATTTCGTTGGAAACGGGTTATCTTCCTATAAAATCCAGACAGGAGCATTCTCAGAAACTTCTTTGTGCTGTATGTCCTCAATTCACAGAGTTGAACCTTTGTTTGGATACAGCATTTTGGAAACATTCCTTTAGTAGAATCTGCAAGTTGATATTTAGATAGCTTTGAAGATTTCGTTGGAAACGGGAATATCTTCATAAAAAATCTAGACGGAAGCATTGTCAGAAACTGCTCTGTGATGTTTGCATTCAAGTCACAGAGTTAAATATTCTTTTACAGAGCAGGTTTGAAACACTCTTTCTGCACTCCCTGGAAGTGGAGATTTCGAGCGCTTTGAGGCCTATGGTGAAAAAGGAAATATCTTCCCATAAAAACTAAACGGAAGCCTTCTCAGAAACTTGTTTGAGATGTGTGTATTCAACTAAGAGCGTTGAACATTTCTTTTTAGAGAGCAGTTTTAAAACACTCTTTTTGTGGAATCTGAAAGTGGATAATTGGATAGCTTTGTGGATTTCGTTGGAAACGGGATTACGTATAAAATCTAGAGAGAAGCATTCTCAGGAACTTCTTTCTGATGTTTGCATTCAAGTCACAGAATTGAACATTCCTTTTCATAGTGCAGGTTTGAAACACTCTTTCTGTGGTATCTAGAAGTGGACATTTCAAGCGCTTTCAGGCCTATGGGGAGAAAGGAAATATCTTGAAATAAAAACTAGACAGAAGGATTCTCAGAAACTTATAGGTGATGTGTGTCCTAAACGAACACAGTTGAACCTTTGTTTTGATACAGCATTTTGGAAACACTCCCTTTGTAGAATCTGCAGGTGGATATTTGGATAGATTTTAAGATTTCGTTGGAAACGGGAATTTCTTCATATAAACTCAAGACAGATGCATTCTCAGAAACTTCTCTGTGATGTTTGCATTCCACTCATAGAGTTGAAAACTTCCTTTCATAGAGCAGGTTTGAAACACTCTTTTTGTAATATGTGGAAGTGGACATTTGCAGCGCTTTGAGGCCTATGGTGAAAAAGGAAATATCTTCTCATAAAAACCAGAAACAACCATTCTCAGAAACTTCTTTTTGATGTGTGTACTCAAGTAACAGAGTTGAACCTTCCTTTTGACACAGCAGTTTTGAAACAATCTTTTTGTAGAATCTGCAAGTGGATATTTGGATAGCTTTGAGGATTTCGTTGGAAACGGGATATCTTCATATAAAATCTAGACAGAAGCATTCTCAGAAACTTCTTTGTGCTGTATGTCCTCAATTAACAGAGTTGAACCATTGCTTGGATACAGCATTTTGGAAACATTCCTTTAGTAGAATCTGCAAGTTGATATTTAGATAGATTTGAAGATTTCGTTGGAAACGGGAATATCTTCATATAAAATCTAGACGGAAGCATTCTCAGAAACTGCTTTGTGATGTTTCCATTCAAGTCACAGAGTTGAATATTCCCTTTTATAGAGCACGTTTGAAACACTCTTTCTGCACTATCTGGAAGTGGACATTTCGAGCGCTTTGAGGCCTATGGTGAAAAAGGAAATATCTTCCCATAAAAACTAGACAGAAGCATTCTCAGAAACTTGTTTGTGATGTGTGTATTCAACTAACAGAGTTGAACTTTTGTTTTTACAGAGCCGTTTTAAAACACTCTTTTTGTGGAATCAGAAAGTGGATATTCGGATGGCTCTGAGGATTTCGTTGGAAGCGGGATTACGTATAAAATCTAGAGAGAAGCATTCTCAGGAACTTCTTTCTGATGTTTGCATTGAAGTCACAGAATTGAACATTCACTTTGATAGAGCAGGTTTGAAACACTCATTCTGTAGTATCTGGAAGTGGACATTTCAAGCGCTTTCAGGCCTATGGTGAGAAAGGAAATATCTTCGAATAAAAACTAGACAGAAGCATCCTCAGAAACTTATTTGTGATGTGTGTCCTCAACTAACAGAGTTGAAACTTTGTTTTGATACAGCATTTTGGAAACACTCTTTTTGTAGAATCTGCAGGTGGATATTTTGATAGCTTAGAGGGATTCGTTGGAAAGGGGATATCTTCATATAAAATCTAGACAGAAGCATTCTCAGAAACTTATTTGTGATGTGTGTCCTCAACTAACAGAGTTGAACCTTGGTTTTGATACAGCATTTTGGAAACACTCCTTTTCTACAATCTGCAGGTGGATATGTGGATAGCTCTGAAGATTTCGTTGGAAACGGGAATTTCTTCATATAAAATCAAACAGAAGCATTCTCAGAAACTTCTCAGTGATGTTTGCATTCAGCTCATGGAGTTGTACACTTCCTTTCATAGAGCAGGTTTGAAACACTCTTTCTGCACTACCTGGAAGAGGACATTTCGAGCGCTTTGAGTCCTATGGTGAAAAAGGAAATATCTTCTCATAGAAACCAGAAAGAAGCGTTCTCAGAAACTTCTTTGTGTTGTGTGTACTCATGTAACAGTGTTGAACCATCCTTTTGACAGAGCAGTTTTGAAACACTCTTTTTGTAGAATCTGCCAGTGGATATTTGGATAGCTTTGAGGATTTCGTTGGAAACGGGTTATCTTCATATTAAATCTAGACAGAAGCATTCTCAGGAACTTCTTTGTGATGTTTGCATTCAAGTCACAGAATTGAACATTCCCTTTCATAGAGCAGGTTTGAAACACTCTTTCTCTAGTATCTGGAAGTGGGCATTTCAAGCGCTTTCAGGCCTATGGAGAGAAAGGAAATACCTTCAAATAAAAACTAGACAGAAGCATTCTCAGAAACTTTTTTGTGATGTGTGTCCTCAACTAACAGAGTTGAACCTTTGTTTTGATACAGCATTTTGGAAACACTCCTTTTGTAGAATCTGCAGGTGGATATTTGGATAGCTTTGAAGATTTCGTTGGAAACCGGAATATCTTCATATAAAATCAAGACAGAAGCATTCTCGGAAACATCTCTGTGATGTTTGCATTCAACTCAGTAGAGTTGAACACTTCCTTTCATAGAGCAGGTTTGAAACACTCTTTCTGCACTACCTGGAAGCGGACATTTCGAGCGCTTTGAGGCCTATGGTGAAAAAGGAAATATCTTCTCATAAAAACCAGAAAGAAGCATTCTCAGAAACTTCTTTGTGTTGTGTGTACTCAAGTAACAAGTGTTGAACCTTCCTTTTGACAGAGCAGTTTTGAAACACTCTTTTGGTAGAATCTGCAAGTGGATATTTGGAGAGATTTGAGGATTTCGTTGGAAACGGGTTATCTTCATATAAAATCCAGACAGGAGCATTCTCAGAAACTTCTTTGTGCTGTATGTCCTCAATTCACAGAGCTGAACCTTTGTTTGGATACAGCATTTTGGAGACATTCCTTTAGTAGAATCTGCAAGTTGATATTTAGATAGCTTTGAAGATTTCGTTGGAAACGGGAATATCTTCATAGAAAATCTAGACGGAAGCATTCTCAGAAACTGCTTTGTGATGTTTGCATTCAAGTCACAGAGTTGAATATTCCCTTTTATAGAGTAGGTTTGAAACACTCTTTCGGCACTACCTGGAAGTGGATATTTCGAGCTCTTTGAGGCCTATGGTTAAAAGGAAATATCTTCCCATAAAAACTAGACAGAAGCCTTCTCAGAAACTTGTTTGAGATGTGTGTATTCAACTAAGAGCGTTGAACATTTCTTTTTACAGAGCAGTTTTAAAACACTCTTTTGTGGAATCTGAAAGTGGATAATTGGATAGCTTTGTGGATTTCGTTGGAAACGGGATGACGTATAAAATCTAGAGAGAAGCATTCTCAGGAACTTCTTTCTGAGGTTTGCATTCAAGTCACAGAATTGAACATTCCTTTTCATAGTGCAGGTTTGAAACACTCTTTCTGTAGTATCTGGAAGTGGACATTTCAAGCGCTTTCAGGCCTATGGGGAGAAAGGAAATATCTTCAAATAAAAACTAGACAGAAGGATTCTCAGAAACTTATTGGTGATGTGTGTCCTAAACGAACGCAGTTGAACCTTTGTTTTGATACAGCATTTTGGAAACACTCCCTTTGTAGAATCTGCAGGTGGATATTTGGATAGATTTTAAGATTTCGTTGGAAACGGGAATTTCTTCATATAAACTCAAGACAGATGCATTCTCAGAAACTTCTCTGTGATGTTTGCATTCCACTCATAGAGTTGAAAACTTCCTTTCATAGAGCAGGTTTGAAACACTCTTTTTGTAATATTTGGAAGTGGACATTTGCAGCGCTTTGAGGCCTATGGTGAAAAAGGAAATATCTTCTCATAAAAACCAGAAACAAGCATTCTCAGAAACTTCTTTTTGATGTGTGTACTCAAGTAACAGAGTTGAACCTTCCTTTTGACACAGCAGTTTTGAAACAATCTTTTTGTAGAATCTGCAAGTGGATATTTGGATAGCTTTGAGGATTTCGTTGGAAACGGGATATCTTCATATAAAATCTAGACAGAAGCATTCTCAGAAACTTCTTTGTGCTGTATGTCCTCAATTAACAGAGTTCAACCATTGCTTGGATACAGCATTTTGGAAACATTCCTTGAGTAGAATCTGCAAGTTGATATTTAGATAGATTTGAAGATTTCGTTGGAAAAGGGAATATCTCCATATAAAATCTAGAGGGAAGCATTCTCAGAAACTGCTTTGTGATGTTTCCATTCAAGTCACAGAGTTGAATATTCCCTTTTATAGAGCACGTTTGAAACACTCTTTCTGCACTATCTGGAAGTGGACATTTCGAGCGCTTTGAGGCCTATGGTGAAAAAGGAAATATCTTCCCATAAAAACTAGACGGAAGCATTCTCAGAAACTTGTTTGTGATGTGTGTATTCAACTAACAGACTTGAACTTTTGTTTTTACAGAGCAGTTTTAAGACAATCTTTTTGTGGAATCAGAAAGTGGATATTCGGATGGCTTTGAGGATTTCGTTGGAAGCGGGATTACATATAAAATCTAGAGAGAAGCATTCTCAGGAACTAGTTTGTGATGTTTGCATTGAAGTCACAGAATTGAACATTCACTTTGATAGAGCAGGTTTGAAACACTCATTCTGTAGTATCTGGAAGTGGACAATTCAAGCGCTTTCAGGCCTATGGGGAGAAAGGAAATATCTTCAAATAAAAACTAGACAGAAGCATCCTCAGAAACTTATTTGTGATGTGTGTCCTCAACTAACAGAGTTGAAACTTTGTTTTGATACAGCATTTTGGAAACACTCTTTTTGTAGAATCTGCAGGTGGATATTTGGATAGCTTAGAGGGATTCGTTGGAAAGGGGATATCTTCATATAAAATCTAGACAGAAGCATTCTCAGAAACTTATTTGTGATGTGTGTCCTCAACTAACAGAGTGGAACCTTGGTTTTGATACAGCATTTTGGAAACACTCTTTTTGTAGAATCTGCAGGTGGATATGTGGATAGCTTTGAAGATTTCGTTGGAAACGGGAATTTCTTCATATAAAATCAAACAGAAGCATTCTCAGAAACTTCTCTGTGATGTTTGCATTCAGCTCATGGAGTTGAACACTTCCTTTCATAGAGCAGCTTTGAAACACTCTTTCTGCACTACCAGGAAGTGGACATTTCGAGCGCTTTGAGGCCTATGGTGAAAAAGGAAATATCTTCTCATAAAAACCAGAAAGAAGCGTTCTCAGAAACTTCTTTGTGTTGTGTGTACTCATGTAACAGTGTTGAACCATACTTTTGACAGAGCAGTTTTGAAACACTCTTTTTGTAGAATCTGCAACTGGATATTTGGATAGCTTTGAGGATTTCGTTGGAAACGGGTTATCTTCATATTAAATCTAGACAGAAGCATTCTCAGGAACTTCTTTGTGATGTTTGCATTCAAGTCACAGAATTGAACATTCCCTTTCATAGAGCAGGTTTGAAACACTCTTTCTCTAGTATCTGGAAGTGGGCATTTCAAGCGCTTTCAGGCCTATGGAGAGAAAGGAAATACCTTCAAATAAAAACTAGACAGAAGCATTCTCAGAAACTTATTTGTGATGTGTGTCCTCAACTAACAGAGTTGAACCTTTGTTTTGATACAGCATTTTGGAAACACTCCTTTTGTAGAATCTGCAGGTGGATATTTGGATAGCTTTGAAGATTTCGTTGGAAACCGGAATATCTTCATATAAAATCAAGACAGAAGCATTCTCGGAAACATCTCTGTGATGTTTGCATTCAACTCAGTAGAGTTGAACACTTCCTTTCATAGAGCAGGTTTGAAACACTCTTTCTGCACTACCTGGAAGCGGACATTTCGAGCGCTTTGAGGCCTATGGTGAAAAAGGAAATATCTTCTCATAAAAACCAGAAAGAAGCATTCTCAGAAACTTCTTTGTGTTGTGTGTACTCAAGTAACAGTGTTGAACCTTCCTTTTGACAGAGCAGTTTTGAAACACTCTTTTGGTAGAATCTGCAAGTGGATATTTGGAGAGCTTTGAGGATTTCATTGGAAACGGGTTATCTTCATATAAAATCCAGACAGGAGCATTCTCAGAAACTTCTTTGTGCTGTATGTCCTCAATTCACAGAGCTGAACCTTTGTTTGGATACAGCATTTTGGAGACATTCCTTTAGTAGAATCTGCAAGTTGATATTTAGATAGCTTTGAAGATTTCGTTGGAAACGGGAATATCTTCATAGAAAATCTAGACGGAAGCATTCTCAGAAACTGCTTTGTGATGTTTGCATTCAAGTCACAGAGTTGAATATTCCCTTTTATAGAGTAGGTTTGAAACACTCTTTCGGCACTACCTGGAAGTGGATATTTCGAGCTCTTATGAGGCCTATGGTTAAAAGGAAATATCTTCCCATAAAAACTAGACAGAAGCCGTCTCAGAAACTTGTTTGTGATGTGTGTATTCAACTACCAGAGTGGAACATTTGTGTTACAGAGCAATTTTAAAACACTCTTTTTGTGGAATCTGAAAGTGGATAATTGGATAGCTTTGTGGATTTCGTTGGAAACGGGATGACGTATAAAATCTAGAGAGAAGCATTCTCAGGAACTTCTTTCTGATGTTTGCATTCAAGTCACAGAATTGAACATTCCTTTTCAGAGTGCAGGTTTGAAACACTCTTTCTGTAGTATCTGGAAGTGGACATTTCAAGCGCTTTCAGGCCTACGGGGAGAAAGGAAATATCTTCAAATAAAAACTAGACAGAAGGATTCTCAGAAACTTATTTGTGATGTGTGTCCTAAACGAACACAGTTGAACCTTTGTTTTGATACAGCATTTTGGAAACACTCCTTTTGTAGGATCTGCAGGTGGATATTTGGATAGATTTTAAGATTTCGTTGGAAACGGGAATTTCTGCATATAAACTCAAGACAGATGCATTCTCAGAAACTTCTCTGTGATGTTTGCATTCCACTCATAGAGTTGAAAACTTCCTTTCATAGAGCAGGTTTGAAACACTCTTTTTGTAATATTTGGAAGTGGACATTTGCAGCGCTTTGAGGCCTATGGTGAAAAAGGAAATATCTTCTCATAAAAACCAGAAACAAGCATTCTCAGAAACTTCTTTTTGATGTGTGTACTCAAGTAACAGAGTTGAACCTTCCTTTTGACACAGCAGTTTTGAAACAATCTTTTTGTAGAATCTGCAAGTGGATATTTGGATAGCTTTGAGGATTTCGTTGGAAACGGGATATCTTCATATAAAATCTAGACAGAAGCATTCTCAGAAACTTCTTTGTGCTGTATGTCCTCAATTAACAGAGTTGAACCATTGCTTGGATACAGCATTTTGGAAACATTCCTTGAGTAGAATCTGCAAGTTGATATTTAGATAGATTTGAAGATTTCGTTGGAAAAGGGAATATCTTCATAGAAAATCTAGAGGGAAGCATTCTCAGAAACTGCTTTGTGATGTTTCCATTCAAGTCACAGAGTTGAATATTCCCTTTTATAGAGCACGTTTGAAACACTCTTTCTGCACTATCTGGAAGTGGACATTTCGAGCGCTTTGAGGCCTATGGTGAAAAAGGAAATATCTTCCCATAAAAACTAGACAGAAGCATTCTCAGAAACTTGTTTGTGATGTGTGTATTCAACCTAACAGACTTGAACTTTTGTTTTTACAGAGCAGTTTTAAAACAATCTTTTGGTGGAATCAGAAAGTGGATATTCGGATGGCTTTGAGGATTTCGTTGGAAGCGGGATTACATATAAAATCTATAGAGAAGCATTCTCAGGAACTACTTTGTGATGTTTGCATTGAAGTCACAGAATTGAACATTCACTTTGATAGAGCAGGTATGAAACACTCATTCTGTAGTATCTGGAAGTGGACATTTCAAGCGCTTTCAGGCCTATGGTGAGAAAGGAAATATCTTCAAATGAAAACTAGACAGAAGCAACCTCAGAAACTTATTTGTGATGTGTGTCCTCAAATAACAGAGTTTAAACTTTGTTTTGATACAGCATTTTGGAAACACTCTTTTTGTAGAATCTGCAGGTGGATATTTGGATAGCTTAGAGGGATTCGTTGGAAAGGGGATATCTTCATATAAAATCTAGACAGAAGCATTCTCAGAAACTTATTTGTGATGTGTGTCCTCAACTAACAGAGTTGAACCTTGGTTTTGATACAGCATTTTGGAAACACTCCTTTTGTAGAATCTGCAGGTGGATATGTGGATAGCTCTGAAGATTTCGTTGGAAACGGGAATTTCTTCATATAAAATCAAACAGAAGCATTCTCAGAAACTTCTCAGTGATGTTTGCATTCAGCTCATGGAGTTGTACACTTCCTTTCATAGAGCAGGTTTGAAACACTCTTTCTGCACTACTTGGAAGAGGACATTTCGAGCGCTTTGAGTCCTATGGTGAAAAAGGAAATATCTTCTCATAGAAACCAGAAAGAAGCATTCTCAGAAACTTCTTTGTGTTGTGTGTACTCATGTAACAGTGTTGAACCATCCTTTTGACAGAGCAGTTTTGAAACACTCTTTTTGTAGAATCTGCAAGTGGATATTTGGATAGCTTTGAGGATTTCGTTGGAAACGGGATGACATATAATATCTAGAGAGAAGCATTCTCAGGAACTTCTTTGTGATGTTTGCATTCAAGTCACAGAATTGAACATTCCCTTTCATAGAGCAGGTTTGAAACACTCTTTCTCTAGTATCTGGAAGTGGGCATTTCAAGCGCTTTCAGGCCTATGGAGAGAAAGGAAATACCTTCAAATAAAAACTAGACAGAAGCATTCTCAGAAACTTATTTGTGATGTGTGTCCTCAACTAACAGAGTTGAACCTTTGTTTTGATACAGCATTTTGGAAACACTCCTTTTGTAGAATCTGCAGGTGGATATTTGGATAGCTTTGAAGATTTCGTTGGAAACCGGAATATCTTCATATAAACTCAAGACAGAAGCATTCTCGGAAACATCTCTGTGATGTTTGCATTCAACTCAGTAGAGTTGAACACTTCCTTTCATAGAGCAGGTTTGAAACACTCTTTCTGCACTACCTGGAAGCGGACATTTCGAGCGCTTTGAGGCCTATGGTGAAAAAGGAAATATCTTCTCATAAAAACCAGAAAGAAGCATTCTCAGAAACTTCTTTGTGTTGTGTGTACTCAAGTAACAGTGTTGAACCTTCCTTTTGACAGAGCAGTTTTGAAACACTCTTTTGGTAGAATCTGCAAGTGGATATTTGGAGAGCTTTGAGGATTTCGTTGGAAACGGGTTATCTTCCTATAAAATCCAGACAGGAGCATTCTCAGAAACTTCTTTGTGCTGTATGTACTCAATTCACAGAGCTGAACCTTTGTTTGGATACAGCATTTTGGAGACATTCCTTTAGTAGAATCTGCAAGTTGATATTTAGATAGCTTTGAAGATTTCGTTGGAAACGGGAATATCTTCATAGAAAATCTAGACGGAAGCATTCTCAGAAACTGCTTTGTGATGTTTGCATTCAAGTCACAGAGTTGAATATTCCCTTTTATAGAGTAGGTTTGAAACACTCTTTCGGCACTACCTGGAAGTGGATATTTCGAGCTCTTTGAGGCCTATGGTTAAAAGGAAATATCTTCCCATAAAAACTAGACAGAAGCCGTCTCAGAAACTTGTTTGTGATGTGTGTATTCAACTAACAGAGTTGAACATTTCTGTTACAGAGCAATTTTAAAACACTCTTTGTGGAATCTGAAAGTGGATAATTGGATAGCTTTGTGGATTTCGTTGGAAACGGGATGACGTATAAAATCTAGAGAGAAGCATTCTCAGGAACTTCTTTCTGATGTTTGCATTCAAGTCACAGAATTGAACATTCCTTTTCATAGTGCAGGTTTGAAACACTCTTTCTGTAGTATCTGGAAGGGGACATTTCAAGCGCTTTCAGGCCTCTGGGGAGGAAGGAAATATCTTCAAATAAAAACTAGACAGAAGGATTCTCAGAAACTTATAGGTGATGTGTGTCCTAAACGAACACAGTTGAACCTTTGTTTTGATACAGCATTTTGGAAACACTCCCTTTGTAGAATCTGCAGGTGGATATTTGGATAGATTTTAAGATTTCGTTGGAAACGGGAATTTCTTCATATAAACTCAAGACAGATGCATTCTCAGAAACTTCTCTGTGATGTTTGCATTCCACTCATAGAGTTGAAAACTTCCTTTCATAGAGCAGGTTTGAAACACTCTTTTTGTAATATTTGGAAGTGGACATTTGCAGCGCTTTGAGGCCTATGGTGAAAAAGGAAATATCTTCTCATAAAAACCAGAAACAAGCATTCTCAGAAACTTCTTTTTGATGTGTGTACTCAAGTAACAGAGTTGAACCTTCCTTTTGACACAGCAGTTTTGAAACAATCTTTTTGTAGAATCTGCAAGTGGATATTTGGATAGCTTTGAGGATTTCGTTGGAAACGGGATATCTTCATATAAAATCTAGACAGAAGCATTCTCAGAAACTTCTTTGTGCTGTATGTCCTCAATTAACAGAGTTGAACCATTGCTTGGATACAGCATTTTGGAAACATTCCTTTAGTAGAATCTGCAAGTTGATATTTAGATAGATTTGAAGATTTCGTTGGAAACGGGAATATCTTCATATAAAATCTAGACGGAAGCATTCTCAGAAACTGCTTTGTGACGTTTCCATTCAAGTCACGGAGTTGAATATTCTCTTTTATAGAGCACGTTTGAAACACTCTTTCTGCACTATCTGGAAGTGGACATTTCGAGCGCTTTGAGGCCTATGGTGAAAAAGGAAATATCTTCCCATAAAAACTAGACAGAAGCATTCTCAGAAACTTGTTTGTGATGTGTGTATTCAACTAACAGACTTGAACTTTTGTTTTTACAGAGCAGTTTTAAAACAATCTTTTTGTGGAATCAGAAAGTGGATATTCGGATGGCTTTGAGGATTTCGTTGGAAGCGTGATTACATATAAAATCTAGAGAGAAGCATTCTCAGGAACTACTTTGTGATGTTTGCATTGAAGTCACAGAATTGAACATTCACTATGATAGAGCAGGTTTGAAACACTCATGCTGTAGTATCTGGAAGTGGACATTTCAAGCGCTTTCAGGCCTATGATGAGAAAGGAAATATCTTCAAATAAAAACTAGACAGAAGCATCCTCAAACTTATTTGTGATGTGTGTCCTCAACTAACAGAGTTGAAACTTTGTTTTGATACAGCATTTTGGAAACACTCTTTTTGTAGAATCTGCAGGTGGATATTTGGATAGCTTAGAGGGATTCGTTGGAAAGGGGATATCTTCATATAGAATCTAGACAGAAGCATTCTCAGAAACTTATTTGTGATGTGTGTCCTCAACTAACAGAGTTGAACCTTGGTTTTGATACAGCATTTTGGAAACACTCCTTTTGTAGAATCTGCAGGTGGATATGTGGATAGCTCTGAAGATTTCGTTGGAAACGGGAATTTCTTCATATAAAATCAAACAGAAGCATTCTCAGAAACTTCTCAGTGATGTTTGCATTCAGCTCATGGAGTTGTACACTTCCTTTCATAGAGCAGGTTTGAAACACTCTTTCTGCACTACCTGGAAGAGGACATTTCGAGTGCTTTGAGTCCTATGGTGAAAAAGGAAATATCTTCTCATAGAAACCAGAAAGAAGCATTCTCAGAAACTTCTTTGTGTTGTGTGTACTCATGTAACAGTGTTGAACCATCCTTTTGACAGAGCAGTTTTGAAACACTCTTTTTGTAGAATCTGCAAGTGGATATTTGGATAGCTATGAGGATTTCGTTGGAAACGGGATGACATATAATATCTAGAGAGAAGCATTCTCAGGAACTTCTTTGTGATGTTTGCATTCAAGTCACAGAATTGAACATTCCCTTTCATAGAGCAGGTTTGAAACACTCTTTCTCTAGTATCTGGAAGTGGGCATTTCAAGCGCTTTCAGGCCTATGGAGAGAAAGGAAATACCTTCAAATAAAAACTAGACAGAAGCATTCTCAGAAACTTATTTGTGATGTGTGTCCTCAACTAACAGAGTTGAACCTTTGTTTTGATACAGCATTTTGGAAACACTCCTTTTGTAGAATCTGCAGGTGGATATTTGGATAGCTTTGAAGATTTCGTTGGAAACCGGAATATCTTCATATAAAATCAAGACAGAAGCATTCTCGGAAACATCTCTGTGATGTTTGCATTCAACTCAGTAGAGTTGAACACTTCCTTTCATAGAGCAGGTTTGAAACACTCTTTCTGCACTACCTGGAAGCGGACATTTCGAGCGCTTTGAGGCCTATGGTGAAAAAGGAAATATCTTCTCATAAAAACCAGAAAGAAGCATTCTCAGAAACTTCTTTGTGTTGTGTGTACTCAAGTAACAGTGTTGAACCTTCCTTTTGACAGAGTAGTTTTGAAACACTCTTTTGGTAGAATCTGCAAGTGGATATTTGGATAGCTTTGAGGATTTCGTTGGAAACGGGTTATCTTCCTATAAAATCCAGACAGGAGCATTCTCAGAAACTTCTTTGTGCTGTATGTCCTCAATTCACAGAGCTGAACCTTTGTTTGGATACAGCATTTTGGAGACATTCCTTTAGTAGAATCTGCAAGTTGATATTTAGATAGCTTTGAAGATTTCGTTGGAAACGGGAATATCTTCATAGAAAATCTAGACGGAAGCATTCTCAGAAACTGCTTTGTGATGTTTGCATTCAAGTCACAGAGTTGAATATTCCCTTTTATAGAGTAGGTTTGAAACACTCTTTCGGCACTACCTGGAAGTGGATATTTCGAGCTCTTTGAGGCCTATGGTTAAAAGGAAATATCTTCCCATAAAAACTAGACAGAAGCCGTCTCAGAAACTTGTTTGTGATGTGTGTATTCAACTAACAGAGTTGAACATTTCTGTTACAGAGCAATTTTAAAACACTCTTTTTGTGGAATCTGAAAGTGGATATTTGGGTAGCTTTGTGGATTTCGTTAGAAACGGGATGACGTATAAAATCTAGAGAGAAGCATTCTCAGGAACTTCTTTCTGATGTTTGCATTCAAGTCACAGAATTGAACATTCCTTTTCAGAGTGCAGGTTTGAAACACTCTTTCTGTAGTATCTGGAAGTGGACATTTCAAGCGCTTTCAGGCCTACGGGGAGAAAGGAAATATCTTCAAATAAAAACTAGACAGAAGGATTCTCAGAAACTTATTTGTGATGTGTGTCCTAAACGAACACAGTTGAACCTTTGTTTTGATACAGCATTTTGGAAACACTCCTTTTGTAGGATCTGCAGGTGGATATTTGGATAGATTTTAAGATTTCGTTGGAAACGGGAATTTCTGCATAGAAACTCAAGACAGATGCATTCTCAGAAACTTCTCTGTGATGTTTGCATTCCACTCATAGAGTTGAAAACTTCCTTTCATAGAGCAGGTTTGAAACACTCTTTTTGTAATATTTGGAAGTGGACATTTGCAGCGCTTTGAGGCCTATGGTGAAAAAGGAAATATCTTCTCATAAAAACCAGAAACAAGCATTCTCAGAAACTTCTTTTTGATGTGTGTACTCAAGTAACAGAGTTGAACCTTCCTTTTGACACAGCAGTTTTGAAACAATCTTTTTGTAGAATCTGCAAGTGGATATTTGGATAGCTTTGAGGATTTCGTTGGAAACGGGATATCTTCATATAAAATCTAGACAGAAGCATTCTCAGAAACTTCTTTGTGCTGTATGTCCTCAATTAACAGAGTTGAACCATTGCTTGGATACAGCATTTTGGAAACATTCCTTGAGTAGAATCTGCAAGTTGATATTTAGATAGATTTGAAGATTTCGTTGGAAAAGGGAATAGCTCCATATAAAATCTAGAGGGAAGCATTCTCAGAAACTGCTTTGTGATGTTTCCATTCAAGTCACAGAGTTGAATATTCCCTTTTATAGAGCACGTTTGAAACACTCTTTCTGCACTATCTGGAAGCGGACATTTCGAGCGCTTTGAGGCCTATGGTGAAAAAGGAAATATCTTCCCATAAAAACTAGACAGAAGCATTCTCAGAAACTTGTTTGTGATGTGTGTATTCAACTAACAGAGTTGAACTTTTGTTTTTACAGAGCCGTTTTAAAACACTCTTTTTGTGGAATCAGAAAGTGGATATTCGGATGGCTCTGAGGATTTCGTTGGAAGTGGGATTACGTATAAAATCTAGAGAGAAGCATTCTCAGGAACTTCTTTGTGATGTTTGCATTGAAGTCACAGAATTGAACATTCACTTTGATAGAGCAGGTTTGAAACACTCATTCTGTAGTATCTGGAAGTGGACATTTCAAGCGCTTTCAGGCCTATGGTGAGAAAGGAAATATCTTCGAATAAAAACTAGACAGAAGCATCCTCAAACTTATTTGTGATGTGTGTCCTCAACTAACAGAGTTGAACCTTTGTTTTGATACAGCATTTTGGAAACACTCTTTTTGTAGAATCTGCAGGTGGATATTTGGATAGCTTAGAGGGATTCGTTGGAAAGGGGATATCTTCATATAAAATCTAGACAGAAGCATTCTCAGAAACTTATTTGTGATGTGTGTCCTCAACTAACAGAGTTGAACCTTGGTTTTGATACAGCATTTTGGAAACACTCCTTTTGTAGAATCTGCAGGTGGATATGTGGATAGCTCTGAAGATTTCGTTGGAAACGGGAATTTCTTCATATAAAATCAAACAGAAGCATTCTCAGAAACTTCTCAGTGATGTTTGCATTCAGCTCATGGAGTTGTACACTTCCTTTCATAGAGCAGGTTTGAAACACTCTTTCTGCACTACCTGGAAGAGGACATTTCGAGCGCTTTGAGTCCTATGGTGAAAAAGGAAATATCTTCTCATAGAAACCAGAAAGAAGCATTCTCAGAAACTTCTTTGTGTTGTGTGTACTCATGTAACAGTGTTGAACCATCCTTTTGACAGAGCAGTTTTGAAACACTCTTTTTGTAGAATCTGCAAGTGGATATTTGGATAGCTTTGAGGATTTCGTTGGAAACGGGATGACATATAATATCTAGAGAGAAGCATTCTCAGGAACTTCTTTGTGATGTTTGCATTCAAGTCACAGAATTGAACATTCCCTTTCATAGAGCAGGTTTGAAACACTCTTTCTCTAGTATCTGGAAGTGGACATTTCAAGCGCTTTCAGGCCTATGGAGAGAAAGGAAATACCTTCAAATAAAAACTAGACAGAAGCATTATCAGAAACTTATTTGTGATGTGTGTCCTCAACTAACAGAGTTGAACCTTTGTTTTGATACAGCATTTTGGAAACACTCCTTTTGTAGAATCTGCAGGTGTATATTTGGATAGCTTTGAAGATTTCGTTGGAAACCGGAATATCTTCGTATAAAATCAAGACAGAAGCATTCTCGGAAACATCTCTGTGATGTTTGCATTCAACTCAGTAGAGTTGAACACTTCCTTTCATAGAGCAGGTTTGAAACACTCTTTCTGCACTACCTGGAAGCGGACATTTCGAGCGCTTTGAGGCCTATGGTGAAAAAGGAAATATCTTCTCATAAAAACCAGAAAGAAGCATTCTCAGAAACTTCTTTGTGTTGTGTGTACTCAAGTAACAGTGTTGAACCTTCCTTTTGACAGAGCAGTTTTGAAACACTCTTTTGGTAGAATCTGCAAGTGGATATTTGGATAGCTTTGAGGATTTCATTGGAAACGGGTTATCTTCATATAAAATCCAGACAGGAGCATTCTCAGAAACTTCTTTGTGCTGTATGTCCTCAATTCACAGAGCTGAACCTTTGTTTGGATACAGCATTTTGGAAACATTCCTTTAGTAAAATCTGCAAGTTCATATTTAGATAGCTTTGAAGATTTCGTTGGAAACGGGAATATCTTCATAGAAAATGTAGACGGAAGGTTTCTCAGAAACTGCTTTGTGATGTTTGCATTCAAATCACAGAGTTGAATATTCCCTTTTATAGAGTAGGTTTGAAACACTCTTTCGGCACTACCTGGAAGTGGATATTTCGAGCTCTTTGAGGCCTATGGTTAAAAGGAAATATCTTCCCATAAAAACTAGACAGAAGCCTTCTCAGAAACTTGTTTGAGATGTGTGTATTCAACTAAGAGCGTTGAACATTTCTTTTTACAGAGCAGTTTTAAAACAGTCTTTTGGTGGAATCTGAAAGTGGATAATTGGATAGCTTTGTGGATTTCGTTGGAAACGGGATTACGTTTAAAATACTAGAGAGAAGCATTCTCAGGAAATTCTTTCTGATGTTTACATTCAAGTCACAGAATTGAACATTCCTTTTCATAGTGCAGTTTTGAAACACTCTGTAGTATCTGGAAGTGGACATTTCAAGCGCTTTCAGGCCTATGGGGAGAAAGGAAATATCTTGAAATAAAAACTAGACAGAAGGATTCTCAGAAACTTATTTGTGATGTGTGTCCTAAAAGAACACAGTTGAACCTTTGTTTTGATACAGCATTTTGGAAACACTCCTTTTGTAGAATCTGCAGGTGGATATTTGGATAGATTTTAAGATTTCGTTGGAAACGGGAATTTCTTCATATAAACTCAAGACAGATGCATTCTCAGGAAACTTCTCTGTGATGTTTGCATTCCACTCATAGAGTTGAAAACTTCCTTTCATAGAGCAGGTTTGAAACACTCTTTTTGTAATATTTGGAAGTGGACATTTGCAGCGCTTTGAGGCCTATGGTGAAAAAGGAAATATCTTCTCATAAAAACCAGAAACAAGCATTCTCAGAAACTTCTTTTTGATGTGTGTACTCAAGTAACAGAGTTGAACCTTCCTTTTGACACAGCAGTTTTGAAACAATCTTTTTGTAGAATCTGCAAGTGGATATTTGGATAGCTTTGAGGATTTCGTTGGAAACGGGATATCTTCATATAAAATCTAGACAGAAGCATTCTCAGAAACTTCTTTGTGCTGTATGACCTCAATTAACAGAGTTGAACCATTGCTTGCATACAGCATTTTGGAAACATTCCTTGAGTAGAATCTGCAAGTTGATATTTAGATAGATTTGAAGATTTCGTTGGAAAAGGGAATATCTCCATATAAAATCTAGAGGGAAGCATTGTCAGAAACTGCTCTGTGATGTTTGCATTCAAGTCACAGAGTTAAATATTCTTTTATAGAGCAGGTTTGAAACACTCTTTCTAAACTCCCTGGAAGTGGAGATTTCGAGCGCTTTGAGGCCTATGGTGAAAAAGGAAATATCTTCCCATAAAAACTAGACGGAAGCCTTCTTAGAAACTTGTTTGAGATGTGTGTATTCAACTAAGAGCGTTGAATATTTCTTTTTACAGAGCAGTTTTAAAACACTCTTTTGGTGGAATCTGAAAGTGGATAATTGGATAGCTTTGTGGATTTCGTTGGAAACGGGATGACGTTTAAAATCTAGAGAGAAGCATTCTCAGGAACTTCTTTCTGATGTTTGCATTCAAGTCACAGAATTGAACATTCCTTTTCATAGTGCAGGTTTGAAACACTCTGTAGTATCTGGAAGTGGACATTTCAAGCGCTTTCAAGCCTATGGGGAGAAAGGAAATATCTTGAAATAAAAACTAGACAGAAGGATTCTCAGAAACTTATTTGTGATGTGTGTCCTAAACGAACACAGTTGAACCTTTGTTTTGATACAGCATTTTGGAAACACTCCTTTTGTAGGATCTGCAGGTGGATATTTGGATAGATTTTAAGATTTCGTTGGAAACGGGAATTTCTTCATAGAAGCTCAAGACAGATGCATTCTCCGAAACTTCTCTGTGATGTTTGCATTCCACTCATAGAGTTGAAAACTTCCTTTCATAGAGCACGTTTGAAACACTCTTTTTGTAATATTTGGAAGTGGACATTTGCAGCGCTTTGAGGCCTATGGTGAAAAAGGAAATATCTTCTCATAAAAACCAGAAACAAGCATTCTCAGAAACTTCTTTTTGATGTGTGTACTCAAGTAACAGACTTGAACCTTCCTATTGACACAGCAGTTTTGAAACAATCTTTTTGTAGAATCTGCAAGTGGATATTTGGATAGCTTTGAGGAGTTCGTTGGAAACGGGATATCTTCATATAAAATCCAGACAGGAGCATTCTCAGAAACTTCTTTGTGCTGTATGTCCTCAATTAACAGAGTTGAACCATTGCTTGGATACAACATTTTGGAAACATTCCTTTAGTAGAATCTGCAAGTTGATATTTAGATAGCTTTGAAGATTTCGTTGGAAACGGGAATATCTTCATATAAAATCTAGACGGAAGCATTCTCAGAAACTGCTTTGTGATGTTTGCATTCAAGTCACAGAGTTGAATATTCCCTTTTATAGAGTAGGTTTGAAACACTCTTTCGGCACTACCTGGAAGTGGATATTTCGAGCTCTTTGAGGCCTATGGTTAAAAGGAAATATCTTCCCATAAAAACTAGACAGAAGCCGTCTCAGAAACTTGTTTGTGATGTGTGTATTCAACTACCAGAGTTGAACATTTCTGTTACAGAGCAATTTTAAAACACTCTTTTTGTGGAATCTGAAAGTGGATAATTGGATAGCTTTGTGGATTTCGTTGGAAACGGGATGACGTATAAAATCTAGAGAGAAGCATTCTCAGGAACTTCTTTCTGATGTTTGCATTCAAGTCACAGAATTGAACATTCCTTTTCAGAGTGCAGGTTTGAAACACTCTTTCTGTAGTATCTGGAAGTGGACATTTCAAGCGCTTTCAGGCCTACGGGGAGAAAGGAAATATCTTCAAATAAAAACTAGACAGAAGGATTCTCAGAAACTTATTTGTGATGTGTGTCCTAAACGAACACAGTTGAACCTTTGTTTTGATACAGCATTTTGGAAACACTCCTTTTGTAGGATCTGCAGGTGGATATTTGGGATAGATTTTAAAATTTCGTTGGAAACGGGAATTTCTTCATAGAAGCTCAAGACAGATGCATTCTCAGAAACTTCTCTGTGATGTTTGCATTCCACTCAAAGAGTTGAAAACTTCCTTTCATAGAGCAGGTTTGAAACACTCTTTTTGTAATATTTGGAAGTGAACATTTGCAGCGCTTTGAGGCCTATGGTGAAAAAGGAAATATCTTCTCATAAAAACCAGAAAGAAGCATTCTCAGAAACTGCTTTTTGATGTGTGTACTCAAGTAACAGAGTTGAACCTTCCTTTTGACACAGCAGTTTTGAAACAATCTTTTTGTAGAATCTGCAAGTGGATATTTGGATAGCTTTGAGGATTTCGTTGGAAACGGGATATCTTCATATAAAATCTAGACAGAAGCATTCTCAGAAACTATTTTGTGCTGTATGTCCTCAATTAACAGAGTTGAACCATTGCTTGGATACAGCATTTTGGAAACATTCCTTTAGTAGAATCTGCAAGTTGATATTTAGATAGATTTGAAGATTTCGTTGGAAACGGGAATATCTTCATATAAAATCTAGACGGAGGCATTCTCAGAAACTGCTTTGTGATGTTTCCATTCAAGTCACAGAGTTGAATATTCTCTTTTATAGAGCACGTTTGAAACACTCTTTCTGCACTCTCTGGAAGTGGACATTTCGAGCGCTGTGAGGCCTATGGTGAAAAAGGAAATATCTTCCACATAAAAACTAGACAGAAGCATTCTCAGAAACTTGTTTGTGATGTGTGTATTCAACTAACAGACTTGAACTTTTGTTTTTACAGAGCAGTTTTAAGACAATCCTTTTGTGGAATCAGAAAGTGGATATTCGGATGGCTTTGAGGACTTCGTTGGAAGCGGGATTACATATAATATCTAGAGAGAAGCATTCTCAGGAACTTCTTTGTGATGTTTGCATTGAAGTCACAGAATTGAACATTCACTTTGATAGAGCAGGTTTGAAACACTCATTCTGTAGTATCTGGAAGTGGACATTTCAAGCGCTTTCAGGCCTATGGTGAGAAAGGAAATATCTTCGAATAAAAACTAGACAGAAGCATCCTCAAACTTATTTGTGATGTGTGTCCTCAACTAACAGAGTTGAAACTTTGTTTTGATACAGCATTTTGGAAACACTCTTTTTGTAGAATCTGCAGGTGGATATTTGGATAGCTTAGAGGGATTCGTTGGAAAGGGGATATCTTCATATAAAATCTAGACAGAAGCATTCTCAGAAACTTATTTGTGATGTGTGTCCTCAACTAACAGAGTGGAACCTTGGTTTTGATACAGCATTTTGGAAACACTCCTTTTGTAGAATCTGCAGGTGGATATGTGGATAGCTTTGAAGATTTCGTTGGAAACGGGAATTTCTTCATATAAAATCAAACAGAAGCATTCTCAGGAACTTCTCTGTGATGTTTGCATTCAGCTCATGGAGTTGAACACTTCCTTTCATAGAGCAGGTTTGAAACACTCTTTCTGCACTACCTGGAAGTGGACATTTCGAGCGCTTTGAGGCCTATGGTGAAAAAGGAAATATCCTCTCATAAAAACCAGAAAGAAGCATTCTCAGAAACTTCTTTGTGTTGTGTGTACTCATGTAACAGTGTTGAACCATCCTTTTGACAGAGGAGTTTTGAAACACTCTTTTTGTAGAATCTGCAAGTGGATATTTGGATAGCTTTGAGGATTTCGTTGGAAACGGGATGACATATAATATCTAGAGAGAAGCATTCTCAGGAACTTCTTTGTGATGTTTGCATTCAAGTCACAGAATTGAACATTCCCTTTCATAGAGCAGGTTTGAAACACTCTTTCTCTAGTATCTGGAAGTGGGCATTTCAAGCGCTTTCAGGCCTATGGAGAGAAAGGAAATACCTTCAAATAAAAACTAGACAGAAGCATTCTCAGAAACTTATTTGTGATGTGTGTCCTCAACTAACAGAGTTGAACCTTTGTTTTGATACAGCATTTTGGAAACACTCCTTTTGTAGAATCTGCAGGTGGATATTTGGATAGCTTTGAAGATTTCGTTGGAAACCGGAATATCTTCATATAAAATCAAGACAGAAGCATTCTCGGAAACATCTCTGTGATGTTTGCATTCAACTCAGTAGAGTTGAACACGTCCTTTCATAGAGCAGGTTTGAAACACTCTTTCTGCCCTACCTGGAAGTGGACATTTCGAGCGCTTTGAGGCCTATGGTGAAAAAGGAAATATCTTCTCATAAAAACCAGAAAGAAGCATTCTCAGAAACTTCTTTGTGTTGTGTGTACTCAAGTAACAGTGTTGAACCTTCCTTTTGACAGAGCAGTTTTGAAACACTCTTTTGGTAGAATCTGCAAGTGGATATTTGGATAGCTTTGAGGATTTCGTTGGAAACGGGTTATCTTCATATAAAATCCAGACAGGAGCATTCTCAGAAACTTCTTTGTGCTGTATGTCCTCAATTCACAGAGCTGAACCTTTGTTTGGATACAGCATTTTGGAGACATTCCTTTAGTAGAATCTGCAAGTTGATATTTAGATAGCTTTGAAGATTTCGTTGGAAACGGGAATATCTTCATAGAAAATCTAGACGGAAGCATTCTCAGAAACTGCTTTGTGATGTTTGCATTCAAGTCACAGAGTTGAATATTCCCTTTTATAGAGTAGGTTTGAAACACTCTTTCGGCACTACCTGGAAGTGGATATTTCGAGCTCTTTGAGGCCTATGGTTAAAAGGAAATATCTTCCCATAAAAACTAGACAGAAGCCGTCTCAGAAACTTGTTTGTGATGTGTGTATTCAACTACCAGAGTTGAACATTTCTGTTACAGAGCAATTTTAAAACACTCTTTCTGTGGAATCTGAAAGTGGATAATTGGATAGCTTTGTGGATTTCGTTGGAAACGGGATGACGTATAAAATCTAGAGAGAAGCATTCTCAGGAACTTCTTTCTGATGTTTGCATTCAAGTCACAGAATTGAACATTCCTTTTCAGAGTGCAGGTTTGAAACACTCTTTCTGTAGTATCTGGAAGTGGACATTTCAAGCGTTTTCAGGCCTACGGGGAGAAAGGAAATATCTTCAAATAAAAACTAGACAGAAGGATTCTCAGAAACTTATTTGTGATGTGTGTCCTAAACGAACACAGTTGAACCTTTGTTTTGATACAGCATTTTGGAAACACTCCTTTTGTAGGATCTGCAGGTGGATATTTGGATAGATTTTAAGATTTCGTTGGAAACGGGAATTTCTGCATATAAACTCAAGACAGATGCATTCTCAGAAACTTCTCTGTGATGTGTGCATTCCACTCATAGAGTTGAAAACTTCCTTTCATAGAGCAGGTTTGAAACACTCTTTTTGTAATATTTGGAAGTGGACATTTGCAGCGCTTTGAGGCCTATGGTGAAAAAGGAAATATCTTCTCATAAAAACCAGAAACAAGCATTCTCAGAAACTGCTTTTTGATGTGTGTACTCAAGTAACAGAGTTGAACCTTCCTTTTGACACAGCAGTTTTGAAACAATCTTTTTGTAGAATCTGCAAGTGGATATTTGGATAGCTTTGAGGATTTCGTTGGAAACGGGATATCTTCATATAAAATCTAGACAGAAGCATTCTCAGAAACTTCTTTGTGCTGTATGTCCTCAATTAACAGAGTTGAACCATTGCTTGGATACAGCATTTTGGAAACATTCCTTTAGTAGAATCTGCAAGTTGATATTTAGATAGCTTTGAAGATTTCGTTGGAAACGGGAATATCTTCATATAAAATGCTAGACGGAAGCATTCTCAGAAACTGCTTTGTGATGTTTGCATTCAAGTCACAGAGTTGAATATTCCCTTTTATAGAGTAGGTTTGAAACACTCTTTCGGCACTACCTGGAAGTGGATATTTCGAGCTCTTTGAGGCCTATGGTTAAAAGGAAATATCTTCCCATAAAAACTAGACAGAAGCC
Organism: Homo sapiens; assembly: GCF_000001405.40. NCBI lineage: Eukaryota > Metazoa > Chordata > Mammalia > Primates > Hominidae > Homo > Homo sapiens. The sequence goes on from NC_000004.12 coordinate 51,335,231, forward strand.
GTCTCAGAAACTTGTTTGTGATGTGTGTATTCAACTAACAGAGTTGAACATTTCTGTTACAGAGCAATTTTAAAACACTCTTTGTGGAATCTGAAAGTGGATAATTGGATAGCTTTGTGGATTTCGTTGGAAACGGGATGACGTATAAAATCTAGAGAGAAGCATTCTCAGGAACTTCTTTCTGATGTTTGCATTCAAGTCACAGAATTGAACATTCCTTTTCATAGTGCAGGTTTGAAACACTCTTTCTGTAGTATCTGGAAGTGGACATTTCAAGCGCTTTCAGGCCTGTGGGGAGAAAGGAAATATCTTCAAATAAAAACTAGACAGAAGGATTCTCAGAAACTTATTTGTGATGTGTGTCCTAAACGAACACAGTTGAACCTTTGTTTTGATACAGCATTTTGGAAACACTCCTTTTGTAGGATCTGCAGGTGGATATTTGGATAGATTTTAAGATTTCGTTGGAAATGGGAATTTCTTCATAGAAGCTCAAGACAGATGCATTCTCAGAAACTTCTCTGTGATGTTTGCATTCCACTCATAGAGTTGAAAACTTCCTTTCATAGAGCAGGTTTGAAACACTCTTTTTGTAATATTTGGAAGTGGACATTTGCAGCGCTTTGAGGCCTATGGTGAAAAAGGAAATATCTTCTCATAAAAACCAGAAACAAGCATTCTCAGAAACTTCTTTTTGATGTGTGTACTCAAGTAACAGAGTTGAACCTTCCTTTTGACACAGCAGTTTTGAAACAATCTTTTTGTAGAATCTGCAAGTGGATATTTGGATAGCTTTGAGGATTTCGTTGGAAACGGGATATCTTCATATAAAATCTAGACAGAAGCATTCTCAGAAACTTCTTTGTGCTGTATGTCCTCAATTAACAGAGTTGAACCATTGCTTGGATACAGCATTTTGGAAACATTCCTTTAGTAGAATCTGCAAGTTGATATTTAGATAGATTTGAAGATTTCGTTGGAAACGGGAATATCTTCATATAAAATCTAGACGGAGGCATTCTCAGAAACTGCTTTGTGATGTTTCCATTCAAGTCACAGAGTTGAATATTCCCTTTTATAGAGCACGTTTGAAACACTCTTTCGGCACTATCTGGAAGTGGACATTTCGAGCGCTTTGAGGCCTATGGTGAAAAAGGAAATATCTTCCCATAAAAACTAGACAGAAGCATTCTCAGAAACTTGTTTGTGATGTGTGTATTCAACTAACAGACTTGAACTTTTGTTTTTACAGAGCAGTTTTAAAACAATCTTTTTGTGGAATCAGAAAGTGGATATTCGGATGGCTTTGAGGATTTCGTTGGAAGCGGGATTACATATAAAATGTAGAGAGAAGCATTCTCAGGAACTACTTTGTGATGTTTGCATTGAAGTCACAGAATTGAACATTCACTTTGATAGAGCAGGTTTGAAACACTCATTCTGTAGTATCTGGAAGTGGACATTTCAAGTGCTTTCAGGCCTATGGGGAGAAAGGAAATATCTTCAAATTAAAACTAGACAGAAGCATCCTCAGAAACTTATTTGTGATGTGTGTCCTCAACTAACAGAGTTGAAACTTTGTTTTGATACAGCATTTTGGAAACACTCTTTTTGTAGAATCTGCAGGTGGATATTTGGATAGCTTAGAGGGATTCGTTGGAAAGGAGATATCTTCATATAAAATCTAGACAGAAGCATTCTCAGAAACTTATTTGTGATGTGTGTCCTCAACTAACAGAGTTGAACCTTGGTTTTGATACAGCATTTTGGAAACACTCCTTTTGTAGAATCTGCAGGTGGATATGTGGATAGCTCTGAAGATTTTGTTGGAAACGGGAATTTCTTCATATAAAATCAAACAGAAGCATTCTCAGAAACTTCTCAGTGATGTTTGCATTCAGCTCATGGAGTTGAACACTTCCTTTCATAGAGCAGGTTTGAAACACTCTTTCTGCACTACCTGGAAGAGGACATTTCGAGCGCTTTGAGTCCTATGGTGAAAAAGGAAATATCTTCTCATAGAAACCAGAAAGAAGCGTTCTCAGAAACTTCTTTGTGTTGTGTGTACTCATGTAACAGTGTTGAACCATCCTTTTGACAGAGCAGTTTTGAAACAATCTTTTTGTAGAATCTGCAAGTGGATATTTGGATAGCTTTGAGGATTTCGTTGGAAACGGGATATCTTCATATAAAATCTAGACAGAAGCATTCTCAGAAACTTCTTTGTGCTGTATGTCCTCAATTCACAGAGTTGAACCATTGCTTGGATACAGCATTTTGGAAACATTCCTTTAGTAGAATCTGCAAGTTGATATTTAGATAGCTTTGAAGATTTCGTTGGAAACGGGAATATCTTCATAAAAAATCTAGACGGAAGCATTCTCAGAAACTGCTTTGTGATGTTTGCATTCAAGTCACAGAGTTGAATATTCCCTTTTATAGAGTAGGTTTGAAACACTCTTTCGGCACTACCTGGAAGTGGATATTTCGAGCTCTTTGAGGCCTATGGTTAAAAGGAAATATCTTCCCATAAAAACTAGACAGAAGCCGTCTCAGAAACTTGTTTGTGATGTGTGTATTCAACTACCAGAGTTGAACATTTCTGTTACAGAGCAATTTTAAAACACTCTTTCTGTGGAATCAGAAAGTGGATAATTGGATAGCTTTGTGGATTTCGTTGGAAACGGGATGACGTATAAAATCTAGAGAGAAGCATTCTCAGGAACTTCTTTCTGATGTTTGCATTCAAGTCACAGAATTGAACATTCCTTTTCAGAGTGCAGGTTTGAAACACTCTTTCTGTAGTATCTGGAAGTGGACATTTCAAGCGCTTTCAGGCCTTCGTGGAGAAAGGAAATATCTTCGAATAAAAACTAGACAGATAAGGATTCTCAGAAACTTATTGGTGATGTGTGTCCTAAACGAACACAGTTGAACCTTTGTTTTGATACAGCATTTTGGAAACACTCCCTTTGTAGAATCTGCAGGTGGATATTTGGATAGATTTTAAGATTTCGTTGGAAACGGGAATTTCTTCATATAAACTCAAGACAGATGCATTCTCAGAAACTTCTCTGTGATGTGTGCATTCCACTCATAGAGTTGAAAACTTCCTTTCATAGAGCAGGTTTGAAACACTCTTTTTGTAATATTTGGAAGTGGACATTTGCAGCGCTTTGAGGCCTATGGTGAAAAAGGAAATATCTTCTCATAAAAACCAGAAACAAGCATTCTCAGAAACTTCTTTTTGATGTGTGTACTCAAGTAACAGAGTTGAACCTTCCTTTTGACACAGCAGTTTTGAAACAATCTTTTTGTAGAATCTGCAAGTGGATATTTGGATAGCTTTGAGGATTTCGTTGGAAACGGGATATCTTCATATAAAATCTAGACAGAAGCATTCTCAGAAACTTCTTTGTGCTGTATGTCCTCAATTAACAGAGTTGAACCATTGCTTGGATACAGCATTTTGGAAACATTCCTTTAGTAGAATCTGCAAGTTGATATTTAGATAGATTTGAAGATTTCGTTGGAAAAGGGAATATCTTCATAGAAAATCTAGACGGAAGCATTCTCAGAAACTGCTTTGTGATGTTTCCATTCAAGTCACAGAGTTGAATATTCTCTTTTATAGAGCACGTTTGAAACACTCTTTCTGCACTATCTGGAAGTGGACATTTCGAGCGCTTTGAGGCCTATGGTGAAAAAGGAAATATCTTCCCATAAAAACTAGACAGAAGCATTCTCAGAAACTTGTTTGTGATGTGTGTATTCAACTAACAGAGTTGAACTTTTGTTTTTACAGAGCCGTTTTAAAACACTCTTTTTGTGGAATCAGAAAGTGGATATTCGGATGGCTCTGAGGATTTCGTTGGAAGCGGGATTACATATAAAATCTAGAGAGAAGCATTCTCAGGAACTTCTTTGTGATGTTTGCATTGAAGTCACAGAATTGAACATTCACTTTGATAGAGCAGGTTTGAAACACTCATTCTGTAGTATCTGGAAGTGGACATTTCAAGCGCTTTCAGGCCTATGGTGGGAAAGGAAATATCTTCGAATAAAAACTAGACAGAAGCATCCTCAGAAACTTATTTGTGATGTGTGTCCTCAACTAACAGGGTTGAAACTTTGTTTTGATACAGCATTTTGGAAACACTCTTTTTGTAGAATCTGCAGGTGGATATTTGGATCGCTTAGAGGGATTCGTTGGAAAGGGGATATCTTCATATAAAATCTAGACAGAAGCATTCTCAGAAACTTATTTGTGATGTGTGTCCTCAACTAACAGAGTTGAACCTTGGTTTTGATACAGCATTTTGGAAACACTCCTTTTGTAGAATCTGCAGGTGGATATGTGGATAGCTTTGAGGATTTCGTTGGAAACGGGAATTTCTTCATATAAAATCAAACAGAAGCATTCTCAGAAACTTCTCAGTGATGTTTGCATTCAGCTCATGGAGTTGAACACTTCCTTTCATAGAGCAGGTTTGAAACACTCTTTCTGCACTACCTGGAAGAGGACATTTTGAGCGCTTTGAGTCCTATGGTGAAAAAGGAAATATCTTCTCATAGAAACCAGAAAGAAGCATTCTCAGAAACTTCTTTGTGTTGTGTGTACTCATGTAACAGTGTTGAACCATCCTTTTGACAGAGGAGTTTTGAAACACTCTTTTTGTAGAATCTGCAAGTGGATATTTGGATAGCTTTGAGGATTTCGTTGGAAACGGGATGACATATAATATCTAGAGAGAAGCATTCTCAGGAACTTCTTTGTGATGTTTGCATTCAAGTCACAGAATTGAACATTCCCTTTCATAGAGCAGGTTTGAAACACTCTTTCTCTAGTATCTGGAAGTGGGCATTTCAAGCGCTTTCAGGCCTATGGAGAGAAAGGAAATACCTTCAAATAAAAACTAGACAGAAGCATTCTCAGAAACTTATTTGTGATGTGTGTCCTCAACTAACAGAGTTGAACCTTTGTTTTGATACAGCATTTTGGAAACACTCCTTTTGTAGAATCTGCAGGTGGATATTTGGATAGCTTTGAAGATTTCGTTGGAAACCGGAATATCTTCATATAAAATCAAGACAGAAGCATTCTCGGAAACATCTCTGTGATGTTTGCATTCAACTCAGTAGAGTTGAACACTTCCTTTCATAGAGCAGGTTTGAAACACTCTTTCTGCACTACCTGGAAGCGGACATTTCGAGCGCTTTGAGGCCTATGGTGAAAAAGGAAATATCTTCTCATAAAAACCAGAAAGAAGCATTCTCAGAAACTTCTTTGTGTTGTGTGTACTCAAGTAACAGTGTTGAACCTTCCTTTTGACAGAGCAGTTTTGAAACACTCTTTTGGTAGAATCTGCAAGTGGATATTTGGAGAGCTTTGAGGATTTCGTTGGAAACGGGTTATCTTCATATAAAATCCAGACAGGAGCATTCTCAGAAACTTCTTTGTGCTGTATGTCCTCAATTCACAGAGCTGAACCTTTGTTTGGATACAGCATTTTGGAGACATTCCTTTAGTAGAATCTGCAAGTTGATATTTAGATAGCTTTGAAGATTTCGTTGGAAACGGGAATATCTTCATAGAAAATCTAGACGGAAGCATTCTCAGAAACTGCTTTGTGATGTTTGCATTCAAGTCACAGAGTTGAATATTCCCTTTTATAGAGTAGGTTTGAAACACTCTTTCGGCACTACCTGGAAGTGGATATTTCGAGCTCTTTGAGGCCTATGGTTAAAAGGAAATATCTTCCCATAAAAACTAGACAGAAGCCTTCTCAGAAACTTGTTTGAGATGTGTGTATTCAACTAAGAGCGTTGAACATTTCTTTCTACAGAGCAGTTTTAAAACACTCTTTTTGTGGAATCTGAAAGTGGATAATTGGATAGCTTTGTGGATTTCGTTGGAAACGGGATTACGTATAAAATCTAGAGAGAAGCATTCTCAGGAACTTCTTTCTGATGTTTGCATTCAAGTCACAGAATTGACATTCCTTTTCAGAGTGCAGGTTTGAAACACTCTTTCTGTAGTATCTGGAAGTGGACATTTCAAGCGCTTTCAGGCCTATGGGGAGAAAGGAAATATCTTCAAATAAAAACTAGACAGAAGGATTCTCAGAAACTTATTGGTGATGTGTGTCCTAAACGAACACAGTTATACCTTTGTATTGATACAGCATTTTGGAAACACTCCCTTTGTAGAATCTGCAGGTGGATATTTGGATAGATTTTAAGATTTCGTTGGAAACGGCAATTCCTTCATATAAACTCAAGACAGATGCATTCTCAGAAACTTCACTGTGATGTTTGCATTCCACTCATAGAGTTGAAAACTTCCTTTCATAGAGCAGGTTTGAAACACTCTTTTTGAAATATTTGGAAGTGGACATTTGCAGCGCTTTGAGGCCTATGGTGAAAAAGGAAATATCTTCTCATAAAAACCAGAAACAAGCATTCTCAGAAACTTCTTTTTGATGTGTGTACTCAAATATCAGAGTTGAACCTTCCTTTTGACACAGCAGTTTTGAAACAATCTTTTTGTAGAATCTGCAAGTGGACATTTGGATAGCTTTGATGATTTCGTTGGAAACGGGATATCTTCATATAAAATCTAGACAGAAGCATTCTCAGAAACTTCTTTGTGCTGTATGACCTCAATTAACAGAGTTGAACCATTGCTTGCATACAGCATTTTGGAAACATTCCTTGAGTAGAATCTGCAAGTTGATATTTAGATAGATTTGAAGATTTCGTTCGAAAACGGAATATCTCCATATAAAATCTAGAGGGAAGCATTCTCAGAAACTGCTTTGTGATGTTTCCATTCAAGTCACAGAGTTGAATATTCCCTTTTATAGAGCACGTTTGAAACACTCTTTCTGCGCTATCTGGAAGTGGACATTTCGAGCGCTTTGAGGCCTATGGTGAAAAAGGAAATATCTTCCCATAAAAACTAGACAGAAGCATTCTCAGAAACTTGTTTGTGATGTGTGTATTCAACTAACAGAGTTGAACTTTTGTTTTTACAGAGCCGTTTTAAAACACTCTTTTTGTGGAATCAGAAAGTGGATATTCGGATGGCTCTGAGGATTTCGTTGGAAGCGGGATTACATATAAAATCTAGAGAGAAGCATTCTCAGGAACTTCTTTGTGATGTTTGCATTGAAGTCACAGAATTGAACATTCACTTTGATAGAGCAGGTTTGAAACACTCATTCTGTAGTATCTGGAAGTGGACATTTCAAGCGCTTTCAGGCCTATGGTGAGAAAGGAAATATCTTCGAATAAAAACTAGACAGAAGCATCCTCAAACTTATTTGTGATGTGTGTCCTCAACTAACAGAGTTGAAACTTTGTTTTGATACAGCATTTTGGAAACACTCTTTTTGTAGAATCTGCAGGTGGATATTTGGATAGCTTAGAGGGATTCGTTGGAAAGGGGATATCTTCATATAGAATCTAGACAGAAGCATTCTCAGAAACTTATTTGTGATGTGTGTCCTCAACTAACAGAGTTGAACTTTGGTTTTGATACAGCATTTTGGAAACACTCCTTTTGTAGAATCTGCAGGTGGATATGTGGATAGCTCTGAAGATTTCGTTGGAAACGGGAATTTCTTCATATAAAATCAAACAGAAGCATTCTCAGAAACTTCTCAGTGATGTTTGCATTCAGTTCATGGAGTTGAACACTTCCCTTCATAGAGCCGGTTTGAAACACTCTTTCTGCACTACCTGGAAGAGGACATTTCGAGCGCTTTGAGTCCTATGGTGAAAAAGGAAATATCTTCTCATAGAAACCAGAAAGAAGCATTCTCAGAAACTTCTTTGTGTTGTGTGTACTCATGTAACAGTGTTGAACCATCCTTTTGACAGAGCAGTTTTGAAACACTCTTTTTGTAGAATCTGCAAGTGGATATTTGGATAGCTTTGAGGATTTCGTTGGAAACGGGATGACATATAATATCTAGAGAGAAGCATTCTCAGGAACTTCTTTGTGATGTTTGCATTCAAGTCACAGAATTGAACATTCCCTTTCATAGAGCAGGTTTGAAACACTCTTTCTCTAGTATCTGGAAGTGGGCATTTCAAGCGCTTTCAGGCCTATGGAGAGAAAGGAAATACCTTCAAATAAAAACTAGACAGAAGCATTCTCAGAAACTTATTTGTGATGTGTGTCCTCAACTAACAGAGTTGAACCTTTGTTTTGATACAGCATTTTGGAAACACTCCTTTTGTAGAATCTGCAGGTGGATATTTGGATAGCTTTGAAGATTTCGTTGGAAACCGGAATATCTTCATATAAAATCAAGACAGAAGCATTCTCGGAAACATCTCTGTGATGTTTGCATTCAACTCAGTAGAGTTGAACACTTCCTTTCATAGAGCAGGTTTGAAACACTCTTTCTGCCCTACCTGGAAGCGGACATTTCGAGCGCTTTGAGGCCTATGGTGAAAAAGGAAATATCTTCTCATAAAAACCAGAAAGAAGCATTCTCAGAAACTTCTTTGTGTTGTGTGTACTCAAGTAACAGTGTTGAACCTTCCTTTTGACAGAGCAGTTTTGAAACACTCTTTTGGTAGAATCTGCAAGTGGATATTTGGATAGCTTTGAGGATTTCGTTGGAAACGGGTTATCTTCCTATAAAATCCAGACAGGAGCATTCTCAGAAACTTCTTTGTGCTGTATGTCCTCAATTCACAGAGCTGAACCTTTGTTTGGATACAGCATTTTGGAGACATTCCTTTAGTAGAATCTGCAAGTTGATATTTAGATAGCTTTGAAGATTTCGTTGGAAACGGGAATATCTTCATAGAAAATCTAGACGGAAGCATTCTCAGAAACTGCTTTGTGATGTTTGCATTCAAGTCACAGAGTTGAATATTCCCTTTTATAGAGTAGGTTTGAAACACTCTTTCGGCACTACCTGGAAGTGGATATTTCGAGCTCTTTGAGGCCTATGGTTAAAAGGAAATATCTTCCCATAAAAACTAGACAGAAGCCGTCTCAGAAACTTGTTTGTGATGTGTGTATTCAACTAACAGAGTTGAACATTTCTGTTACAGAGCAATTTTAAAACACTCTTTGTGGAATCTGAAAGTGGATAATTGGATAGCTTTGTGGATTTCGTTGGAAACGGGATGACGTATAAAATCTAGAGAGAAGCATTCTCAGGAACTTCTTTCTGATGTTTGCATTCAAGTCACAGAATTGAACATTCCTTTTCAGAGTGCAGGTTTGAAACACTCTTTCTGTAGTATCTGGAAGTGGACATTTCAAGCGCTTTCAGGCCTACGGGGAGAAAGGAAATATCTTCAAATAAAAACTAGACAGAAGGATTCTCAGAAACTTATTTGTGATGTGTGTCCTAAACGAACACAGTTGAACCTTTGTTTTGATACAGCATTTTGGAAACACTCCTTTTGTAGGATCTGCAGGTGGATATTTGGATAGATTTTAAGATTTCGTTGGAAACGGGAATTTCTTCATAGAAGCTCAAGACAGATGCATTCTCAGAAACTTCTCTGTGATGTTTGCATTCCACTCATAGAGTTGAAAACTTCCTTTCATAGAGCAGGTTTGAAACACTCTTTTTGTAATATTTGGAAGTGGACATTTGCAGCGCTTTGAGGCCTATGGTGAAAAAGGAAATATCTTCTCATAAAAACCAGAAACAAGCATTCTGAGAAACTGCTTTTTGATGTGTGTACTCAAGTAACAGAGTTGAACCTTCCTTTTGACACAGCAGTTTTGAAACAATCTTTCTGTAGAATCTGCAAGTGGATATTTGGATAGCTTTGAGGATTTCGTTGGAAACGGGATATCTTCATATAAAATCTAGACAGAAGCATTCTCAGAAACTTCTTTGTGCTGTATGTCCTCAATTAACAGAGTTGAACCATTGCTTGGATACAGCATTTTGGAAACATTCCTTTAGTAGAATCTGCAAGTTGATATTTAGATAGATTTGAAGATTTCGTTGGAAACGGGAATATCTTCATATAAAATCTAGACGGAAGCATTCTCAGAAACTGCTTTGTGATGTTTCCATTCAAGTCACAGAGTTGAATATTCCCTTTTATAGAGCACGTTTGAAACACTCTTTCTGCGCTATCTGGAAGTGGACATTTCGAGCGCTTTGAGGCCTATGGTGAAAAAGGAAATATCTTCCCATAAAAACTAGACAGAAGCATTCTCAGAAACTTGTTTGTGATGTGTGTATTCAACTAACAGAGTTGAACTTTTGTTTTTACAGAGCCGTTTTAAAACACTCTTTTTGTGGAATCAGAAAGTGGATATTCGGATGGCTCTGAGGATTTCGTTGGAAGCGGGATTACATATAAAATCTAGAGAGAAGCATTCTCAGGAACTTCTTTGTGATGTTTGCATTGAAGTCACAGAATTGAACATTCACTTTGATAGAGCAGGTTTGAAACACTCATTCTGTAGTATCTGGAAGTGGACATTTCAAGCGCTTTCAGGCCTATGGTGAGAAAGGAAATATCTTCGAATAAAAACTAGACAGAAGCATCCTCAAACTTATTTGTGATGTGTGTCCTCAACTAACAGAGTTGAAACTTTGTTTTGATACAGCATTTTGGAAACACTCTTTTTGTAGAATCTGCAGGTGGATATTTGGATAGCTTAGAGGGATTCGTTGGAAAGGGGATATCTTCATATAGAATCTAGACAGAAGCATTCTCAGAAACTTATTTGTGATGTGTGTCCTCAACTAACAGAGTTGAACCTTGGTTTTGATACAGCATTTTGGAAACACTCCTTTTGAAGAATCTGCAGGTGGATATGTGGATAGCTTTGAAGATTTCGTTGGAAACGGGAATTTCTTCATATAAAATCAAACAGAAGCATTCTCAGGAACTTCTCTGTGATGTTTGCATTCAGCTCATGGAGTTGAACACTTCCTTTCATAGAGCAGGTTTGAAACACTCTTTCTGCACTACCTGGAAGTGGACATTTCGAGCGCTTTGAGGCCTATGGTGAAAAAGGAAATATCTTCTCATAAAAACCAGAAAGAAGCATTCTCAGAAACTTCTTTGTGTTGTGTGTACTCATGTAACAGTGTTGAACCATCCTTTTGACAGAGCAGTTTTGAAACACTCTTTTTGTAGAATCTGCAAGTGGATATTTGGATAGCTTTGAGGATTTCGTTGGAAACGGGATGACATATAATATCTAGAGAGAAGCATTCTCAGGAACTTCTTTGTGATGTTTGCATTCAAGTCACAGAATTGAACATTCCCTTTCATAGAGCAGGTTTGAAACACTCTTTCTCTAGTATCTGGAAGTGGGCATTTCAAGCGCTTTCAGGCCTATGGAGAGAAAGGAAATACCTTCAAATAAAAACTAGACAGAAGCATCCTCAGAAACTTATTTGTGATGTGTGTCCTCAACTAACAGAGTTGAACCTTTGTTTTGATACAGCATTTTGGAAACACTCCTTTTGTAGAATCTGCAGGTGGATATTTGGATAGCTTTGAAGATTTCATTGGAAACCGGAATATCTTCATATAAAACCAAGACAGAAGCATTCTCGGAAACATCTCTGTGATGTTTGCATTCAACTCAGTAGGGTTGAACACTTCCTTTCATAGAGCAGGTTTGAAACACTCTTTCTGCACTACCTGGAAGCGGACATTTCGGGCGCTTTGAGGCCTATGTTGAAAAAGGAAATATCTTCTCATAAAAACCAGAAAGAAGCATTCTCAGAAACTTCTTTGTGTTGTGTGTACTCAAGTAACAGTGTTGAACCTTCCTTTTGACAGAGCAGTTTTGAAACACTCTTTTGGTAGAATCTGCAAGTGGATATTTGGAGAGCTTTGAGGATTTCGTTGGAAATGGGTTATCTTCATATAAAATCCATACAAGAGCATTCTCAGAAACTTCTTTGTGCTGTATGTCCTCAATTCACAGAGTTGAACCTTTGTTTGGATACAGCATTTTGGAAACATTCCTTTAGTAGAATCTGCAAGTTGATATTTAGATAGCTTTGAAGATTTCGTTGGAAACGGGAATATCTTCATAAAAAATCTAGACGGAAGCATTCTCAGAAACTGCTTTGTGATGTTTGCATTCAAGTCACAGAGTTGAATATTCCCTTTTATAGAGTAGGTTTGAAACACTCTTTCGGCACTACCTGGAAGTGGATATTTCGAGCTCTTTGAGGCCTATGGTTAAAAGGAAATATCTTCCCATAAAAACTAGACAGAAGCCGTCTCAGAAACTTGTTTGTGATGTGTGTATTCAACTAACAGAGTTGAACATTTCTGTTACAGAGCAATTTAAAACACTCTTTTTGTGGAATCTGAAAGTGGATAATTGGATAGCTTTGTGGATTTCGTTGGAAACGGGATGACGTATAAAATCTAGAGAGAAGCATTCTCAGGAACTTCTTTCTGATGTTTGCATTCAAGTCACAGAATTGAACATTCCTTTTCAGAGTGCAGGTTTGAAACACTCTTTCTGTAGTATCTGGAAGTGGACATTTCAAGCGCTTTCAGGCCTACGGGGAGAAAGGAAATATCTTCAAATAAAAACTAGACAGAAGGGTTCTCAGAAACTTATTTGTGATGTGTGTCCTAAACGAACACAGTTGAACCTTTGTTTTGATACAGCATTTTGGAAACACTCCTTTTGTAGGATCTGCAGGTGGATATTTGGATAGATTTTAAGATTTCGTTGGAAACGGGAATTTCTGCATAGAAACTCAAGACAGATGCATTCTCAGAAACTTCTCTGTGATGTTTGCATTCCACTCATAGAGTTGAAAACTTCCTTTCATAGAGCAGGTTTGAAACACTCTTTTTGTAATATTTGGAAGTGGACATTTGCAGCGCTTTGAGGCCTATGGTGAAAAAGGAAATATCTTCTCATAAAAACCAGAAACAAGCATTCTCAGAAACTTCTTTTTGATGTGTGTACTCAAGTAACAGAGTTGAACCTTCCTTTTGACACAGCAGTTTTGAAACAATCTTTTTGTAGAATCTGCAAGTGGATATTTGGATAGCTTTGAGGATTTCGTTGGAAACGGGATATCTTCATATAAAATCTAGACAGAAGCATTCTCAGAAACTTCTTTGTGCTGTATGTCCTCAATTAACAGAGTTGAACCATTGCTTGGATACAGCATTTTGGAAACATTCCTTTAGTAGAATCTGCAAGTAGATATTTAGATAGATTTGAAGATTTCGTTGGAAACGGGAATATCTTCATATAAAATCTAGACGGAGGCATTCTCAGAAACGGCTTTGTGATGTTTCCATTCAAGTCACAGAGTTGAATATTCTCTTTTATAGAGCACGTTTGAAACACTCTTTCTGCACTATCTGGAAGTGGACATTTCGAGCGCTTTGAGGCCTATGGTGAAAAAGGAAGTATCTTCCCATAAAAACTAGACAGAAGCATTCTCAGAAACTTGTTTGTGATGTGTGTATTCAACTAACAGAGTTGAACTTTTGTTTTTACAGAGCCGTTTTAAAACACTCTTTTTGTGGAATCAGAAAGTGGATATTCGGATGGCTCTGAGGATTTCGTTGGAAGCGGGATTACGTATAAAATCTAGAGAGAAGCATTCTCAGGAACTTCTTTCTGATGTTTGCATTGAAGTCACGGAATTGAACATTCACTTTGATAGAGCAGGTTTGAAACACTCATTCTGTAGTATCTGGAAGTGGACATTTCAAGAGCTTTCAGGCCTATGGTGAGAAAGGAAATATCTTCGAATAAAAACTAGACAGAAGCATCCTCAGAAACTTATTTGTGATGTGTGTCCTCAACTAACAGAGTTGAAACTTTGTTTTGATACAGCATTTTGGAAACACTCTTTTTGTAGAATCTGCAGGTGGATATTTGGATAGCTTAGAGGGATTCGTTGGAAAGGGGATATCTTCATATAAAATCTAGACAGAAGCATTCTCAGAAACTTATTTGTGATGTGTGTCCTCAACTAACAGAGTTGAACCTTGGTTTTGATACAGCATTTTGGAAACACTCCTTTTGAAGGATCTGCAGGTGGATATGTGGATAGCTTTGAAGATTTCGTTGGAAACGGGAATTTCTTCATATAAAATCAAACAGAAGCATTCTCAGAAACTTCTCAGTGATGTTTGCATTCAGTTCATGGAGTTGAACACTTCCTTTCATAGAGCCGGTTTGAAACACTCTTTCTGCACTACCTGGAAGAGGACATTTCGAGCGCTTTGAGTCCTATGGTGAAAAAGGAAATATCTTCTCATAGAAACCAGAAAGAAGCATTCTCAGAAACTTCTTTGTGTTGTGTGTACTCATGTAACAGTGTTGAACCATCCTTTTGACAGAGCAGTTTTGAAACACTCTTTTTGTAGAATCTGCAAGTGGATATTTGGATAGCTTTGAGGATTTCGTTGGAAACGGGATGACATATAATATCTAGAGAGAAGCATTCTCAGGAACTTCTTTGTGATGTTTGCATTCAAGTCACAGAATTGAACATTCCCTTTCATAGAGCAGGTTTGAAACACTCTTTCTCTAGTATCTGGAAGTGGGCATTTCAAGCGCTTTCAGGCCTATGGAGAGAAAGGAAATACCTTCAAATAAAAACTAGACAGAAGCATTCTCAGAAACTTATTTGTGATGTGTGTCCTCAACTAACAGAGTTGAACCTTTGTTTTGATACAGCATTTTGGAAACACTCCTTTTGTAGAATCTGCAGGTGGATATGTGGATAGCTTTGAAGATTTCGTTGGAAACCGGAATATCTTCATATAAAATCAAGACAGAAGCATTCTCGGAAACATCCTGTGATGTTTGCATTCAACTCAGTAGAGTTGAACACTTCCTTTCATAGAGCAGGTTTGAAACACTCTTTCTGCACTACCTGGAAGCGGACATTTCGAGCGCTTTGAGGCCTATGGTGAAAAAGGAAATATCTTCTCATAAAAACCAGAAAGAAGCATTCTCAGAAACTTCTTTGTGTTGTGTGTACTCAAGTAACAGTGTTGAACCTTCCTTTTGACAGAGCAGTTTTGAAACACTCTTTTGGTAGAATCTGCAAGTGGATATTTGGATAGCTTTGAGGATTTCGTTGGAAACGGGTTATCTTCCTATAAAATCCAGACAGGAGCATTCTCAGAAACTTCTTTGTGCTGTATGTCCTCAATTCACAGAGCTGAACCTTTGTTTGGATACAGCATTTTGGAGACATTCCTTTAGTAGAATCTGCAAGTTGATATTTAGATAGCTTTGAAGATTTCGATGGAAACGGGAATATCTTCATAGAAAATCTAGACGGAAGCATTCTCAGAAACTGCTTTGTGATGTTTGCATTCAAGTCACAGAGTTGAATATTCCCTTTTATAGAGTAGGTTTGAAACACTCTTTCGGCACTACCTGGAAGTGGATATTTCGAGCTCTTTGAGGCCTATGGTTAAAAGGAAATATCTTCCCATAAAAACTAGACAGAAGCCTTCTCAGAAACTTGTTTGAGATGTGTGTATTCAACTAAGAGCGTTGAACATTTCTTTTTACAGAGCAGTTTTAAAACAGTCTTTTGGTGGAATCTGAAAGTGGATAATTGGATAGCTTTGTGGATTTCGTTGGAAACGGGATTACGTTTAAAATCTAGAGAGAAGCATTCTCAGGAACTTCTTTCTGATGTTTGCATTCAAGTCACAGAATTGAACATTCCTTTTCAGAGTGCAGGTTTGAAACACTCTTTCTGTAGTATCTGGAAGTGGACATTTCAAGCGCTTTCAGGCCTACGGGGAGAAAGGAAATATCTTCAAATAAAAACTAGACAGAAGGATTCTCAGAAACTTATTTGTGATGTGTGTCCTAAACGAACACAGTTGAACCTTTGTTTTGATACAGCATTTTGGAAACACTCCTTTTGTAGAATCTGCAGGTGGATATTTGGATAGATTTTAAGATTTCATTGGAAACGGGAATTTCTTCATATAAACTCAAGACAGATGCATTCTCAGAAACTTCTCTGTGATGTTTGCATTCCACTCATAGAGTTGAAAACTTCCTTTCATAGAGCAGGTTTGAAACACTCTTTTTGTAATATTTGGAAGTGGACATTTGCAGCGCTTTGAGGCCTATGGTGAAAAAGGAAATATCTTCTCATAAAAACCAGAAACAAGCATTCTCAGAAACTTCTTTTTGATGTGTGTACTCAAGTAACAGAGTTGAACCTTCCTTTTGACACAGCAGTTTTGAAACAATCTTTTTGTAGAATCTGCAAGTGGATATTTGGATAGCTTTGAGGATTTCGTTGGAAACGGGATATCTTCATATAAAATCTAGACAGAAGCATTCTCAGAAACTTCTTTGTGCTGTATGTCCTCAATTAACAGAGTTGAACCATTGCTTGGGTACAGCATTTTGGAAACATTCCTTTAGTAGAATCTGCAAGTTGATATTTAGAGAGATTTGAAGATTTCGTTGGAAACGGGAATATCTTCATATAAAATCTAGACGGAGGCATTCTCAGAAACTGCTTTGTGATGTTTCCATTCAAGTCACAGAGTTGAATATTCTCTTTTATAGAGCACGTTTGAAACACTCTTTCTGCACTATCTGGAAGTGGAAATTTCGAGCGCTGTGAGGCCTATAGTGAAAAAGGAAATATCTTCCCATAAAAACTAGACAGATAAGCATTCTCAGAAACTTGTTTGTGATGTGTGTATTCAACTAACAGAGTTGAACTTTTGTTTTTGCAGAGCCGTTTTAAAACACTCTTTTTGTGGAATCAGAAAGTGGATATTCGGATGGCTCTGAGGATTTCGTTGGAAGCGGGATTACGTATAAAATCTAGAGAGAAGCATTCTCAGGAACTTCTTTGTGATGTTTGCATTGAAGTCACAGAATTGAACATTCACTTTGATAGAGCAGGTTTGAAACACTCATTCTGTAGTATCTGGAAGTGGACATTTCAAGCGCTTTCAGGCCTATGGTGAGAAAGGAAATATCTTCGAATAAAAACTAGACAGAAGCATCCTCAGAAACTTATTTGTGATGTGTGTCCTCAACTAACAGAGTTGAAACTTTGTTTTGATACAGCATTTTGGAAACACTCTTTTTGTAGAATCTGCAGGTGGATATTTGGATAGCTTAGAGGGATTCGTTGGAAAGGGGATATCTTCATATAAAATCTAGACAGAAGCATTCTCAGAAACTTATTTGTGATGTGTGTCCTCAACTAACAGAGTTGAACCTTGGTTTTGATACAGCATTTTGGAAACACTCCTTTTGTAGAATCTGCATGTGGATATGTGGATAGCTCTGAAGATTTCGTTGGAAACGGGAATTTCTTCATATAAAATCAAACAGAAGCATTCTCAGAAACTTCTCAGTGATGTTTGCATTCAGCTCATGGAGTTGTACACTTCCTTTCATAGAGCAGGTTTGAAACACTCTTTCTGCACTACCTGGAAGAGGACATTTCGAGCGCTTTGAGTCCTATGGTGAAAAAGGATATATCTTCTCATAGAAACCAGAAAGAAGCATTCTCAGAAACTTCTTTGTGTTGTGTGTACTCATGTAACAGTGTTGAACCATCCTTTTGACAGAGCAGTTTTGAAACACTCTTTTTGTAGAATCTGCAAGTGGATATTTGGATAGCTTTGAGGATTTCGTTGGAAACGGGATGACATATAATATCTAGAGAGAAGCATTCTCAGGAACTTCTTTGTGATGTTTGCATTCAAGTCACAGAATTGAACATTCCCTTTCATAGAGCAGGTTTGAAACACTCTTTCTCTAGTATCTGGAAGTGGGCATTTCAAGCGCTTTCAGGCCTATGGAGAGAAAGGAAATACCTTCAAATAAAAACTAGACAGAAGCATTCTCAGAAACTTATTTGTGATGTGTGTCCTCAACTAACAGAGTTGAACCTTGGTTTTGATACAGCATTTTGGAAACACTCCTTTTGTAGAATCTGCAGGTGGATATTTGGATAGCTTTGAAGATTTCGTTGGAAACCGGAATATCTTCATATAAAATCAGGACAGAAGCATTCTCGGAAACATCTCTGTGATGTTTGCATTCAACTCAGTAGAGTTGAACACTTCCTTTCATAGAGCAGGTTTGAAACACTCTTTCTGCACTACCTGGAAGCGGACATTTCGAGCGCTTTGAGGCCTATGGTGAAAAAGGAAATATCTTCTCATAAAAACCAGAAAGAAGCATTCTCAGAAACTTCTTTGTGTTGTGTGTACTCAAGTAACAGTGTTGAACCTTCCTTTTGACAGAGTAGTTTTGAAACACTCTTTTGGTAGAATCTGCAAGTGGATATTTGGATAGCTTTGAGGATTTCGTTGGGAACGGGTTATCTTCCTATAAAATCCAGACAGGAGCATTCTCAGAAACTTCTTTGTGTTGTATGTCCTCAATTCACAGAGCTGAACCTTTGTTTGGATACAGCATTTTGGAGACATTCCTTTAGTAGAATCTGCAAGTTGATATTTAGATAGCTTTGAAGATTTCGTTGGAAACGGGAATATCTTCATAGAAAATCTAGACGGAAGCATTCTCAGAAACTGCTTTGTGATGTTTGCATTCAAGTCACAGAGTTGAATATTCCCTTTTATAGAGTAGGTTTGAAACACTCTTTCGGCACTACCTGGAAGTGGATATTTCGAGCTCTTTGAGGCCTATGGTTAAAAGGAAATATCTTCCCATAAAAACTAGACAGAAGCCGTCTCAGAAACTTGTTTGTGATGTGTGTATTCAACTAACAGAGTTGAACATTTCTGTTACAGAGCAATTTTAAAACACTCTTTTTGTGGAATCTGAAAGTGGATAATTGGGTAGCTTTGTGGATTTCGTTGGAAACGGGATGACGTATAAAATCTAGAGAGAAGCATTCTCAGGAACTTCTTTCTGATGTTTGCATTCAAGTCACAGAATTGAACATTCCTTTTCAGAGTGCAGGTTTGAAACACTCTTTCTGTAGTATCTGGAAGTGGACATTTCAAGCGCTTTCAGGCCTACGGGGAGAAAGGAAATATCTTCAAATAAAAACTAGAGAGAAGGATTCTCAGAAACTTATTTGTGATGTGTGTCCTAAACGAACACAGTTGAACCTTTGTTTTGATACAGCATTTTGGAAACACTCCTTTTGTAGGATCTGCAGGTGGATATTTGGATAGATTTTAAGATTTCGTTGGAAACGGGAATTTCTTCATAGAAGCTCAAGACAGATGCATTCTCAGAAACTTCTCTGTGATGTTTGCATTCCACTCATAGAGTTGAAAACTTCCTTTCATAGAGCAGGTTTGAAACACTCTTTTTGTAATATGTGGAAGTGGACATTTGCAGCGCTTTGAGGCCTATGGTGAAAAAGGAAATATCTTCTCATAAAAACCAGAAACAAGCATTCTCAGAAACTTCTTTTTGATGTGTGTACTCAAGTAACAGAGTTGAACCTTCCTTTTGACACAGCAGTTTTGAAACAATCTTTTTGTAGAATCTGCAAGTGGATATTTGGATAGCTTTGAGGATTTCGTTGGAAACGGGATATCTTCATATAAAATCTAGACAGAAGCATTCTCAGAAACTTCTTTGTGCTGTATGTCCTCAATTAACAGAGTTGAACCATTGCTTGGATACAGCATTTTGGAAACATTCCTTGAGTAGAATCTGCAAGTTGATATTTAGATAGATTTGAAGATTTCGTTGGAAAAGGGAATATCTCCATATAAAATCTAGAGGGAGGCAATCTCAGAAACTGCTTTGTGATGTTTCCATTCAAGTCACAGAGTTGAATATTCTCTTTTATAGAGCACGTTTGAAACACTCTTTCTGCACTATCTGGAAGTGGACATTTCGAGCGCTTTGAGGCCTATGGTGAAAAAGGAAATATCTTCCCATAAAAACTAGACAGAAGCATTCTCAGACACTTGTTTGTGATGTGTGTATTCAACTAACAGACTTGAACTTTTGTTTTTACAGAGCAGTTTTAAAACAATCTTTTTGTGGAATCAGAAAGTGGATATTCGGATGGGTTTGAGGATTTCGTTGGAAGCGGGATTACATATAAAATCTAGAGAGAAGCATTCTCAGGAACTACTTTGTGATGTTTGCATTGAAGTCACAGAATTGAACATTCACTTTGATAGAGCAGGTTTGAAACACTCATGCTGTAGTATCTGGAAGTGGACATTTCAAGCGCTTTCAGGCCTATGGGGAGAAAGGAAATATCTTCAAATTAAAACTAGACAGAAGCATCCTCAGAAACTTATTTGTGATGTGTGTCCTCAACTAACAGAGTTGAAACTTTGTTTTGATACAGCATTTTGGAAACACTCTTTTTGTAGAATCTGCAGGTGGATACTTGGATAGCTTAGAGGGATTCGTTGGAAAGGGGATAAATTCATATAAAATCTAGACAGAAGCATTCTCAGAAACTTATTTGTGATGTGTGTCCTCAACTAACAGAGTTGAACCTTGGTTTTGATACAGCATTTTGGAAACACTCCTTTTGTAGAATCTGCATGTGGATATGTGGATAGCTCTGAAGATTTCGTTGGAAACGGGAATTTCTTCATATAAAATCAAACAGAAGCATTCTCAGAAACTTCTCAGTGATGTTTGCATTCAGTTCATGGAGTTGAACACTTCCTTTCATAGAGCCGGTTTGAAACACTCTTTCTGCACTACCTGGAAGAGGACATTTCGAGCGCTTTGAGTCCTATGGTGAAAAAGGAAATATCTTCTCATAGAAACCAGAAAGAAGCATTCTCAGAAACTTCTTTGTGTTGTGTGTACTCATGTAACAGTGTTGAACCATCCTTTTGACAGAGCAGTTTTGAAACACTCTTTTTGTAGAATCTGCAAGTGGATATTTGGATAGCTTTGAGGATTTCGTTGGAAACGGGTTATCTTCATATAAAATCCAGACAGGAGCATTCTCAGAAACTTCTTTGTGCTGTATGTCCTCAATTCACAGAGTTGAACCTTTGTTTGGATACAGCATTTTGGAAACATTCCTTTAGTAGAATCTGCAAGTTGATATTTAGATAGCTTTGAAGATTTCGTTGGAAACGAGAATATCTTCATAAAAAATCTAGACGGAAGCATTGTCAGAAACTGCTCTGTGATGTTTGCATTCAAGTCACAGAGTTAAATATTCTTTTATAGAGCAGGTTTGAAACACTCTTTCTGCACTCCCTGGAAGTGGAGATTTCGAGCGCTTTGAGGCCTATGGTGAAAAAGGAAATATCTTCCCGTAAAAACTAGACGGAAGCCTTCTCAGAAACTTGTTTGAGATGTGTGTATTCAACTAAGAGCGTTGAACATTTCTTTTTACAGAGCAGTTTTAAAACACTCTTTTGGTGCAATCTGAAAGTGGATAATTGGATAGCTTTGTGGATTTCGTTGGAAACGGGATTACGTTTAAAATCTAGAGAGAAGCATTCTCAGGAACTTCTTTCTGATGTTTGCATTCAAGTCACAGAATTGAACATTCCTTTTCATAGTGCAGGTTTGAAACACTCTGTAGTATCTGGAAGTGGACATTTCAAGCGCTTTCAGGCCTATGGGGAGAAAGGAAATATCTTGAAATAAAAACTAGACAGAAGGATTCTCAGAAACTTATTTGTGATGTGTGTTCTCAACGAATACAGTTGAACCTTTGTTTTGATATAGCATTTTGGAAGCACTCTTTTGTAGAATCTGCAGGTGGATATTTGGATAGATTTCAAGATTTCATTGGAAACGGGAATTTCTTCATATAAACTCAAGACAGATGCATTCTCAGAAACTTCTCTGTGATGTTTGCATTCCACTCACAGAGTTGAAAACTTCCTTTCATAGAGCAGGTTTGAAACACTCTTTTTGTAATATTTGGAAGTGGACATTTGCAGCGCTTTGAGGCCTATGGTGAAAAAGGAAATATCTTCTCATAAAAACCAGAAACAAGCATTCTCAGAAACTTCTTTTTGATGTGTGTACTCAAGTAACAGAGTTGAACCTTCCTTTTGACACAGCAGTTTTGAAACAATCTTTTTGTAGAATCTGCAAGTGGATATTTGGATAGCTTTGAGGATTTCGTTGGAAACGGGATATCTTCATATAAAATCTAGACAGAAGCATTCTCAGAAACTTCTTTGTGCTGTATGTCCTCAATTAACAGAGTTGAACCATTGCTTGGATACAGCATTTTGGAAACATTCCTTTAGTAGAATCTGCAAGTTGATATTTAGATAGATTTGAAGATTTCGTTGGAAACGGGAATATCTTCATATAAAATCTAGACGGAAGCATTCTCAGAAACTGCTTTGTGATGTTTCCATTCAAGTCACAGAGTTGAATATTCCCTTTTATAGAGCACGTTTGAAACACTCTTTCTGCACTATCTGGAAGCGGACATTTCGAGCGCTTTGAGGCCTATGGTGAAAAAGGAAATATCTTCCCATAAAAACTAGACAGAAGCATTCTCAGAAACTTGTTTGTGATGTGTGTATTCAACTAACAGAGTTGAACTTTTGTTTTTACAGAGCCGTTTTAAAACACTCTTTTTGTGGGATCAGAAAGTGGATATTCGGATGGCTCTGAGGATTTCGTTGGAAGCGGGATTACATATAAAATCTAGAGAGAAGCATTCTCAGGAACTTCTTTCTGATGTTTGCATTGAAGTCACAGAATTGAACATTCACTTTTATAGAGCAGGTTTGAAACACTCATTCTGTAGTATCTGGAAGTGGACATTTCAAGCGCTTTCAGGCCTATGGTGAGAAAGGAAATATCTTCGAATAAAAACTAGACAGAAGCATCCTCAAACTTATTTGTGATGTGTGTCCTCAACTAACAGAGTTGAAACTTTGTTTTGATACAGCATTTTGGAAACACTCTTTTTGTAGAATCTGCAGGTGGATATTTGGATAGCTTAGAGGGATTCGTTGGAAAGGGGATATCTTCATATAAAATCTAGACAGAAGCATTCTCAGAAACTTATTTGTGATGTGTGTCCTCAACTAACAGAGTTGAACCTTGGTTTTGATACAGCATTTTGGAAACACTCCTTTTGTAGAATCTGCAGGTGGATATGTGGATAGCTCTGAAGATTTCGTTGGAAACGGGAATTTCTTCATATAAAATCAAACAGAAGCATTCTCAGAAACTTCTCAGTGATGTTTGCATTCAGCTCATGGAGTTGTACACTTCCTTTCATAGAGCAGGTTTGAAACACTCTTTCTGCACTACCTGGAAGAGGACATTTCGAGCGCTTTGAGTCCTATGGTGAAAAAGGAAATATCTTCTCATAGAAACCAGAAAGAAGCGTTCTCAGAAACTTCTTTGTGTTGTGTGTACTCATGTAACAGTGTTGAACCATCCTTTTGACAGAGCAGTTTTGAAACACTCTTTTTGTAGAATCTGCAAGTGGATATTTGGATAGCTTTGAGGATTTCGTTGGAAACGGGTTATCTTCATATTAAATCTAGACAGAAGCATTCTCAGGAACTTCTTTGTGATGTTTGCATTCAAGTCACAGAATTGAACATTCCCTTTCATAGAGCAGGTTTGAAACACTCTTTCTCTAGTATCTGGAAGTGGGCATTTCAAGCGCTTTCAGGCCTATGGAGAGAAAGGAAATACCTTCAAATAAAAACTAGACAGAAGCATTCTCAGAAACTTATTTGTGATGTGTGTCCTCAACTAACAGAGTTGAACCTTTGTTTTGATACAGCATTTTGGAAACACTCCTTTTGTAGAATCTGCAGGTGGATATGTGGATAGCTTTGAAGATTTCGTTGGAAACCGGAATATCTTCCTATAAAATCAAGACAGAAGCATTCTCGGAAACATCCTGTGATGTTTGCATTCAACTCAGTAGAGTTGAACACTTCCTTTCATAGAGCAGGTTTGAAACACTCTTTCTGCACTACCTGGAAGTGGACATTTCGAGTGCTTTGAGGCCTATGGTGAAAAAGGAAATATCTTCTCATAAAAACCAGAAAGAAGCATTCTCAGAAACTTCTTTGTGTTGTGTGTACTCAAGTAACAGTGTTGAACCTTCCTTTTGACAGAGCAGTTTTGAAACACTCTTTTGGTAGAATCTGCAAGTGGATATTTGGATAGCTTTGAGGATTTCGTTGGAAACGGGTTATCTTCATATAAAATCCAGACAGGAGAATTCTCAGAAACTTCTTTGTGCTGTATGTCCTCAATTCACAGAGCTGAACCTTTGTTTGGATACAGCATTTTGGAAACATTCCTTTAGTAGAATCTGCAAGTTGATATTTAGATAGCGTTGAAGATTTCGTTGGAAACGGGAATATCTTCATAGAAAATCTAGACGGAAGCATTCTCAGAAACTGCTTTGTGATGTTTGCATTCAAGTCACAGAGTTGAATATTCCCTTTTATAGAGTAGGTTTGAAACACTCTTTCGGCACTACCTGGAAGTGGATATTTCGAGCTCTTTGAGGCCTATGGTTAAAAGGAAATATCTTCCCATAAAAACTAGACAGAAGCCGTCTCAGAAACTTGTTTGTGATGTGTGTATTCAACTAACAGAGTTGAACATTTCTGTTACAGAACAATTTTAAAACACTCTTTTTGTGGAATCTGAAAGTGGATAATTGGATAGCTTTGTGGATTTCGTTGGAAACGGGATGACGTATAAAATCTAGAGAGAAGCATTCTCAGGAACTTCTTTCTGATGTTTGCATTCAAGTCACAGAATTGAACATTCCTTTTCAGAGTGCAGGTTTGAAACACTCTTTCTGTAGTATCTGGAAGTGGACATTTCAAGCGCTTTCAGGCCTACGGGGAGAAAGGAAATATCTTCAAATAAAAACTAGACAGAAGGATTCTCAGAAATTTATTTGTGATGTGTGTCCTAAACGAACACAGTTGAACCTTTGTTTTGATACAGCATTTTGGAAACACTCCTTTTGTAGGATCTGCAGGTGGATATTTGGATAGATTTTAAGATTTCGTTGGAAACGGGAATTTCTTCATAGAAGCTCAAGACAGATGCATTCTCAGAAACTTCTCTGTGATGTTTGCATTCCACTCATAGAGTTGAAAACTTCCTTTCATAGAGCAGGTTTGAAACACTCTTTTTGAAATATTTGGAAGTGGACATTTGCAGCGCTTTGAGGCCTATGGTGAAAAAGGAAATATCTTCTCATAAAAACCAGAAACAAGCATTCTCAGAAACTTCTTTTTGATGTGTGTACTCAAGTAACAGAGTTGAACCTTCCTTTTGACACAGCAGTTTTGAAACAATCTTTTTGTAGAATCTGCAAGTGGATATTTGGATAGCTTTGAGGATTTCGTTGGAAACGGGATATCTTCATATAAAATCTAGACAGAAGCATTCTCAGAAACTTCTTTGTGCTGTATGTCCTCAATTAACAGAGTTGAACCATTGCTTGGATACAGCATTTTGGAAACATTCCTTTAGTAGAATCTGCAAGTTGATATTTAGATAGCATTGAAGATTTCGTTGGAAACGGGAATATCTTCATATAAAATCTAGACGGAGGCATTCTCAGAAACTGCTTTGTGATGTTTCCATTCAAGTCACAGAGTTGAATATTCTCTTTTCTAGAGCACGTTTGAAACACTCTTTCTGCACTATCTGGAAGTGGACATTTCGAGCGCTTTGAGGCCTATGGTGAAAAAGGAAATATCTTCCCATAAAAACTAGACAGAAGCATTCTCAGAAACTTGTTTGTGATGTGTGTATTCAACTAACAGAGTTGAACTTTTGTTTTTACAGAGCCGTTTTAAAACACTCTTTTTGTGGAATCAGAAAGTGGATATTCGGATGGCTCTGAGGATTTCGTTGGAAGCGGGATTACGTATAAAATCTAGAGAGAAGCATTCTCAGGAACTTCTTTGTGATGTTTGCATTGAAGTCACAGAATTGAACATTCACTTTGATAGAGCAGGTTTGAAACACTCATTCTGTAGTATCTGGAAGTGGACATTTCAAGCGCTTTCAGGCCTATGGTGAGAAAGGAAATATCTTCGAATAAAAACTAGACAGAAAGCATCCTCAGAAACTTATTTGTGATGTGTGTCCTCAACTAACAGAGTTGAAACTTTGTTTTGATACAGCATTTTGGAAACACTCTTTTTGTAGAATCTGCAGGTGGATATTTGGATAGCTTAGAGGGATTCGTTGGAAAGGGGATATCTTCATATAAAATCTAGACAGAGCATTCTCAGAAACTTATTTGTGATGTGTGTCCTCAACTAACAGAGTTGAACCTTGGTTTTGATACAGCATTTTGGAAACACTCCTTTTGTAGAATCTGCAGGTGGATATGTGGATAGCTCTGAAGATTTCGTTGGAAACGGGAATTTCTTCATATAAAATCAAACAGAAGCATTCTCAGGAACTTCTCTGTGATGTTTGCATTCAGCTCATGGAGTTGAACACTTCCTTTCATAGAGCAGGTTTGAAACACTCTTTCTGCACTACCTGGAAGTGGACATTTCGAGCGCTTTGAGGCCTATGGTGAAAAAGGAAATATCCTCTCATAAAAACCAGAAAGAAGCATTCTCAGCAAACTTCTTTCTGTTGTGTGTACTCATGTAACAGTGTTGAACCATCCTTTTGACAGAGCAGTTTTGAAACACTCTTTTTGTAGAATCTGCAAGTGGATATTTGGATAGCTTTGAGGATTTCGTTGGAAACGGGATGACATATAATATCTAGAGAGAAGCATTCTCAGGAACTTCTTTGTGATGTTTGCATTCAAGTCACAGAATTGAACATTCCCTTTCATAGAGCAGGTTTGAAACACTCTTTCTCTAGTATCTGGAAGTGGGCATTTCAAGCGCTTTCAGGCCTATGGAGAGAAAGGAAATACCTTCAAATAAAAACTAGACAGAAGCATTCTCAGAAACTTATTTGTGATGTGTGTCCTCAACTAACAGAGTTGAACCTTTGTTTTGATACAGCATTTTGGAAACACTCCTTTTGTAGAATCTGCAGGTGGATATTTGGATAGCTTTGAAGATTTCGTTGGAAACCGGAATATCTTCATATAAAATCAAGACAGAAGCATTCTCGGAAACATCTCTGTGATGTTTGCATTCAACTCAGTAGAGTTGAACACTTCCTTTCATAGAGCAGGTTTGAAACACTCTTTCTGCACTACCTGGAAGTGGACATTTCGAGCGCTTTGAGGCCTATGGTGAAAAAGGAAATATCTTCTCATAAAAACCAGAAAGAAGCATTCTCAGAAACTTCTTTGTGTTGTGTGTACTCAAGTAACAGTGTTGAACCTTCCTTTTGACAGAGCAGTTTTGAAACACTCTTTTGGTAGAATCTGCAAGTGGATATTTGGATAGCTTTGAGGATTTCGTTGGAAACGGGTTATCTTCATATAAAATCCAGACAGGAGCATTCTCAGAAACTTCTTTGTGCTGTATGTCCTCAATTCACAGAGCTGAACCTTTGTTTGGATACAGCATTTTGGAGACATTCCTTTAGTAGAATCTGCAAGTTGATATTTAGATAGCTTTGAAGATTTCGATGGAAACGGGAATATCTTCATAGAAAATCTAGACGGAAGCATTCTCAGAAACTGCTTTGTGATGTTTGCATTCAAGTCACAGAGTTGAATATTCCCTTTTATAGAGTAGGTTTGAAACACTCTTTCGGCACTACCTGGAAGTGGATATTTCGAGCTCTTTGAGGCCTATGGTTAAAAGGAAATATCTTCCCATAAAAACTAGACAGAAGCCGTCTCAGAAACTTGTTTGTGATGTGTGTATTCAACTAACAGAGTTGAACATTTCTGTTACAGAGCAATTTTAAAACACTCTTTGTGGAATCTGAAAGTGGATAATTGGATAGCTTTGTGGATTTCGTTGGAAGCGGGATGACGTATAAAATCTAGAGAGAAGCATTCTCAGGAACTTCTTTCTGATGTTTGCATTCAAGTCACAGAATTGAACATTCCTTTTCAGAGTGCAGGTTTGAAACACTCTTTCTGTAGTATCTGGAAGTGGACATTTCAAGCGCTTTCAGGCCTACGGGGAGAAAGGAAATATCTTCAAATAAAAACTAGACAGAAGGATTCTCAGAAACTTATTGGTGATGTGTGTCCTAAACGAACACAGTTGAACCTTTGTTTTGATACAGCATTTTGGAAACACTCCCTTTGTAGAATCTGCAGGTGGATATTTGGATAGATTTTAAGATTTCGTTGGAAACGGGAATTTCTTCATATAAACTCAAGACAGATGCATTCTCCGAAACTTCTCTGTGATGTTTGCATTCCACTCATAGAGTTGAAAACTTCCTTTCATAGAGCAGGTTTGAAACACTCTTTTTGTAATATGTGGAAGTGGACATTTGCAGCGCTTTGAGGCCTATGGTGAAAAAGGAAATATCTTCTCATAAAAACCAGAAACAAGCATTCTCAGAAACTTCTTTTTGATGTGTGTACTCAAGTAACAGAGTTGAACCTTCCTTTTGACACAGCAGTTTTGAAACAATCTTTTTGTAGAATCTGCAAGTGGATATTTGGATAGCTTTGAGGATTTCGTTGGAAACGGGATATCTTCATATAAAATCTAGACAGAAGCATTCTCAGAAACTTCTTTGTGCTGTATGTCCTCAATTAACAGAGTTGAACCATTGCTTGGATACAGCATTTTGGAAACATTCCTTGAGTAGAATCTGCAAGTTGATATTTAGATAGATTTGAAGATTTCGTTGGAAAAGGGAATATCTCCATATAAAATCTAGAGGGGAAGCATTCTCAGAAACTGCTTTGTGATGTTTCCATTCAAGTCACAGAGTTGAATATTCCCTTTTATAGAGCACGTTTGAAACACTCTTTCTGCACTATCTGGAAGCGGACATTTCGAGCGCTTTGAGGCCTATGGTGAAAAAGGAAATATCTTCCCATAAAAACTAGACAGAAGCATTCTCAGAAACTTGTTTGTGATGTGTGTATTCAACTAACAGAGTTGAACTTTTGTTTTTACAGAGCCGTTTTAAAACACTCTTTTTGTGGAATCAGAAAGTGGATATTCGGATGGCTCTGAGGATTTCGTTGGAAGCGGGATTACGTATAAAATCTAGAGAGAAGCATTCTCAGGAACTTCTTTGTGATGTTTGCATTGAAGTCACAGAATTGAACATTCACTTTGATAGAGCAGGTTTGAAACACTCATTCTGTAGGATCTGGAAGTGGACATTTCAAGCGCTTTCAGGCCTATGGTGAGAAAGGAAATATCTTCGAATAAAAACTAGACAGAAGCATCCTCAAACTTATTTGTGATGTGTGTCCTCAACTAACAGAGTTGAAACTTTGTTTTGATACAGCATTTTGGAAACACTCTTTTTGTAGAATCTGCAGGTGGATATTTGGATAGCTTAGAGGGATTCGTTGGAAAGGGGATATCTTCATATAGAATCTAGACAGAAGCATTCTCAGAAACTTATTTGTGATGTGTGTCCTCAACTAACAGAGTTGAACCTTGGTTTTGATACAGCATTTTGGAAACACTCCTTTTGTAGAATCTGCAGGTGGATATGTGGATAGCTTTGAAGATTTCGTTGGAAACGGAAATTTCTTCATATAAAATCAAACACAAGCATTCTCAGAAACTTCTCAGTGATGTTTGCATTCAGTTCATGGAGTTGAACACTTCCTTTCATAGAGCCGGTTTGAAACACTCTTTCTGCACTACCTGGAAGAGGACATTTCGAGCGCTTTGAGTCCTATGGTGAAAAAGGAAATATCTTCTCATAGAAACCAGAAAGAAGCATTCTCAGAAACTTCTTTGTGTTGTGTGTACTCATGTAACAGTGTTGAACCATCCTTTTGACAGAGCAGTTTTGAAACACTCTTTTTGTAGAATCTGCAAGTGGATATTTGGATAGCTTTGAGGATTTCGTTGGAAACGGGATGACATATAATATCTAGAGAGAAGCATTCTCAGGAACTTCTTTGTGATGTTTGCATTCAAGTCACAGAATTGAACATTCCCTTTCATAGAGCAGGTTTGAAACACTCTTTCTCTAGTATCTGGAAGTGGGCATTTCAAGCGCTTTCAGGCCTATGGAGAGAAAGGAAATACCTTCAAATAAAAACTAGACAGAAGCATTCTCAGAAACTTATTTGTGATGTGTGTCCTCAACTAACAGAGTTGAACCTTTGTTTTGATACAGCATTTTGGAAACACTCCTTTTGTAGAATCTGCAGGTGGATATTTGGATAGCTTTGAAGATTTCGTTGGAAACCGGAATATCTTCATATAAAATCAAGACAGAAGCATTCTCGGAAACATCTCTGTGATGTTTGCATTCAACTCAGTAGAGTTGAACACTTCCTTTCATAGAGCAGGTTTGAAACACTCTTTCTGCACTACCTGGAAGCGGACATTTCGAGCGCTTTGAGGCCTATGGTGAAAAAGGAAATATCTTCTCATAAAAACCAGAAAGAAGCATTCTCAGAAACTTCTTTGTGTTGTGTGTACTCAAGTAACAGTGTTGAACCTTCCTTTTGACAGAGCAGTTTTGAAACACTCTTTTGGTAGAATCTGCAAGTGGATATTTGGATAGCTTTGAGGATTTCGTTGGAAACGGGTTATCTTCATATAAAATCCAGACAGGAGCATTCTCAGAAACTTCTTTGTGCTGTATGTCCTCAATTCACAGAGTTGAACCTTTGTTTGGATACAGCATTTTGGAAACATTCCTTTAGTAGAATCTGCAAGTTGATATTTAGGTAGCTTTGAAGATTTCGTTGGAAACGGGAATATCTTCATAAAAAATCTAGACGGAAGCATTGTCAGAAACTGCTTTGTGATGTTTGCATTCAAGTCACAGAGTTAAATATTCTTTTACAGAGCAGGTTTGAAACACTCTTTCTGCACTCCCTGGAAGTGGAGATTTCGAGCACTTTGAGGCCTATGGTGAAAAAGGAAATATCTTCCCATAAAAACTAGACGGAAGCCTTCTCAGAAACTTGTTTGAGATGTGTGTATTCAACTAAGAGCGTTGAACATTTCTTTTTACAGAGCAGTTTTAAAACACTCTTTTTGTGGAATCTGAAAGTGGATAATTGGATAGCTTTGTGGATTTCGTTGGAAACGGGATGACGTATAAAATCTAGAGAGAAGCATTCTCAGGAACTTCTTTCTGATGTTTGCATTCAAGTCACAGAATTGAACATTACTTTTCATAGTGCAGGTTTGAAACACTCTTTCTGTAGTATCTGGAAGTGGACATTTCAAGCGCTTTCAGGCCTATGGGGAGAAAGGAAATATCTTCAAATAAAAACTAGACAGAAGGATTCTCAGAAACTTATTGGTGATGTGTGTCCTAAACGAACACAGTTGAACCTTTGTTTTGATACAGCATTTTGGAAACACTCCCTTTGTAGAATCTGCAGGTGGATATTTGGATAGATTTTAAGATTTCGTTGGAAACGGGAATTTCTTCATATAAACTCAAGACAGATGCATTCTCAGAAACTTCTCTGTGATGTTTGCATTCCACTCATAGAGTTGAAAACTTCCTTTCATAGAGCACGTTTGAAACACTCTTTTTGTAATATTTGGAAGTGGACCTTTGCAGCGCTTTGAGGCCTATGGTGAAAAAGGAAATAGCTTCTCATAAAAACCAGAAACAAGCATTCTCAGCAAACTTCTTTTTGATGTGTGTACTCAAGTAACAGAGTTGAACCTTCCTTTTGACACAGCAGTTTTGAAACAATCTTTTTGTAGAATCTGCAAGTGGATATTTGGATAGCTTTGAGGATTTCGTTGGAAACGGGATATCTTCATATAAAATCTAGACAGAAGCATTCTCAGAAACTTCTTTGTGCTGTATGTCCTCAATTAACAGAGTTGAACCATTGCCTGGATACAGCATTTTGGAAACATTCCTTGAGTAGAATCTGCAAGTTGATATTTAGATAGATTTGAAGATTTCGTTGGAAAAGGGAATATCTCCATATAAAATCTAGAGGGAAGCATTCTCAGAAACTGCTTTGTGATGTTTCCATTCAAGTCACAGAGTTGAATATTCCCTTTTATAGAGCACGTTTGAAACACTCTTTCTGCACTATCTGGAAGCGGACATTTCGAGCGCTTTGAGGCCTATGGTGAAAAAGGAAATATCTTCCCATAAAAACTAGACAGAAGCATTCTCAGAAACTTGTTTGTGATGTGTGTATTCAACTAACAGAGTTGAACTTTTGTTTTTACAGAGCCGTTTTAAAACACTCTTTTTGTGGAATCAGAAAGTGGATATTCGGATGGCTCTGAGGATTTCGTTGGAAGCGGGATTACGTATAAAATCTAGAGAGAAGCATTCTCAGGAACTTCTTTCTGATGTTTGCATTGAAGTCACGGAATTGAACATTCACTTTTATAGAGCAGGTTTGAAACACTCATTCTGTAGTATCTGGAAGTGGATATTTCAAGCGCTTTCAGGCCTATGGTGAGAAAGGAAATATCTTCGAATAAAAACTAGACAGAAGCATCCTCAAACTTATTTGTGATGTGTGTCCTCAACTAACAGAGTTGAACCTTTGTTTTGATACAGCATTTTGGAAACACTCTTTTTGTAGAATCTGCAGGTGGATATTTGGATAGCTTAGAGGGATTCGTTGGAAAGGGGATATCTTCATATAAAATCTAGACAGAAGCATTCTCAGAAACTTATTTGTGATGTGTGTCCTCAACTAACAGAGTTGAACTTTGGTTTTGATACAGCATTTTGGAAACACTCCTTTTGTAGAATCTGCAGGTGGATATGTGGATAGCTCTGAAGATTTCGTTGGAAACGGGAATTTCTTCATATAAAATCAAACAGAAGCATTCTCAGAAACTTCTCAGTGATGTTTGCATTCAGCTCATGGAGTTGTACACTTCCTTTCATAGAGCAGGTTTGAAACACTCTTTCTGCACTACCTGGAAGAGGACATTTCGAGCGCTTTGAGTCCTATGGTGAAAAAGGAAATATCTTCTCATAGAAACCAGAAAGAAGCATTCTCAGAAACTTCTTTGTGTTGTGTGTACTCATGTAACAGTGTTGAACCATCCTTTTGACAGAGCAGTTTTGAAACACTCTTTTTGTAGAATCTGCAAGTGGATATTTGGATAGCTTTGAGGATTTCGTTGGAAACGGGATGACATATAATATCTAGAGAGAAGCATTCTCAGGAACTTCTTTGTGATGTTTGCATTCAAGTCACAGAATTGAACATTCCCTTTCATAGAGCAGGTTTGAAACACTCTTTCTCTAGTATCTGGAAGTGGGCATTTCAAGCGCTTTCAGGCCTATGGAGAGAAAGGAAATACCTTCAAATAAAAACTAGACAGAAGCATTCTCAGAAACTTATTTGTGATGTGTGTCCTCAACTAACAGAGTTGAACCTTTGTTTTGATACAGCATTTTGGAAACACTCCTTTTGTAGAATCTGCAGGTGGATATTTGGATAGCTTTGAAGATTTCGTTGGAAACCGGAATATCTTCCTATAAAATCAAGACAGAAGCATTCTCGGAAACATCTCTGTGATGTTTGCATTCAACTCAGTAGAGTTGAACACTTCCTTTCATAGAGCAGGTTTGAAACACTCTTTCTGCCCTACCTGGAAGCGGACATTTCGAGCTCTTTGAGGCCTATGGTGAAAAAGGAAATATCTTCTCATAAAAACCAGAAAGAAGCATTCTCAGAAACTTCTTTGTGTTGTGTGTACTCAAGTAACAGTGTTGAACCTTCCTTTTGACAGAGTAGTTTTGAAACACTCTTTTGGTAGAATCTGCAAGTGGATATTTGGATAGCTTTGAGGATTTCGTTGGGAACGGGTTATCTTCCTATAAAATCCAGACAGGAGCATTCTCAGAAACTTCTTTGTGCTGTATGTCCTCAATTCACAGAGCTGAACCTTTGTTTGGATACAGCATTTTGGAGACATTCCTTTAGTAGAATCTGCAAGTTGATATTTAGATAGCTTTGAAGATTTCGTTGGAAACGGGAATATCTTCATAGAAAATCTAGACGGGAAGCATTCTCAGAAACTGCTTTGTGATGTTTGCATTCAAGTCACAGAGTTGAATATTCCCTTTTATAGAGTAGGTTTGAAACACTCTTTCGGCACTACCTGGAAGTGGATATTTCGAGCTCTTTGAGGCCTATGGTTAAAAGGAAATATCTTCCCATAAAAACTAGACAGAAGCCTTCTCCGAAACTTGTTTGAGATGTGTGTATTCAACTAGGAGAGTTGAACATTTCTTTTTACAGAGCAGTTTTAAAACACTCTTTTTGTGGAATCTGAAAGTGGAAGTTTGGATAGCTTTGAGGATTTCGTTGGAAGCGGGATGACATATAAAATCTAGAGAGAAGCATTCTCAGGAACTTCCTTGTGATGTTTGCATTCAAGTCACAGAATTGAACATTCCCTTTCATAGAGCAGGTTTGAAACACTCTTTCTCTAGTATCTGGAAGTGGACATTTCAAGCGATTTCTGGCCTATGGAGAGAAAGGAAATACCTTCAAATAAAAACTAGACAGAAGCATTCTCAGAAACTTATTTGTGATGTGTGTCCTCAACTAACAGAGTTGAACCTTTGTTTTGATACAGCATTTTGGAAACACTCCTTTTGTAGAATCTGCAGGTGTATATTTGGATAGCTTTGAAGATTTCGTTGGAAACCGGAATATCTTCGTATAAAATCAAGACAGAAGCATTCTCGGAAACATCTCTGTGATGTTTGCATTCAACTCAGTAGAGTTGAACACTTCCTTTCATAGAGCAGGTTTGAAACACTCTTTCTGCACTACCTGGAAGCGGACATTTCGGGCGCTTTGAGGCCTATGGTGAAAAAGGAAATATCTTCTCATAAAAACCAGAAAGAAGCATTCTCAGAAACTTCTTTGTGTTGTGTGTACTCAAGTAACAGTGTTGAACCTTCCTTTTGACAGAGCAGTTTTGAAACACTCTTTTGGTAGAATCTGCAAGTGGATATTTGGATAGCTTTGAGGATTTCGTTGGAAACGGGTTATCTTCATATAAAATCCAGACAGGAGCATTCTCAGAAACTTCTTTGTGCTGTATGTCCTCAATTCACAGAGCTGAACCTTTGTTTGGATACAGCATTTTGGAAACATTCCTTTAGTAGAATCTGTAAGTTGATATTTAGATAGATTTGAAGATTTCGTTGGAAACGGGAATATCTTCATAAAAAATCTAGACGGAAGCATTCTCAGAAACTGCTTTGTGATGTTTGCATTCAAGTCACAGAGTTGAATATTCCCTTTTATAGAGTAGGTTTGAAACACTCTTTCGGCACTACCTGGAAGTGGATATTTCGAGCTCTTTGAGGCCTATGGTTAAAAGGAAATATCTTCCCATAAAAACTAGACAGAAGCCGTCTCAGAAACTTGTTTGTGATGTGTGTATTCAACTACCAGAGTTGAACATTTCTGTTACAGAGCAATTTTAAAACACTCTTTCTGTGGAATCTGAAAGTGGATAATTGGATAGCTTTGTGGATTTCGTTGGAAACGGGATGACGTATAAAATCTAGAGAGAAGCATTCTCAGGAACTTCTTTCTGATGTTTGCATTCAAGTCACAGAATTGAACATTCCTTTTCAGAGTGCAGGTTTGAAACACTCTTTCTGTAGTATCTGGAAGTGGACATTTCAAGCGCTTTCAGGCCTACGGGGAGAAAGGAAATATCTTCAAATAAAAACTAGAGAGAAGGATTCTCAGAAACTTATTTGTGATGTGTGTCCTAAACGAACACAGTTGAACCTTTGTTTTGATACAGCATTTTGGAAACACTCCTTTTGTAGGATCTGCAGGTGGATATTTGGATAGATTTTAAGATTTCGTTGGAAACGGGAATTTCTGCATATAAACTCAAGACAGATGCATTCTCAGAAACTTCTCTGTGATGTTTGCATTCCACTCATAGAGTTGAAAACTTCCTTTCATAGAGCAGGTTTGAAACACCCTTTTTGTAGTATTTGGAAGTGGACATTTGCAGCGCTTTGAGGCCTATGGTGAAAAAGGAAATATCTTCTCATAAAAACCAGAAACAAGCATTCTCAGAAACTTCTTTTTGATGTGTGTACTCAAGTAACAGAGTTGAACCTTCCTTTTGACACAGCAGTTTTGAAACAATCTTTTTGTAGAATCTGCAAGTGGATATTTGGATAGCTTTGAGGATTTCGTTGGAAACGGGATATCTTCATATAAAATCTAGACAGAAGCATTCTCAGAAACTTCTTTATGCTGTATGTCCTCAATTAACAGAGTTGAACCATTGCTTGGATACAGCATTTTGGAAACATTCCTTTAGTAGAATCTGCAAGTTGATATTTAGATAGATTTGAAGATTTCGTTGGAAACGGGAATATCTTCATATAAAATCTAGACGGAGGCATTCTCAGAAACTGCTTTGTGATGTTTCCATTCAAGTCACAGAGTTGAATATTCTCTTTTATAGAGCACGTTTGAAACACTCTTTCTGCACCATCTGGAAGTGGACATTTCGAGCGCTGTGAGGCCTATGGTGAAAAAGGAAATATCTTCCCATAAAAACTAGACAGAAGCATTCTCAGAAACTTGTTTGTGATGTGTGTATTCAACTAACAGAGTTGAACTTTTGTTTTTACAGAGCCGTTTTAAAACACTCTTTTTGTGGAATCAGAAAGTGGATATTCGGATGGCTCTGAGGATTTCGTTGGAAGCGGGATTACGTATAAAATCTAGAGAGAAGCATTCTCAGGAACTTCTTTGTGATGTTTGCATTGAAGTCACAGAATTGAACATTCACTTTTATAGAGCAGGTTTGAAACACTCATTCTGTAGTATCTGGAAGTGGACATTTCAAGCGCTTTCAGGCCTATGGTGAGAAAGGAAATATCTTCAAATAAAAACTAGACCGAGGCATTCTCAGAAACTGCTTTGTGATGTTTCCATTCAAGTCAGAGAGTTGAATATTCTCTTTTATAGAGCACGTTTGAAACACTCTTTCTGCACTATCTGGAAGTGGACATTTCGAGCGCTGTGAGGCCTATGGTGAAAAAGGAAATATCTTCCCATAAAAACTAGACAGAAGCATTCTCAGAATCTTGTTTGTGATGTGTGTCCTCAACTAACAGAGTTGAACCTTGGTTTTGATACAGCATTTTGGAAACACTCCTTTTGTAGAATCTGCAGGTGGATATGTGGATAGCTTTGAAGATTTCGTTGGAAACGGGAATTTCTTCATATAAAATCAAACAGAAGCATTCTCAGAAACTTCTCAGTGATGTTTGCATTCAGCTCATGGAGTTGTACACTTCCTTTCATAGAGCAGGTTTGAAACACTCTTTCTGCACTACCTGGAAGAGGACATTTCGAGCGCTTTGAGTCCTATGGTGAAAAAGGAAATATCTTCTCATAGAAACCAGAAAGAAGCATTCTCAGAAACTTCTTTGTGTTGTGTGTACTCATGTAACAGTGTTGAACCATCCTTTTGACAGAGGAGTTTTGAAACACTCTTTTTGTAGAATCTGCAAGTGGATATTTGGATAGCTTTGAGGATTTCGTTGGAAACGGGATGACATATAATATCTAGAGAGAAGCATTCTCAGGAACTTCTTTGTGATGTTTGCATTCAAGTCACAGAATTGAACATTCCCTTTCATAGAGCAGGTTTGAAACACTCTTTCTCTAGTATCTGGAAGTGGGCATTTCAAGCGCTTTCAGGCCTATGGAGAGAAAGGAAATACCTTCAAATAAAAACTAGACAGAAGCATTCTCAGAAACTTATTTGTGATGTGTGTCCTCAACTAACAGAGTTGAACCTTTGTTTTGATACAGCATTTTGGAAACACTCCTTTTGTAGAATCTGCAGGTGGATATTTGGATAGCTTTGAAGATTTCGTTGGAAACCGGAATATCTTCATATAAAATCAAGACAGAAGCATTCTCGGAAACATCTCTGTGATGTTTGCATTCAACTCAGTAGAGTTGAACACTTCCTTTCATAGAGCAGGTTTGAAACACTCTTTCTGCACTACCTGGAAGCGGACATTTCGAGCGCTTTGAGGCCTATGGTGAAAAAGGAAATATCTTCTCATAAAAACCAGAAAGAAGCATTCTCAGAAACTTCTTTGTGTTGTGTGTACTCAAGTAACAGTGTTGAACCTTCCTTTTGACAGAGCAGTTTTGAAACACTCTTTTGGTAGAATCTGCAAGTGGATATTTGGATAGCTTTGAGGATTTCGTTGGAAACGGGTTATCTTCCTATAAAATCCAGACAGGAGCATTCTCAGAAACTTCTTTGTGCTGTAAGTCCTCAATTCACAGAGTTGAACCTTTGTTTGGATACAGCATTCTGGAAACATTCCTTTAGTAGAATCTGCAAGTTGATATTTAGATAGCTTTGAAGATTTCGTTGGAAACGGGAATAACTTCATTAAAAATCTAGACGGAAGCATTGTCAGAAACTGCTTTGTGATGTTTGCATTCAAGTCACAGAGTTAAATATTCTTTTACAGAGCAGGTTTGAAACACTCTTTCTGCACTCCCTGGAAGTGGAGATTTCGAGCTCTTTGAGGCCTATGGTGAAAAAGGAAATATCTTCCCATAAAAACTAGACGGAAGCCTTCTCAGAAACTTGTTTGAGATGTGTGTATTCAACTAAGAGCGTTGAACATTTCTTTTTAGAGAGCAGTTTTAAAACACTCTTTTTGTGGAATCTGAAAGTGGATAATTGGATAGCTTTGTGGATTTCGTTGGAAACGGGATGACGTATAAAATCTAGAGAGAAGCATTCTCAGGAACTTCTTTCTGATGTTTGCATTCAAGTCACAGAATTGAACATTCCTTTTCATAGTGCAGGTTTGAAACACTCTTTCTGTAGTATCTGGAAGTGGACATTTCAAGCGCTTTCAGGCCTGTGGGGAGAAAGGAAATATCTTCAAATAAAAACTAGACAGAAGGATTCTCAGAAACTTTTTGGTGATGTGTGTCCTAAACGAACACAGTTGAACCTTTGTTTTGATACAGCCTTTTGGAAACACTCCCTTTGTAGAATCTGCAGGTGGATATTTGGATAGATTTTAAGATTTCGTTGGAAACGGGAATTTCTTCATATAAACTCAAGACAGATGCATTCTCAGAAACTTCTCTGTGATGTTTGCATTCCACTCATAGAGTTGAAAACTTCCTTTCATAGAGCAGGTTTGAAACACTCTTTTTGTAATATTTGGAAGTGGAGATTTGCAGTGCTTTGAGGCCTATGGTGAAAAAGGAAATATCTTCTCATAAAAACCAGAAACAAGCATTCTCAGAAACTTCTTTTTGATGTGTGTACTCAAGTAACAGAGTTGAACCTTCCTTTTGACACAGCAGTTTTGAAACAATCTTTTTGTAGAATCTGCAAGTGGATATTTGGATAGCTTTGAGGATTCCGTTGGAAACGGGATATCTTCATATAAAATCTAGACAGAAGCATTCTCAGAAACTTCTTTGTGCTGTATGACCTCAATTAACAGAGTTGAACCATTGCCTGGATACAGCATTTTGGAAACATTCCTTGAGTAGAATCTGCAAGTTGATATTTAGATAGATTTGAAGATTTCGTTGGAAACGGGAATATCTCCATATAAAATCTAGAGGGAAGCATTCTCAGAAACTGCTTTGTGATGTTTCCATTCAAGTCACAGAGTTGAATATTCCCTTTTATAGAGCACGTTTGAAACACTCTTTCTGCACTATCTGGAAGCGGACATTTCGAGCGCTTTGAGGCCTATGGTGAAAAAGGAAATATCTTCCCATAAAAACTAGACAGAAGCATTCTCAGAAACTTGTTTGTGATGTGTGTATTCAACTAACAGAGTTGAACTTTTGTTTTTACAGAGCCGTTTTAAAACACTCTTTTTGTGGAATCAGAAAGTGGATATTCGGATGGCTCTGAGGATTTCGTTGGAAGTGGGATTACGTATAAAATCTAGAGAGAAGCATTCTCAGGAACTTCTTTGTGATGTTTGCATTGAAGTCACAGAATTGAACATTCACTTTGATAGAGCAGGTTTGAAACACTCATTCTGTAGTATCTGGAAGTGGACATTTCAAGCGCTTTCAGGCCTATGGTGAGAAAGGAAATATCTTCGAATAAAAACTAGACAGAAGCATCCTCAGAAACTTATTTGTGATGTGTGTCCTCAACTAACAGAGTTAAAACTTTGTTTTGATACAGCATTTTGGAAACACTCTTTTTGTAGAATCTGCAGGTGGATATTTGGATAGCTTAGAGGGATTCGTTGGAAAGGGGATATCTTCATATAAAATCTAGACAGAAGCATTCTCAGAAACTTATTTGTGATGTGTGTCCTCAACTAACAGAGTTGAACCTTTGTTTTGATACAGCATTTTGGAAACACTCCTTTTGTAGAATCTGCAGGTGGATATTTGGATAGCTTTGAAGATTTCGTTGGAAACCGGAATATCTTCATATAAAATCAAGACAGAAGCATTCTCGGAAACATCTCTGTGATGTTTGCATTCAACTCAGTAGAGTTGAACACTTCCTTTCATAGAGCAGGTTTCAAACACTCTTTCTGCACTACCTGGAAGCGGACATTTCGAGCGCTTTGAGGCCTATGGTGAAAAAGGAAATATCTTCTCATAAAAACCAGAAAGAAGCATTCTCAGAAACTTCTTTGTGTTGTGTGTACTCAAGTAACAGTGTTGAACCTTCCTTTTGACAGAGCAGTTTTGAAACACTCTTTTGGTAGAATCTGCAAGTGGATATTTGGATAGCTTTGAGGATTTCGTTGGAAACGGGTTATCTTCATATAAAATCCAGACAGGAGCATTCTCAGAAACTTCTTTGTGCTGTATGTCCTCAATTCACAGAGCTGAACCTTTGTTTGGATACAGCATTTTGGAGACATTCCTTTAGTAGAATCTGCAAGTTGATATTTAGATAGCTTTGAAGATTTCGTTGGAAACGGGAATATCTTCATAGAAAATCTAGACGGAAGCATTCTCAGAAACTGCTTTGTGATGTTTGCATTCAAGTCACAGAGTTGAATATTCCCTTTTATAGAGTAGGTTTGAAACACTCTTTCGGCACTACCTGGAAGTGGATATTTCGAGCTCTTTGAGGCCTATGGTTAAAAGGAAATATCTTCCCATAAAAACTAGACAGAAGCCGTCTCAGAAACTTGTTTGTGATGTGTGTATTCAACTACCAGAGTTGAACATTTCTGTTACAGAGCAATTTTAAAACACTCTTTTTGTGGAATCTGAAAGTGGATAATTGGATAGCTTTGTGGATTTCGTTGGAAACGGGATGACGTATAAAATCTAGAGAGAAGCATTCTCAGGAACTTCTTTCTGATGTTTGCATTCAAGTCACAGAATTGAACATTCCTTTTCATAGTGCAGGTTTGAAACACTCTTTCTGTAGTATCTGGAAGTGGACATTTCAAGCGCTTTCAGGCCTATGGGGAGAAAGGAAATATCTTCAAATAAAAACTAGACAGAAGGATTCTCAGAAACTTATTTGTGATGTGTGTCCTAAACGAACACAGTTGAACCTTTGTTTTGATACAGCATTTTGGAAACACTCCTTTTGTAGGATCTGCAGGTGGATATTTGGATAGATTTTAAGATTTCGTTGGAAACGGGAATTTCTTCATAGAAGCTCAAGACAGATGCATTCTCAGAAACTTCTCTGTGATGTTTGCATTCCACTCACAGAGTTGAAAACTTCCTTTCATAGAGCAGGTTTGAAACACTCTTTTTGTAATATTTGGAAGTGGACATTTGCAGCGCTTTGAGGCCTATGGTGAAAAAGGAAATATCTTCTCATAAAAACCAGAAACAAGCATTCTCAGAAACTGCTTTTTGATGTGTGTACTCAAGTAACAGAGTTGAACCTTCCTTTTGACACAGCAGTTTTGAAACAATCTTTTTGTAGAATCTGCAAGTGGATATTTGGATAGCTTTGAGGATTTCGTTGGAAACGGGATATCTTCATATAAAATCTAGACAGAAGCATTCTCAGAAACTTCTTTGTGCTGTATGTCCTCAATTAACAGAGTTGAACCATTGCTTGGATACAGCATTTTGGAAACATTCCTTTAGTAGAATCTGCAAGTTGATATTTAGATAGATTTGAAGATTTCGTTGGAAACGGGAATACCTTCATATAAAATCTAGACGGAGGCATTCTCAGAAACTGCTTTGTGATGTTTCCATTCAAGTCACAGAGTTGAATATTCTCTTTTATAGAGCACGTTTGAAACACTCTTTCTGCACCATCTGGAAGTGGACATTTCGAGCGCTTT
The DNA here is from genome assembly GCF_000001405.40 of Homo sapiens. Taxonomy (NCBI): domain Eukaryota; kingdom Metazoa; phylum Chordata; class Mammalia; order Primates; family Hominidae; genus Homo; species Homo sapiens. Next base: position 51,377,526 of record NC_000004.12, read on the forward strand.
GAGGCCTATGGTGAAAAAGGAAATATCTTCCCATAAAAACTAGACAGAAGCATTCTCAGAAACTTGTTTGTGATGTGTGTATTCAACTAACAGACTTGAACTTTTGTTTTTACAGAGCAGTTTTAAAACAATCTTTTTGTGGAATCAGAAAGTGGATATTCGGATGGCTCTGAGGATTTCGTTGGAAGCGGGATTACGTATAAAATCTAGAGAGAAGCATTCTCAGGAACTACTTTGTGATGTTTGCATTGAAGTCACAGAATTGAACATTCACTTTGATAGAACAGGTTTGAAACACTCATTCTGTAGTATCTGGAAGTGGACATTTCAAGCGCTTTCAGGCCTATGGTGAGAAAGGAAATATCTTCAAATAAAAACTAGACAGAAGCATCCTCAGAAACTTATTTGTGATGTGTGTCCTCAACTAACAGAGTTGAAACTTTGTTTTGATACAGCATTTTGGAAACACTCTTTTTGTAGAATCTGCAGGTGGATACTTGGATAGCTTAGAGGGATTCGTTGGAAAGGGGATATCTTCATATAAAATGTAGACAGAAGCATTCTCAGAAACTTATTTGTGATGTGTGTCCTCAACTAACAGAGTTGAACCTTGGTTTTGATACAGCATTTTGGAAACACTCCTTTTGAAGAATCTGCAGGTGGATATGTGGATAGCTTTGAAGATTTCGTTGGAAACGGGAATTTCTTCATATAAAATCAAACAGAAGCATTCTCAGAAACTTCTCAGTGATGTTTGCATTCAGCTCATGGAGTTGAACACTTCCTTTCATAGAGCAGGTTTGAAACACTCTTTCTGCACTACCTGGAAGAGGACATTTCGAGCGCTTTGAGTCCTATGGTGAAAAAGGAAATATCTTCTCATAGAAACCAGAAAGAAGCATTCTCAGAAACTTCTTTGTGTTGTGTGTACTCATGTAACAGTGTTGAACCATCCTTTTGACAGAGGAGTTTTGAAACACTCTTTTTGTAGAATCTGCAAGTGGATATTTGGATAGCTTTGAGGATTTCGTTGGAAACGGGATGACATATAATATCTAGAGAGAAGCATTCTCAGGAACTTCTTTGTGATGTTTGCATTCAAGTCACAGAATTGAACATTCCCTTTCATAGAGCAGGTTTGAAACACTCTTTCTCTAGTATCTGGAAGTGGGCATTTCAAGCGCTTTCAGGCCTATGGAGAGAAAGGAAATACCTTCAAATAAAAACTAGACAGAAGCATTCTCAGAAACTTATTTGTGATGTGTGACCTCAAATAACAGAGTTGAACCTTTGTTTTGATACAGCATTTTGGAAACACTCCTTTTGTAGAATCTGCAGGTGGATATTTGGATAGCTTTGAAGATTTCGTTGGAAACCGGAATATCTTCATATAAAATCAAGACAGAAGCATTCTCGGAAACATCTCTGTGATGTTTGCATTCAACTCAGTAGAGTTGAACACTTCCTTTCATAGAGCAGGTTTGAAACACTCTTTCTGCACTACCTGGAAGCGGACATTTCGAGCGCTTTGAGGCCTATGGTGAAAAAGGAAATATCTTCTCATAAAAACCAGAAAGAAGCATTCTCAGAAACTTCTTTGTGTTGTGTGTACTCAAGTAACAGTGTTGAACCTTCCTTTTGACAGAGCAGTTTTGAAACACTCTTTTGGTAGAATCTGCAAGTGGATATTTGGATAGCTTTGAGGATTTCGTTGGAAACGGGTTATCTTCATATAAAATCCAGACAGGAGCATTCTCAGAAACTTCTTTGTGCTGTATGTCCTCAATTCACAGAGCTGAACCTTTGTTTGGATACAGCATTTTGGAGACATTCCTTTAGTAGAATCTGCAAGTTGATATTTAGATAGCTTTGAAGATTTCGTTGGAAACGGGAATATCTTCATAGAAAATCTAGACGGAAGCATTCTCAGAAACTGCTTTGTGATGTTTGCATTCAAGTCACAGAGTTGAATATTCCCTTTTATAGAGTAGGTTTGAAACACTCTTTCGGCACTACCTGGAAGTGGATATTTCGAGCTCTTTGAGGCCTATGGTTAAAAGGAAATATCTTCCCATAAAAACTAGACAGAAGCCGTCTCAGAAACTTGTTTGTGATGTGTGTATTCAACTAACAGAGTTGAACATTTCTGTTACAGAGCAATTTTAAAACACTCTTTGTGGAATCTGAAAGTGGATAATTGGATAGCTTTGTGGATTTCGTTGGAAACGGGATGACGTATAAAATCTAGAGAGAAGCATTCTCAGGAACTTCTTTCTGATGTTTGCATTCAAGTCACAGAATTGAACATTCCTTTTCATAGTGCAGGTTTGAAACACTCTTTCTGTACTATCTGGAAGTGGACATTTCCAGCGCTTTCAGGCCTATGGGGAGAAAGGAAATATCTTCAAATAAAAACTAGACAGAAGGATTCTCAGAAACTTATTGGTGATGTGTGTCCTAAACGAACACAGTTGAACCTTTGTTTTGATACAGCATTTTGGAAACACTCCCTTTGTAGAATCTGCAGGTGGATATTTGGATAGATTTTAAGATTTCGTTGGAAACGGGAATTTCTTCATATAAACTCAAGACAGATGCATTCTCAGAAACTTCTCTGTGATGTTTGCATTCCACTCATAGAGTTGAAAACTTCCTTTCATAGAACAGGTTTGAAACACTCTTTCTGTAATATTTGGAAGTGGACATTTGCAGCGCTTTGAGGCCTATGGTGAAAAAGGAAATATCTTCTCATAAAAACCAGAAACAAGCATTCTCAGAAACTGCTTTTTGATGTGTGTACTCAAGTAACAGAGTTGAACCTTCCTTTTGACACAGCAGTTTTGAAACAATCTTTTTGTAGAATCTGCAAGTGGATATTTGGATAGCTTTGAGGATTTCGTTGGAAACGGGATATCTTCATATAAAATCTAGACAGAAGCATTCTCAGAAACTTCTTTGTGCTGTATGTCCTCAATTAACAGAGTTGAACCATTGCTTGGATACAGCATTTTGGAAACATTCCTTTAGTAGAATCTGCAAGTTGATATTTAGATAGCATTGAAGATTTCGTTGGAAACGGGAATATCTTCATATAAAATCTAGACGGAAGCATTGTCAGAAACTGCTTTGTGATGTTTGCATTCAAGTCACAGAGTTAAATATTCTTTTACAGAGCAGGTTTGAAACACTCTTTCTGCACTCCCTGGAAGTGGAGATTTCGAGCTCTTTGAGGCCTATGGTGAAAAAGGAAATATCTTCCCATAAAAACTAGACGGAAGCCGTCTCAGAAACTTGTTTGTGATGTGTGTATTCAACTAACAGAGTTGAACATTTCTGTTACAGAGCAATTTTAAAACACTCTTTTTGTGGAATCTGAAAGTGGATAATTGGGTAGCTTTGTGGATTTCGTTGGAAACGGGATGACGTATAAAATCTAGAGAGAAGCATTCTCAGGAACTTCTTTCTGATGTTTGCATTCAAGTCACAGAATTGAACATTCCTTTTCAGAGTGCAGGTTTGAAACACTCTTTCTGTAGTATCTGGAAGTGGACATTTCAAGCGCTTTCAGGCCTACGGGGAGAAAGGAAATATCTTCAAATAAAAACTAGACAGAAGGATTCTCAGAAACTTATTTGTGATGTGTGTCCTAAACGAACACAGTTGAACCTTTGTTTTGATACAGCATTTTGGAAACACTCCTTTTGTAGGATCTGCAGGTGGATATTTGGATAGATTTTAAGATTTCGTTGGAAACGGGAATTTCTGCATATAAACTCAAGACAGATGCATTCTCAGAAACTTCTCTGTGATGTTTGCATTCCACTCATAGAGTTGAAAACTTCCTTTCATAGAGCAGGTTTGAAACACTCTTTTTGTAATATTTGGAAGTGGACATTTGCAGCGCTTTGAGGCCTATGGTGAAAAAGGAAATATCTTCTCATAAAAACCAGAAACAAGCATTCTCAGAAACTTCTTTTTGATGTGTGTACTCAAGTAACAGAGTTGAACCTTCCTTTTGACACAGCAGTTTTGAAACAATCTTTTTGTAGGATCTGCAAGTGGATATTTGGATAGCTTTGAGGATTTCGTTGGAAACGGGATATCTTCATATAAAATCTAGACAGAAGCATTCTCAGAAACTTCTTTGTGCTGTATGTCCTCAATTAACAGAGTTGAACCATTGCTTGGATATAGCATTTTGGAAACATTCCTTTAGTAGAATCTGTAAGTTGATATTTAGATAGATTTGAAGATTTCGTTGGAAACGGGAATATCTTCATAAAAAATCTAGACGGAGGCACTCTCAGAAACTGCTTTGTGATGTTTCCATTCAAGTCACAGAGTTGAATATTCTCTTTTATAGAGCACGTTTGAAACACTCTTTCTGCACTATCTGGAAGTGGACATTTCGAGCGCTTTGAGGCCTATGGTGAAAAAGGAAATATCTTCCCATAAAAACTAGACAGAAGCATTCTCAGAAACTTGTTTGTGATGTGTGTATTCAACTAACAGACTTGAACTTTTGTTTTTACAGAGCAGTTTTAAAACACTCTTTTTGTGGAATCAGAAAGTGGATATTCGGATGGCTTTGAGGATTTCGTTGGAAGCGGGATTACATATAAAATCTAGAGAGAAGCATTCTCAGGAACTTCTTTGTGATGTTTGCATTGAAGTCACAGAATTGAACATTCACTTTGATAGAGCAGGTTTGAAACACTCATTCTGTAATATCTGGAAGTGGACATTTCAAGCGCTTTCAGGCCTATGGTGAGAAAGGGAATATCTTCTAATAAAAACTAGACAGAAGCATCCTCAGAAACTTATTTGTGATGTGTGTCCTCAACTAACAGAGTTGAAACTTTGTTTTGCTACCACATTTTGGAAACACTCTTTTTGTAGAATCTGCAGGTGGATATTTGGATAGCTTAGAGGGATTCGTTGGAAAGGGGATATCTTCATATAAAATCTAGACAGAAGCATTCTCAGAAACTTATTTGTGATGTGTGTCCTCAACTAACAGAGTTGAACCTTGGTTTTGATACAGCAGTTTGGAAACACTCCTTTTGTAGAATCTGCAGGTGTATATGTGGATAGCTTTGAAGATTTCGTTGGAAACGGGAATTTCTTCATATAAAATCAAACAGAAGCATTCTTAGAAACTTCTCAGTGATGTTTGCATTCAGCTCATGGAGTTGTACACTTCCTTTCATAGAGCAGGTTTGAAACACTCTTTCTGCACTACCTGGAAGAGGACATTTCGAGCGCTTTGAGTCCTATGGTGAAAAATGGAAATATCTTCTCATAGAAACCAGAAAGAAGCATTCTCAGAAACTTCTTTGTGTTGTGTGTACTCATGTAACAGTGTTGAACCATCCTTTTGACAGAGCAGTTTTGAAACACTCTTTTTGTAGAATCTGCAAGTGGATATTTGGATAGCTTTGAGGATTTCGTTGGAAACGGGATGACATATAATATCTAGAGAGAAGCATTCTCAGGAACTTCTTTGTGATGTTTGCATTCAAGTCACAGAATTGAACATTCCCTTTCATAGAGCAGGTTTGAAACACTCTTTCTCTAGTATCTGGAAGTGGGCATTTCAAGCGCTTTCAGGCCTATGGAGAGAAAGGAAATACCTTCAAATAAAAACTAGACAGAAGCATTCTCAGAAACTTATTTGTGATGTGTGTCCTCAACTAACAGAGTTGAACCTTTGTTTTGATACAGCATTTTGGAAACACTCCTTTTGTAGAATCTGCAGGTGGATATTTGGATAGCTTTGAAGATTTCGTTGGAAACCGGAATATCTTCATATAAAATCAAGACAGAAGCATTCTCAGAAACTTCTCTGTGATGTTTGCATTCAGCTCATGGAGTTGAACACTTCCTTTCATAGAGCAGGTTTGAAACACTCTTTCTGCACTACCTGGAAGCGGACATTTCGAGCGCTTTGAGGCCTATGGTGAAAAAGGAAATATCTTCTCATAAAAACCAGAAAGAAGCATTCTCAAAAACTTCTTTGTGTTGTGTGTACTCAAGTAACAGTGTTGAACCTTCCTTTTGACAGAGCAGGTTTGAAACACTCTTTTGGTAGAATCTGCAAGTGGATATTTGGATAGCTTTGAGGATTTCGTTGGAAACGGGTTATCTTCATATAAAATCCAGACAGGAGCATTCTCAGAAACTTCTTTGTGCTGTATGTCCTCAATTCACAGAGCTGAACCTTTGTTTGGATACAGCATTTTGGAGACATTCCTTTAGTAGAATCTGCAAGTTGATATTTAGATAGCTTTGAAGATTTCGTTGGAAACGGGAATATCTTCATAGAAAATCTAGACGGAAGCATTCTCAGAAACTGCTTTGTGATGTTTGCATTCAAGTCACAGAGTTGAATATTCCCTTTTATAGAGTAGGTTTGAAACACTCTTTCGGCACTACCTGGAAGTGGATATTTCGAGCTCTTTGAGGCCTATGGTTAAAAGGAAATATCTTCCCATAAAAACTAGACAGAAGCCGTCTCAGAAACTTGTTTGTGATGTGTGTATTCAACTAACAGAGTTGAACATTTCTGTTACAGAGCAATTTTAAAACACTCTTTTTGTGGAATCTGAAAGTGGATAATTGGGTAGCTTTGTGGATTTCGTTGGAAACGGGATGACGTATAAAATCTAGAGAGAAGCATTCTCAGGAACTTCTTTCTGATGTTTGCATTCAAGTCACAGAATTGACATTCCTTTTCAGAGTGCAGGTTTGAAACACTCTTTCTGTAGTTTCTGGAAGTGGACATTTCAAGCGCTTTCAGGCCTATGGGGAGAAAGGAAATATCTTCAAATAAAAACTAGACAGAAGGATTCTCAGAAACTTATTTGTGATGTGTGTCCTAAGCGAACACAGTTGAACCTTTGTTTTGATACAGCATTTTGGAAACACTCCTTTTGTAGAATCTGCAGGTGGATATTTGGATAGATTTTAAGATTTCATTGGAAACGGGAATTTCTGCATAGAAACTCAAGACAGATGCATTCTCAGAAACTTCTCTGTGATGTTTGCATTCCACTCATAGAGTTGAAAACTTCCTTTCATAGAGCAGGTTTGAAACACTCTTTTTGTAATATTTGGAAGTGGACATTTGCAGCGCTTTGAGGCCTATGGTGAAAAAGGAAATATCTTCTCATAAAAACCAGAAACAAGCATTCTCAGAAACTTCTTTTTGATGTGTGTACTCAAGTAACAGAGTTGAACCTTCCTTTTGACACAGCAGTTTTGAAACAATCTTTTTGTAGAATCTGCAAGTGGATATTTGGATAGCTTTGAGGATTTCGTTGGAAACGGGATATCTTCATATAAAATCTAGACAGAAGCATTCTCAGAAACTTCTTTGTGCTGTATGACCTCAATTAACAGAGTTGAACCATTGCTTGCATACAGCATTTTGGAAACATTCCTTGAGTAGAATCTGCAAGTTGATATTTAGATAGATTTGAAGATTTCGTTGGAAAAGGGAATATCTCCATATAAAATCTAGAGGGAAGCATTCTCAGAAACTGCTTTGTGATGTTTCCATTCAAGTCACAGAGTTGAATATTCCCTTTTATAGAGCACGTTTGAAACACTCTTTCTGCACTATCTGGAAGCGGACATTTCGAGCGCTTTGAGGCCTATGGTGAAAAAGGAAATATCTTCCCATAAAAACTAGACAGAAGCATTCTCAGAAACTTGTTTGTGATGTGTGTATTCAACTAACAGAGTTGATCTTTTGTTTTTACAGAGCCGTTTTAAAACACTCTTTTTGTGGAATCAGAAAGTGGATATTCGGATGGCTCTGAGGATTTCGTTGGAAGCGGGATTACGTATAAAATCTAGAGAGAAGCATTCTCAGGAACTTCTTTCTGATGTTTGCATTGAAGTCACAGAATTGAACATTCACTTTGATAGAGCAGGTTTGAAACACTCATTCTGTAGTATCTGGAAGTGGACATTTCAAGCGCTTTCAGGCCTATGGTGAGAAAGGAAATATCTTCGAATAAAAACTAGACAGAAGGATTCTCAGAAACTTATTGGTGATGTGTGTCCTAAACGAACACAGTTGAACCTTTGTTTTGATACAGCATTTTGGAAACACTCCCTTTGTAGAATCTGCAGGTGGATATTTGGATACCTTAGAGGGATTCGTTGGAAAGGGGATATCTTCATATAAAATCTAGACAGAAGCATTCTCAGAAACTTATTTGTGATGTGTGTCCTCAACTAACAGAGTTGAACCTTGGTTTTGATACAGCATTTTGGAAACACTCCTTTTGTAGAATCTGCAGGTGGATATGTGGATAGCTTTGAAGATTTCGTTGGAAACGGGAATTTCTTCATATAAAATCAAACAGAAGCATTCTCAGAAACTTCTCAGTGATGTTTGCATTCAGCTCATGGAGTTGTACACTTCCTTTCATAGAGCAGGTTTGAAACACTCTTTCTGCACTACCTGGAAGAGGACATTTCGAGCGCTTTGAGTCCTATGGTGAAAAAGGAAATATCTTCTCATAGAAACCAGAAAGAAGCATTCTCAGAAACTTCTTTGTGTTGTGTGTACTCATGTAACAGTGTTGAACCATCCTTTTGACAGAGGAGTTTTGAAACACTCTTTTTGTAGAATCTGCAAGTGGATATTTGGATAGCTTTGAGGATTTCGTTGGAAACGGGATGACATATAATATCTAGAGAGAAGCATTCTCAGGAACTTCTTTGTGATGTTTGCATTCAAGTCACAGAATTGAACATTCCCTTTCATAGAGCAGGTTTGAAACACTCTTTCTCTAGTATCTGGAAGTGGGCATTTCAAGCGCTTTCAGGCCTATGGAGAGAAAGGAAATACCTTCAAATAAAAACTAGACAGAAGCATTCTCAGAAACTTATTTGTGATGTGTGTCCTCAACTAACAGAGTTGAACCTTTGTTTTGATACAGCATTTTGGAAACACTCCTTTTGTAGAATCTGCAGGTGGATATTTGGATAGCTTTGAAGATTTCGTTGGAAACCGGAATATCTTCATATAAAATCAAGACAGAAGCATTCTCGGAAACATCTCTGTGATGTTTGCATTCAACTCAGTAGAGTTGAACACTTCCTTTCATAGAGCAGGTTTGAAACACTCTTTCTGCCCTACCTGGAAGCGGACATTTCGAGCTCTTTGAGGCCTATGGTGAAAAAGGAAATATCTTCTCATAAAAACCAGAAAGAAGCGTTCTCAGAAACTTCTTTGTGTTGTGTGTACTCATGTAACAGTGTTGAACCATCCTTTTGACAGAGCAGTTTTGAAACACTCTTTTTGTAGAATCTGCAAGTGGATATTTGGATAGCTTTGAGGATTTCGTTGGAAACGGGTTATCTTCATATTAAATCTAGACAGAAGCATTCTCAGAAACTTCTTTGTGCTGTATGTCCTCAATTCACAGAGCTGAACCTTTGTTTGGATACAGCATTTTGGAGACATTCCTTTAGTAGAATCTGCAAGTTGATATTTAGATAGCTTTGAAGATTTCGTTGGAAACGGGAATATCTTCATAGAAAATCTAGACGGAAGCATTCTCAGAAACTGCTTTGTGATGTTTGCATTCAAGTCACAGAGTTGAATATTCCCTTTTATAGAGTAGGTTTGAAACACTCTTTCGGCACTACCTGGAAGTGGATATTTCGAGCTCTTTGAGGCCTATGGTTAAAAGGAAATATCTTCCCATAAAAACTAGACAGAAGCCTTCTCAGAAACTTGTTTGAGATGTGTGTATTCAACTAAGAGCGTTGAACATTTCTTTTTACAGAGCAGTTTTAAAACAGTCTTTTGGTGGAATCTGAAAGTGGATAATTGGATAGCTTTGTGGATTTCGTTGGAAACGGGATGACGTTTAAAATCTAGAGAGAAGCATTCTCAGGAACTTCTTTCTGATGTTTGCATTCAAGTCACAGAATTGAACATTCCTTTTCATAGTGCAGGTTTGAAACACTCTGTAGTATCTGGAAGTGGACATTTCAAGCGCTTTCAAGCCTATGGGGAGAAAGGAAATATCTTGAAATAAAAACTAGACAGAAGGATTCTCAGAAACTTATTTGTGATGTGTGTCCTAAACGAACACAGTTGAACCTTTGTTTTGATACAGCATTTTGGAAACACTCCTTTTGTAGAATCTGCAGGTGGATATTTGGATAGATTTTAAGATTTCATTGGAAACGGGAATTTCTTCATATAAACTCAAGACAGATGCATTCTCCGAAACTTCTCTGTGATGTTTGCATTCCACTCATAGAGTTGAAAACTTCCTTTCATAGAGCAGGTTTGAAACACTCTTTTTGTAATATTTGGAAGTGGACATTTGCAGCGCTTTGAGGCCTATGGTGAAAAAGGAAATATCTTCTCATAAAAACCAGAAACAAGCATTCTCAGAAACTTCTTTTTGATGTGTGTACTCAAGTAACAGAGTTGAACCTTCCTCTTGACACAGCAGTTTTGAAACAATCTTTTTGTAGAATCTGCAAGTGGATATTTGGATAGCTTTGAGGATTTCGTTGGAAACGGGATATCTTCATATAAAATCTAGACAGAAGCATTCTCAGAAACTTCTTTGTGCTGTATGTCCTCAATTAACAGAGTTGAACCATTGCTTGGATACAGCATTTTGGAAACATTCCTTTAGTAGAATCTGCAAGTTGATATTTAGATAGATTTGAAGATTTCGTTGGAAACGGGAATATCTTCATATAAAATCTAGACGGAAGCATTCTCAGAAACTGCTTTGTGATGTTTCCATTCAAGTCACAGAGTTGAATATTCCCTTTTATAGAGCACGTTTGAAACACTCTTTCTGCACTATCTGGAAGCGGACATTTCGAGCGCTTTGAGGCCTATGGTGAAAAAGGAAATATCTTCCCATAAAAACTAGACAGAAGCATTCTCAGAAACTTGTTTGTGATGTGTGTATTCAACTAACAGAGTTGAACTTTTGTTTTTACAGAGCCGTTTTAAAACACTCTTTTTGTGGAATCAGAAAGTGGATATTCGGATGGCTCTGAGGATTTCGTTGGAAGCGGGATTACATATAAAATCTAGAGAGAAGCATTCTCAGGAACTTCTTTGTGATGTTTGCATTGAAGTCACAGAATTGAACATTCACTTTGATAGAGCAGGTTTGAAACACTCATTCTGTAGGATCTGGAAGTGGACATTTCAAGCGCTTTCAGGCCTATGGTGAGAAAGGAAATATCTTCAAATAAAAACTAGACAGAAGCATCCTCAAACTTATTTGTGATGTGTGTCCTCAACTAACAGACTTGAAACTTTGTTTTGATACAGCATTTTGGAAACACTCTTTTTGTAGAATCTGCAGGTGGATATTTGGATAGCTTAGAGGGATTCGTTGGAAAGGGGATATCTTCATATAAAATCTAGACAGAAGCATTCTCAGAAACTTATTTGTGATGTGTGTCCTCAACTAACAGAGTTGAACCTTGGTTTTGATACAGCATTTTGGAAACACTCCTTTTGTAGAATCTGCAGGTGGATATGTGGATAGCTTTGAAGATTTCGTTGAAAACGGGAATTTCTTCATATAAAATCAAACAGAAGAATTCTCAGAAACTTCTCTGTGATGTTTGCATTCAGCTCATGGAGTTGAACACTTCCTTTCATAGAGCAGGTTTGAAACACTCTTTCTGCACTACCAGGAAGTGGACATTTGGAGCGCTTTGAGGCCTATGGTGAAAAGGGAAATATCTTCTCATAAAAACCAGAAAGAAGCGTTCTCAGAAACTTCTTTGTGTTGTGTGTACTCATGTAACAGTGTTGAACCATCCTTTTGACAGAGGAGTTTTGAAACACTCTTTTTGTAGAATCTGCAAGTGGATATTTGGATAGCTTTGAGGATTTCGTTGGAAACGGGTTATCTTCATATTAAATCTAGACAGAAGCATTCTCAGGAACTTCTTTGTGATGTTTGCATTCAAGTCACAGAATTGAACATTCCCTTTCATAGAGCAGGTTTGAAACACTCTTTCTCTAGTATCTGGAAGTGGGCATTTCAAGCGCTTTCAGGCCTATGGAGAGAAAGGAAATACCTTCAAATAAAAACTAGACAGAAGCATCCTCAGAAACTTATTTGTGATGTGTGTCCTCAACTAACAGAGTTGAACCTTTGTTTTGATACAGCATTTTGGAAACACTCCTTTTGTAGAATCTGCAGGTGGATATTTGGATAGCTTTGAAGATTTCGTTGGAAACCGGAATATCTTCATATAAAACCAAGACAGAAGCATTCTCGGAAACATCTCTGTGATGTTTGCATTCAACTCAGTAGAGTTGAACACTTCCTTTCATAGAGCAGGTTTGAAACACTCTTTCTGCACTACCTGGAAGCGGACATTTCGAGCGCTTTGAGGCCTATGGTGAAAAAGGAAATATCTTCTCATAAAAACCAGAAAGAAGCATTGTCAGAAACTTCTTTGTGTTGTGTGTACTCAAGTAACAGTGTTGAACCTTCCTTTTGACAGAGCAGTTTTGAAACACTCTTTTGGTAGAATCTGCAAGTGGATATTTGGATAGCTTTGAGGATTTCGTTGGAAACGGGTTATCTTCATATAAAATCCAGACAGGAAGCATTCTCAGAAACTTCTTTGTGCTGTATGTCCTCAATTCACAGAGTTGAACCATGGCTTGGATACAGCATTTTGGAAACATTCCTTGAGTAGAATCTGCAAGTTGATATGTAGATAGCTTTAAAGATTTCGTTGGAAACGGGAATATCTTCATATAAAATCTAGACGGAAGCATTCTCAGAAACTGCTTTGTGATGTTTGCATTCAAGTCACAGGAGTTGAATATTCCCTTTTATAGAGTAGGTTTGAAACACTCTTTCGGCACTACCTGGAAGTGGATATTTCGAGCTCTTTGAGGCCTATGGTTAAAAGGAAATATCTTCCCATAAAAACTAGACAGAAGCCGTCTCAGAAACTTGTTTGTGATGTGTGTATTCAACTAACAGAGTTGAACATTTCTGTTACAGAGCAATTTTAAAACACTCTTTGTGGAATCTGAAAGTGGATAATTGGATAGCTTTGTGGATTTCGTTGGAAACGGGATGACGTATAAAATCTAGAGAGAAGCATTCTCAGGAACTTCTTTCTGATGTTTGCATTCAAGTCACAGAATTGAACATTCCTTTTCAGAGTGCAGGTTTGAAACACTCTTTCTGTAGTATCTGGAAGTGGACATTTCAAGCGCTTTCAGGCCTACGGGGAGAAAGGAAATATCTTCAAATAAAAACTAGACAGAAGGATTCTCAGAAACTTATTTGTGATGTGTGTCCTAAACGAACACAGTTGAACCTTTGTTTTGATACAGCATTTTGGAAACACTCCTTTTGTAGGATCTGCAGGTGGATATTTGGATAGATTTTAAGATTTCGTTGGAAACGGGAATTTCTTCATAGAAGCTCAAGACAGATGCATTCTCAGAAACTTCTCTGTGATGTTTGCATTCCACTCATAGAGTTGAAAACTTCCTTTCATAGAGCAGGTTTGAAACACTCTTTTTGTAATATTTGGAAGTGGACATTTGCAGCGCTTTGAGGCCTATGGTGAAAAAGGAAATATCTTCTCATAAAAACCAGAAACAAGCATTCTCAGAAACTTCTTTTTGATGTGTGTACTCAAGTAACAGAGTTGAACCTTCCTTTTGACACAGCAGTTTTGAAACAATCTTTTTGTAGAATCTGCAAGTGGATATTTGGATAGCTTTGAGGATTTCGTTGGAAACGGGATATCTTCATATAAAATCTAGACAGAAGCATTCTCAGAAACTTCTTTGTGCTGTATGTCCTCAATTAACAGAGTTGAACCATTGCCTGGATACAGCATTTTGGAAACATTCCTTGAGTAGAATCTGCAAGTTGATATTTAGATAGATTTGAAGATTTCGTTGGAAAAGGGAATATCTCCATATAAAATCCTAGAGGGAAGCATTCTCAGAAACTGCTTTGTGATGTTTCCATTCAAGTCACAGAGTTGAATATTCCCTTTTATAGAGCACGTTTGAAACACTCTTTCTGCGCTATCTGGAAGTGGACATTTCGAGCGCTTTGAGGCCTATGGTGAAAAAGGAAATATCTTCCCATAAAAACTAGACAGAAGCATTCTCAGAAACTTGTTTGTGATGTGTGTATTCAACTAACAGAGTTGAACTTTTGTTTTTACAGAGCCGTTTTAAAACACTCTTTTTGTGGAATCAGAAAGTGGATATTCGGATGGCTCTGAGGATTTCGTTGGAAGCGGGATTACATATAAAATCTAGAGAGAAGCATTCTCAGGAACTTCTTTGTGATGTTTGCATTGAAGTCACAGAATTGAACATTCACTTTGATAGAGCAGGTTTGAAACACTCATTCTGTAGTATCTGGAAGTGGACATTTCAAGCGCTTTCAGGCCTATGGTGAGAAAGGAAATATCTTCGAATAAAAACTAGACAGAAGCATCCTCAAACTTATTTGTGATGTGTGTCCTCAACTAACAGAGTTGAAACTTTCTTTTGATACAGCATTTTGGAAACACTCTTTTTGTAGAATCTGCAGGTGGATATTTGGATAGCTTAGAGGGATTCGTTGGAAAGGGGATATCTTCATATAAAATCTAGACAGAAGCATTCTCAGAAACTTATTTGTGATGTGTGTCCTCAACTAACAGAGTTGAACCTTGGTTTTGATACAGCATTTTGGAAACTCTCCTTTTGTAGAATCTGCAGGTGGATATGTGGATAGCTCTGAAGATTTCGTTGGAAACGGGAATTTCTTCATATAAAATCAAACAGAAGCATTCTCAGAAACTTCTCAGTGATGTTTGCATTCAGCTCATGGAGTTGTACACTTCCTTTCATAGAGCAGGTTTGAAACACTCTTTCTGCACTACCTGGAAGAGGACATTTCGAGCGCTTTGAGTCCTATGGTGAAAAAGGAAATATCTTCTCATAGAAACCAGAAAGAAGCGTTCTCAGAAACTTCTTTGTGTTGTGTGTACTCATGTAACAGTGTTGAACCATCCTTTTGACAGAGCAGTTTTGAAACACTCTTTTTGTAGAATCTGCCAGTGGATATTTGGATAGCTTTGAGGATTTCGTTGGAAACGGGTTATCTTCATATTAAATCTAGACAGAAGCATTCTCAGGAACTTCTTTGTGATGTTTGCATTCAAGTCACAGAATTGAACATTCCCTTTCATAGAGCAGGTTTGAAACACTCTTTCTCTAGTATCTGGAAGTGGGCATTTCAAGCGCTTTCAGGCCTATGGAGAGAAAGGAAATACCTTCAAATAAAAACTAGACAGAAGCATTCTCAGAAACTTATTTGTGATGTGTGTCCTCAACTAACAGAGTTGAACCTTTGTTTTGATACAGCATTTTGGAAACACTCCTTTTGTAGAATCTGCAGGTGGATATTTGGATAGCTTTGAAGATTTCGTTGGAAACCGGAATATCTTCATATAAAATCAAGACAGAAGCATTCTCAGAAACTTCTCTGTGATGTTTGCATTCAGCTCATGGAGTTGAACACTTCCTTTCATAGAGCAGGTTTGAAACACTCTTTCTGCACTACCTGGAAGCGGACATTTCGAGCGCTTTGAGGCCTATGGTGAAAAAGGAAATATCTTCTCATAAAAACCAGAAAGAAGCATTCTCAGAAACTTCTTTGTGTTGTGTGTACTCAAGTAACAGTGTTGAACCTTCCTTTTGACAGAGTAGTTTTGAAACACTCTTTTGGTAGAATCTGCAAGTGGATATTTGGATAGCTTTGAGGATTTCGTTGGAAACGGGTTATCTTCCTATAAAATCCAGACAGGAGCATTCTCAGAAACTTCTTTGTGCTGTATGTCCTCAATTCACAGAGCTGAACCTTTGTTTGGATACAGCATTTTGGAGACATTCCTTTAGTAGAATCTGCAAGTTGATATTTAGATAGCTTTGAAGATTTCGTTGGAAACGGGAATATCTTCATAGAAAATCTAGACGGAAGCATTCTCAGAAACTGCTTTGTGATGTTTGCATTCAAGTCACAGAGTTGAATATTCCCTTTTATAGAGTAGGTTTGAAACACTCTTTCGGCACTACCTGGAAGTGGATATTTCGAGCTCTTTGAGGCCTATGGTTAAAAGGAAATATCTTCCCATAAAAACTAGACAGAAGCCGTCTCAGAAACTTGTTTGTGATGTGTGTATTCAACTACCAGAGTTGAACATTTCTGTTACAGAGCAATTTTAAAACACTCTTTCTGTGGAATCTGAAAGTGGATAATTGGATAGCTTTGTGGATTTCGTTGGAAACGGGATGACGTATAAAATCTAGAGAGAAGCATTCTCAGGAACTTCTTTCTGATGTTTGCATTCAAGTCACAGTAATTGAACATTCCTTTTCAGAGTGCAGGTTTGAAACACTCTTTCTGTAGTATCTGGAAGTGGACATTTCAAGCGCTTTCAGGCCTACGGGGAGAAAGGAAATATCTTCAAATAAAAACTAGACAGAAGGATTCTCAGAAACTTATTTGTGATGTGTGTCCTAAACGAACACAGTTGAACCTTTGTTTTGATACAGCATTTTGGAAACACTCCTTTTGTAGGATCTGCAGGTGGATATTTGGATAGATTTTAAGATTTCGTTGGAAACGGGAATTTCTGCATAGAAACTCAAGACAGATGCATTCTCAGAAACTTCTCTGTGATGTTTGCATTCCACTCATAGAGTTGAAAACTTCCTTTCATAGAGCAGGTTTGAAACACTCTTTTTGTAATATTTGGAAGTGGACATTTGCAGCGCTTTGAGGCCTATGGTGAAAAAAGGAAATATCTTCTCATAAAAACCAGAAACAAGCATTCTCAGAAACTTCTTTTTGATGTGTGTACTCAAGTAACAGAGTTGAACCTTCCTTTTGACACAGCAGTTTTGAAACAATCTTTTTGTAGAATCTGCAAGTGGATATTTGGATAGCTTTGAGGATTTCGTTGGAAACGGGATATCTTCATATAAAATCTAGACAGAAGCATTCTCAGAAACTTCTTTGTGCTGTATGTCCTCAATTAACAGAGTTGAACCATTGCCTGGATACAGCATTTTGGAAACATTCCTTGAGTAGAATCTGCAAGTTGATATTTAGATAGATTTGAAGATTTCGTTGGAAAAGGGAATATCTCCATATAAAATCTAGAGGGAAGCATTCTCAGAAACTGCTTTGTGATGTTTCCATTCAAGTCACAGAGTTGAATATTCCCTTTTATAGAGCACGTTTGAAACACTCTTTCTGCACTATCTGGAAGCGGACATTTCGAGCGCTTTGAGGCCTATGGTGAAAAAGGAAATATCTTCCCATAAAAACTAGACAGAAGCATTCTCAGAAACTTGTTTGTGATGTGTGTATTCAACTAACAGAGTTGAACTTTTGTTTTTACAGAGCCGTTTTAAAACACTCTTTTTGTGGAATCAGAAAGTGGATATTCGGATGGCTCTGAGGATTTCGTTGGAAGCGGGATTACGTATAAAATCTAGAGAGAAGCATTCTCAGGAACTACTTTGTGATGTTTGCATTGAAGTCACAGAATTGAACATTCACTTTGATAGAGCAGGTTTGAAACACTCATTCTGTAGTATCTGGAAGTGGACATTTCAAGCGCTTTCAGGCCTATGGGGAGAAAGGAAATATCTTCAAATTAAAACTAGACAGAAGCATCCTCAAACTTATTTGTGATGTGTGTCCTCAACTAACAGAGTTGAAACTTTGTTTTGATACAGCATTTTGGAAACACTCTTTTTGTAGAATCTGCAGGTGGATATTTGGATAGCTTAGAGGGATTCGTTGGAAAGGGGATATCTTCATATAAAATCTAGACAGAAGCATTCTCAGAAACTTATTTGTGATGTGTGTCCTCAACTAACAGAGTTGAACTTTGGTTTTGATACAGCATTTTGGAAACACTCCTTTTGTAGAATCTGCAGGTGGATATGTGGATAGCTCTGAAGATTTCGTTGGAAACGGGAATTTCTTCATATAAAATCAAACAGAAGCATTCTCAGAAACTTCTCAGTGATGTTTGCATTCAGTTCATGGAGTTGAACACTTCCTTTCATAGAGCCGGTTTGAAACACTCTTTCTGCACTACCTGGAAGAGGACATTTCGAGCGCTTTGAGTCCTATGGTGAAAAAGGAAATATCTTCTCATAGAAACCAGAAAGAAGCATTCTCAGAAACTTCTTTGTGTTGTGTGTACTCATGTAACAGTGTTGAACCATCCTTTTGACAGAGCAGTTTTGAAACACTCTTTTTGTAGAATCTGCAAGTGGATATTTGGATAGCTTTGAGGATTTCGTTGGAAACGGGATGACATATAATATCTAGAGAGAAGCATTCTCAGGAACTTCTTTGTGATGTTTGCATTCAAGTCACAGAATTGAACATTCCCTTTCATAGAGCAGGTTTGAAACACTCTTTCTCTAGTATCTGGAAGTGGGCATTTCAAGCGCTTTCAGGCCTATGGAGAGAAAGGAAATACCTTCAAATAAAAACTAGACAGAAGCATTCTCAGAAACTTATTTGTGATGTGTGTCCTCAACTAACAGAGTTGAACCTTTGTTTTGATACAGCATTTTGGAAACACTCCTTTTGTAGAATCTGCAGGTGGATATTTGGATAGCTTTGAAGATTTCGTTGGAAACCGGAATATCTTCATATAAAATCAAGACAGAAGCATTCTCGGAAACATCTCTGTGATGTTTGCATTCAACTCAGTAGAGTTGAACACTTCCTTTCATAGAGCAGGTTTGAAACACTCTTTCTGCACTACCTGGAAGCGGACATTTCGAGCGCTTTGAGGCCTATGGTGAAAAAGGAAATATCTTCTCATAAAAACCAGAAAGAAGCATTCTCAGAAACTTCTTTGTGTTGTGTGTACTCAAGTAACAGTGTTGAACCTTCCTTTTGACAGAGCAGTTTTGAAACACTCTTTTGGTAGAATCTGCAAGTGGATATTTGGAGAGCTTTGAGGATTTCGTTGGAAACGGGTTATCTTCCTATAAAATCCAGACAGGAGCATTCTCAGAAACTTCTTTGTGCTGTATGTCCTCAATTCACAGAGCTGAACCTTTGTTTGGATACAGCATTTTGGAGACATTCCTTTAGTAGAATCTGCAAGTTGATATTTAGATAGCTTTGAAGATTTCGTTGGAAACGGGAATATCTTCATAGAAAATCTAGACGGAAGCATTCTCAGAAACTGCTTTGTGATGTTTGCATTCAAGTCACAGAGTTGAATATTCCCTTTTATAGAGTAGGTTTGAAACACTCTTTCGGCACTACCTGGAAGTGGATATTTCGAGCTCTTTGAGGCCTATGGTTAAAAGGAAATATCTTCCCATAAAAACTAGACAGAAGCCTTCTCAGAAACTTGTTTGAGATGTGTGTATTCAACTAAGAGCGTTGAACATTTCTTTTTACAGAGCAGTTTTAAAACAGTCTTTTGGTGGAATCTGAAAGTGGATAATTGGATAGCTTTGTGGATTTCGTTGGAAACGGGATTACGTTTAAAATCTAGAGAGAAGCATTCTCAGGAACTTCTTTCTGATGTTTGCATTCAAGTCACAGAATTGAACATTCCTTTTCAGAGTGCAGGTTTGAAACACTCTTTCTGTAGTATCTGGAAGTGGACATTTCAAGCGCTTTCAGGCCTACGGGGAGAAAGGAAATATCTTCAAATAAAAACTAGACAGAAGGATTCTCAGAAACTTATTGGTGATGTGTGTCTTAAACGAACACAGTTGAACCTTTGTTTTGATACAGCATTTTGGAAACACTCCCTTTGTAGAATCTGCAGGTGGATATTTGGATAGATTTTAAGATTTCGTTGGAAACGGGAATTTCTTCATTTAAACTCAAGACAGAATGCATTCTCCGAAACTTCTCTGTGATGTTTGCATTCCACTCATAGAGCTGAAAACTTCCTTTCATAGAGCAGGTTTGAAACACTCTTTTTGTAATATTTGGAAGTGGACATTTGCAGCGCTTTGAGGCCTATGGTGAAAAAGGAAATATCTTCTCATAAAAACCAGAAACAAGCATTCTCAGCAAACTTCTTTTTGATGTGTGTACTCAAGTAACAGAGTTGAACCTTCCTTTTGACACAGCAGTTTTGAAACAATCTTTTTGTAGAATCTGCAAGTGGATATTTGGATAGCTTTGAGGATTTCGTTGGAAACGGGATATCTTCATATAAAATCTAGACAGAAGCATTCTCAGAAACTTCTTTGTGCTGTATGTCCTCAATTCACAGAGTTGAACCTTTGTTTGGATACAGTATTTTGGAAACATTCCTTTAGTAGAATCTGCAAGTTGATATTTCGATAGGTTTGAAGATTTCGTTGGAAACGGGAATATCTTCATAAAAACTCTAGACGGAAGCATTGTCAGAAACTGCTTTGTGATGTTTGCTTTCAAGTCACAGAGTCAAATATTCTTTTATAGAGCAGGTTTGAAACACTCTTTCTGCACTCCCTGGAAGTGGAGATTTCGAGCGCTTTGAGGCCTATGGTGAAAAAGGAAATATCTTCCCATAAAAACTAGACGGAAGCCTTCTCAGAAACTTGTTTGAGATGTGTGTATTCAACTAAGAGCGTTGAACATTTCTATTTACAGAGCAGTTTTAAAACACTCTTTTTGTGGAATCTAAAAGTGGATAATTGGATAGCTTTGTGGATTTCGTTAGAAACGGGATTACGTATAAAATCTAGAGAGAAGCACTCTCAGGAACTTCTTTCTGATGTTTGCATTCAAGTCACAGAATTGAACATTCCTTTTCATAGTGCAGGTTTGAAACACTCTGTAGTATCTGGAAGTGGACATTTCAAGCGCTTTCAAGCCTATGGGGAGAAAGGAAATATCTTGAAATAAAAACTAGACAGAAGGATTCTCAGAAACTTATTTGTGATGTGTGTCCTAAACGAACACAGTTGAACCTTTGTTTTGATACAGCATTTAGGAAACACTCCTTTTGTAGAATCTGCAGGTGGATATTTGGATAGATTTTAAGATTTCATTGGAAACGGGAATTTCTTCATATAAACTCAAGACAGATGCATTCTCAGAAACTTCTCTGTGATGTTTGCATTCCACTCATAGGAGTTGAAAACTTCCTTTCATAGAGCAGGTTTGAAACACTCTTTTTGTAATATTTGGAAGTGGACATTTGCAGCGCTTTGAGGCCTATGGTGAAAAAAGGAAATATCTTCTCATAAAAACCAGAAACAAGCATTCTCAGAAACTGCTTTTTGATGTGTGTACTCAAGTAACAGAGTTGAACCTTCCTTTTGACACAGCAGTTTTGAAACAATCTTTTTGTAGAATCTGCAAGTGGATATTTGGATAGCTTTGAGGATTTCGTTGGAAACGGGATATCTTCATATAAAATCTAGACAGAAGCATTCTCAGAAACTTCTTTGTGCTGTATGTCCTCAATTAACAGAGTTGAACCATTGCTTGGATACAGCATTTTGGAAACATTCCTTTAGTAGAATCTGCAAGTTGATATTTAGATAGATTTGAAGAATTCGTTGGAAACGGGAATATCTTCATATAAAATCTAGACGGAGGCATTCTCAGAAACTGCTTTGTGATGTTTCCATTCAAGTCACAGAGTTGAATATTCTCTTTTATAGAGCACGTTTGAAACACTCTTTCTGCACTATCTGGAAGTGGACATTTCGAGCGCTTTGAGGCCTATGGTGAAAAAGGAAATATCTTCCCATAAAAACTAGACAGAAGCATTCTCAGAAACTTGTTTGTGATGTGTGTATTCAACTAACAGAGTTGAACTTTTGTTTTTACAGAGCCGTTTTAAAACACTCTTTTTGTGGAATCAGAAAGTGGATATTCGGATGGCTCTGAGGATTTCGTTGGAAGCGGGATTACGTATAAAATCTAGAGAGAAGCATTCTCAGGAACTTCTTTGTGATGTTTGCATTGAAGTCACAGAATTGAACATTCACTTTGATAGAGCAGGTTTGAAACACTCATTCTGTAGTATCTGGAAGTGGACATTTCAAGCGCTTTCAGGCCTATGGTGAGAAAGGAAATATCTTCGAATAAAAACTAGACAGAAGCATCCTCAGAAACCTATTTGTGATGTGTGTCCTCAACTAACAGAGTTAAAACTTTGTTTTGATACAGCATTTTGGAAACACTCTTTTTGTAGAATCTGCAGGTGGATATTTGGATAGCTTAGAGGGATTCGTTGGAAAGGGGATATCTTCATATAAAATCTAGACAGAAGCATTCTCAGAAACTTATTTGTGATGTGTGTCCTCAACTAACAGAGTTGAACCTTGGTTTTGATACAGCATTTTGGAAACACTCCTTTTGTAGAATCTGCAGGTGGATATGTGGATAGCTCTGAAGATTTCGTTGGAAACGGGAATTTCTTCATATAAAATCAAACAGAAGCATTCTCAGAAACTTCTCTGTGATGTTTGCATTCAGCTCATGGAGTTGAACACTTCCTTTCATAGAGCAGGTTTGAAACACTCTTTCTGCACCACCTGGAAGTGGACATTTCGAACGCTTTGAGGCCTATGGTGAAAAAGGAAATATCTTCTCATAAAAACCAGAAGGAAAGCATTCTCAGAAACTTCTTTGTGTTGTGTGTACTCATGTAACAGTGTTGAACCATCCTTTTGACAGAGCAGTTTTGAAACACTCTTTTTGTAGAATCTGCAAGTGGATATTTGGATAGCTTTGAGGATTTCGTTGGAAACGGGATGACATATAATATCTAGAGAGAAGCATTCTCAGGAACTTCTTTGTGATGTTTGCATTCAAGTCACAGAATTGAACATTCCCTTTCATAGAGCAGGTTTGAAACACTCTTTCTCTAGTATCTGGAAGTGGGCATTTCAAGCGCTTTCAGGCCTATGGAGAGAAAGGAAATACCTTCAAATAAAAACTAGACAGAAGCATTCTCAGAAACTTATTTGTGATGTGTGTCCTCAACTAACAGAGTTGAACCTTTGTTTTGATACAGCATTTTGGAAACACTCCTTTTGTAGAATCTGCAGGTGGATATTTGGATAGCTTTGAAGATTTCGTTGGAAACCGGAATATCTTCATATAAAATCAAGACAGAAGCATTCTCGGAAACATCTCTGTGATGTTTGCATTCAACTCAGTAGAGTTGAACACTTCCTTTCATAGAGCAGGTTTGAAACACTCTTTCTGCACTACCTGGAAGCGGACATTTCGAGCGCTTTGAGGCCTATGGTGAAAAAGGAAATATCTTCTCATAAAAACCAGAAAGAAGCATTCTCAGAAACTTCTTTGTGTTGTGTGTACTCAAGTAACAGTGTTGAACCTTCCTTTTGACAGAGCAGTTTTGAAACACTCTTTTGGTAGAATCTGCAAGTGGATATTTGGATAGCTTTGAGGATTTCGTTGGAAACGGGTTATCTTCATATAAAATCCAGACAGGAGCATTCTCAGAAACTTCTTTGTGCTGTATGTCCTCAATTCACAGAGCTGAACCTTTGTTTGGATACAGCATTTTGGAGACATTCCTTTAGTAGAATCTGCAAGTTGATATTTAGATAGCTTTGAAGATTTCGTTGGAAACGGGAATATCTTCATAGAAAATCTAGACGGAAGCATTCTCAGAAACTGCTTTGTGATGTTTGCATTCAAGTCACAGAGTTGAATATTCCCTTTTATAGAGTAGGTTTGAAACACTCTTTCGGCACTACCTGGAAGTGGATATTTCGAGCTCTTTGAGGCCTATGGTTAAAAGGAAATATCTTCCCATAAAAACTAGACAGAAGCCGTCTCAGAAACTTGTTTGTGATGTGTGTATTCAACTACCAGAGTTGAACATTTCTGTTACAGAGCAATTTTAAAACACTCTTTTTGTGGAATCTGAAAGTGGATAATTGGATAGCTTTGTGGATTTCGTTGGAAACGGGATGACGTATAAAATCTAGAGAGAAGCATTCTCAGGAACTTCTTTCTGATGTTTGCATTCAAGTCACAGAATTGAACATTCCTTTTCAGAGTGCAGGTTTGAAACACTCTTTCTGTAGTATCTGGAAGTGGACATTTCAAGCGCTTTCAGGCCTACGGGGAGAAAGGAAATATCTTCAAATAAAAACTAGACAGAAGGATTCTCAGAAACTTATTTGTGATGTGTGTCCTAAACGAACACAGTTGAACCTTTGTTTTGATACAGCATTTTGGAAACACTCCTTTTGTAGGATCTGCAGGTGGATATTTGGATAGATTTTAAGATTTCGTTGGAAACGGGAATTTCTTCATAGAAGCTCAAGACAGATGCATCTCAGAAACTTCTCTGTGATGTTTGCATTCCACTCACAGAGTTGAAAACTTCCTTTCATAGAGCAGGTTTGAAACACTCTTTTTGTAATATTTGGAAGTGGACATTTGCAGCGCTTTGAGGCCTATGGTGAAAAAGGAAATATCTTCTCATAAAAACCAGAAACAAGCATTCTCAGAAACTTCTTTTTGATGTGTGTACTCAAGTAACAGAGTTGAACCTTCCTTTTGACACAGCAGTTTTGAAACAATCTTTTTGTAGAATCTGCAAGTGGATATTTGGATAGCTTTGAGGATTTCGTTGGAAACGGGATATCTTCATATAAAATCTAGACAGAAGCATTCTCAGAAACTTCTTTGTGCTGTATGTCCTCAATTAACAGAGTTGAACCATTGCTTGGATACAGCATTTTGGAAACATTCCTTGAGTAGAATCTGCAAGTTGATATTTAGATAGATTTGAAGATTTCGTTGGAAAAGGGAATATCTCCATATAAAATCTAGAGGGAAGCATTCTCAGAAACTGCTTTGTGATGTTTCCATTCAAGTCACAGAGTTGAATATTCCCTTTTATAGAGCACGTTTGAAACACTCTTTCTGCACTATCTGGAAGCGGACATTTCGAGCGCTTTGAGGCCTATGGTGAAAAAGGAAATATCTTCCCATAAAAACTAGACAGAAGCATTCTCAGAAACTTGTTTGTGATGTGTGTATTCAACTAACAGAGTTGAACTTTTGTTTTTACAGAGCCGTTTTAAAACACTCTTTTTGTGGAATCAGAAAGTGGATATTCGGATGGCTCTGAGGATTTCGTTGGAAGCGGGATTACGTATAAAATCTAGAGAGAAGCATTCTCAGGAACTTCTTTGTGATGTTTGCATTGAAGTCACAGAATTGAACATTCACTTTGATAGAGCAGGTTTGAAACACTCATTCTGTAGTATCTGGAAGTGGACATTTCAAGCGCTTTCAGGCCTATGGTGAGAAAGGAAATATCTTCGAATAAAAACTAGACAGAAGCATCCTCAAACTTATTTGTGATGTGTGTCCTCAACTAACAGCAGTTGAAACTTTGTTTTGATACAGCATTTTGGAAACACTCTTTTTGTAGAATCTGCAGGTGGATATTTGGATAGCTTAGAGGGATTCGTTGGAAAGGGGATATCTTCATATAAAATCTAGACAGAAGCATTCTCAGAAACTTATTTGTGATGTGTGTCCTCAACTAACAGAGTTGAACTTTGGTTTTGATACAGCATTTTGGAAACACTCCTTTTGTAGAATCTGCAGGTGGATATGTGGATAGCTCTGAAGATTTCGTTGGAAACGGGAATTTCTTCATAGAAAATCAAACAGAAGCATTCTCAGAAACTTCTCAGTGATGTTTGCATTCAGTTCATGGAGTTGAACACTTCCTTTCATAGAGCCGATTTGAAACACTCTTTCTGCACTACCTGGAAGAGGACATTTCGAGCGCTTTGAGTCCTATGGTGAAAAAGGAAATATCTTCTCATAGAAACCAGAAAGAAGCATTCTCAGAAACTTCTTTGTGTTGTGTGTACTCATGTAACAGTGTTGAACCATCCTTTTGACAGAGCAGTTTTGAAACACTCTTTTTGTAGAATCTGCAAGTGGATATTTGGATAGCTTTGAGGATTTCGTTGGAAACGGGATGACATATAATATCTAGAGAGAAGCATTCTCAGGAACTTCTTTGTGATGTTTGCATTCAAGTCACAGAATTGAACATTCCCTTTCATAGAGCAGGTTTGAAACACTCTTTCTCTAGTATCTGGAAGTGGGCATTTCAAGCGCTTTCAGGCCTATGGAGAGAAAGGAAATACCTTCAAATAAAAACTAGACAGAAGCATTCTCAGAAACTTATTTGTGATGTGTGTCCTCAACTAACAGAGTTGAACCTTTGTTTTGATACAGCATTTTGGAAACACTCCTTTTGTAGAATCTGCAGGTGGATATGTGGATAGCTTTGAAGATTTCGTTGGAAACCGGAATATCTTCCTATAAAATCAAGACAGAAGCATTCTCGGAAACATCTCTGTGATGTTTGCATTCAACTCAGTAGAGTTGAACACTTCCTTTCATAGAGCAGGTTTGAGACACTCTTTCTGCACTACCTGGAAGCGGACATTTCGAGCGCTTTGAGGCCTATGGTGAAAAAGGAAATATCTTCTCCTAAAAACCAGAAAGAAAGCATTCTCAGAAACTTCTTTGTGTTGTGTGTACTCAAGTAACAGTGTTGAACCTTCCTTTTGACAGAGCAGTTTTGAAACACTCTTTTGGTAGAATCTGCAAGTGGATATTTGGATAGCTTTGAGGATTTCGTTGGAAACGGGTTATCTTCCTATAAAATCCAGACAGGAGCATTCTCAGAAACTTCTTTGTGCTGTATGTCCTCAATTCACAGAGCTGAACCTTTGTTTGGATACAGCATTTTGGAGACATTCCTTTAGTAGAATCTGCAAGTTGATATTTAGATAGCTTTGAAGATTTCGTTGGAAACGGGAATATCTTCATAGAAAATCTAGACGGAAGCATTCTCAGAAACTGCTTTGTGATGTTTGCATTCAAGTCACAGAGTTGAATATTCCCTTTTATAGAGTAGGTTTGAAACACTCTTTCGGCACTACCTGGAAGTGGATATTTCGAGCTCTTTGAGGCCTATGGTTAAAAGGAAATATCTTCCCATAAAAACTAGACAGAAGCCGTCTCAGAAACTTGTTTGTGATGTGTGTATTCAACTACCAGAGTGGAACATTTGTGTTACAGAGCAATTTTAAAACACTCTTTTTGTGGAATCTGAAAGTGGATAATTGGATAGCTTTGTGGATTTCGTTGGAAACGGGATGACGTATAAAATCTAGAGAGAAGCATTCTCAGGAACTTCTTTCTGATGTTTGCATTCAAGTCACAGAATTGAACATTCCTTTTCAGAGTGCAGGTTTGAAACACTCTTTCTGTAGTATCTGGAAGTGGACATTTCAAGCGCTTTCAGGCCTACGGGGAGAAAGGAAATATCTTCAAATAAAAACTAGACAGAAGGATTCTCAGTAAACTTATTTGTGATGTGTGTCCTAAACGAACACAGTTGAACCTTTGTTTTGATACAGCATTTTGGAAACACTCCTTTTGTAGGATCTGCAGGTGGATATTTGGATAGATTTTAAGATTTCGTTGGAAACGGGAATTTCTTCATAGAAGCTCAAGACAGATGCATTCTCAGAAACTTCTCTGTGATGTTTGCATTCCACTCATAGAGTTGAAAACTTCCTTTCATAGAGCACGTTTGAAACACTCTTTTTGCAATATTTGGAAGTGGACATTTGCAGCGCTTTGAGGCCTATGGTGAAAAAGGAAATATCTTCTCATAAAAACCAGAAACAAGCATTCTCAGAAACTTCTTTTTGATGTGTGTACTCAAGTAACAGAGTTGAACCTTCCTTTTGACACAGCAGTTTTGAAACAATCTTTTTGTAGAATCTGCAAGTGGATATTTGGATAGCTTTGAGGATTTCATTGCAAACGGGATATCTTTATATAAAATCTAGACAGAAGCATTCTCAGAAACTTCTTTTTACTGTATGTCCTCAATTAACAGAGTTGAACCATTGCTTGGATACAGCATTTTGGAAACATTCCTTTAGTAGAATCTGCAAGTTGATACTTAGATAGATTTGAAGATTTCGTTGGAAACGGGAATATCTTCATATAAAATCTAGACGGAAGCATTCTCAGAAACTGCTTTGTGATGTTTCCATTCAAGTCACAGAGTTGAATATTCTCTTTTATAGAGCACGTTTGAAACACTCTTTCTGCACTATCTGGAAGTGCACATTTCGAGCGCTTTGAGGCCTATGGTGAAAAAGGAAATATCTTCCCATGAAAACTAGACAGAATCATTCTCAGAAACTGCTTTGTGATGTTTCCATTCAAGTCACAGAGTTGAATATTCTCTTTTATAGAGCACGTTTGAAACACTCTTTCTGCACTATCTGGAAGTGGACATTTCGAGCGCTTTGAGGCCTATGGTGAAAAAGGAAATATCTTCCCATGAAAACTAGACAGAAGCATTCTCAGAAACTTGTTTGTGATGTGTGTATTCAACTAACAGAGTTGAACTTTTGTTTTTACAGAGCAGTTTTAAAACACTCTTTTTGTGGAATCAGAAAGTAGATAGTCGGATGGCTCTGAGGATTTCGTTGGAAGCGGGATTACATATAAAATCTAGAGAGAAGCATTCTCAGGAACTTCTTTGTGATGTTTGCATTGAAGTCACAGAATTGAACATTCACTTTGATAGAGCAGGTTTGAAACACTCATTCTGTAGGATCTGGAAGTGGACATTTCAAGCGCTTTCAGGCCTATGGTGAGAAAGGAAATATCTTCGAATAAAAACTAGACAGAAGCATCCTCAGAAACTTATTTGTGATGTGTGTCCTCAACTAACAGAGTGGAAACTTTGATTTCATACAGCATTTTGGAGACACTCTTTTTGTAGAATCTGCGGGTGGACATTTGGATAGCTTAGAAGGATTCTTTGGAAAGGGGATATCTTCATATAAAATCTAGACAGAAGCATTCTCAGAAACTTATTTGTGATGTGTGTCCTCAACTAACAGAGTTGAACCTTGGTTTTGATACAGCATTTTGGAAACACTCCTTTTGAAGAATCTGCAGGTGGATATGTGGATAGCTTTGAAGATTTCGTTGGAAACGGGAATTTCTTCATATAAAATCAAACAGAAGCATTCTCAGAAACTTCTCTGTGATGTTTGCATTCAGCTCATGGAGTTGAACACTTCCTTTCATAGAGCAGGTTTGA
The DNA here is from genome assembly GCF_000001405.40 of Homo sapiens. Taxonomy (NCBI): domain Eukaryota; kingdom Metazoa; phylum Chordata; class Mammalia; order Primates; family Hominidae; genus Homo; species Homo sapiens. The sequence goes on from NC_000004.12 coordinate 51,406,734, forward strand.
AACACTCTTTCTGCACTACCTGGAAGTGGACATTTCGAGCGCTTTGAGGCCTATGGTGAAAAAGGAAATATCTTCTCATAAAAACCAGAAAGAAGCATTCTCAGAAACTTCTTTGTGTTGTGTGTACTCATGTAACAGTGTTGAACCATCCTTTTGACAGAGGAGTTTTGAAACACTCTTTTTGTAGAATCTGCAAGTGGATATTTGGATAGCTTTGAGGATTTCGTTGGAAACGGGATGACATATAATATCTAGAGAGAAGCATTCTCAGGAACTTCTTTGTGATGTTTGCATTCAAGTCACAGAATTGAACATTCCCTTTCATAGAGCAGGTTTGAAACACTCTTTCTCTAGTATCTGGAAGTGGGCATTTCAAGCGCTTTCAGGCCTATGGAGAGAAAGGAAATACCTTCAAATAAAAACTAGACAGAAGCATTCTCAGAAACTTATTTGTGATGTGTGTCCTCAACTAACAGAGTTGAACCTTTGTTTTGATACAGCATTTTGGAAACACTCCTTTTGTAGAATCTGCAGGTGGATATTTGGATAGCTTTGAAGATTTCGTTGGAAACCGGAATATCTTCATATAAAATCAAGACAGAAGCATTCTCGGAAACATCTCTGTGATGTTTGCATTCAACTCAGTAGAGTTGAACACTTCCTTTCATAGAGCAGGTTTGAAACACTCTTTCTGCACTACCTGGAAGCGGACATTTCGAGCGCTTTGAGGCCTATGGTGAAAAAGGAAATATCTTCTCATAAAAACCAGAAAGAAGCATTCTCAGAAACTTCTTTGTGTTGTGTGTACTCAAGTAACAGTGTTGAACCTTCCTTTTGACAGAGCAGTTTTGAAACACTCTTTTGGTAGAATCTGCAAGTGGATATTTGGATAGCTTTGAGGATTTCGTTGGAAACGGGTTATCTTCCTATAAAATCCAGACAGGAGCATTCTCAGAAACTTCTTTGTGCTGTATGTCCTCAATTCACAGAGCTGAACCTTTGTTTGGATACAGCATTTTGGAGACATTCCTTTAGTAGAATCTGCAAGTTGATATTTAGATAGCTTTGAAGATTTCGTTGGAAACGGGAATATCTTCATAGAAAATCTAGACGGAAGCATTCTCAGAAACTGCTTTGTGATGTTTGCATTCAAGTCACAGAGTTGAATATTTGCTTTTATAGAGCAGGTTTGAAACACTCTTTCCGGACTTCTTGGAAGTGGACATTTCGAGCGCTTTGAGGCCTATGGTGAAAAAGGAAATATCTTCCCATAAAAACTAGACGGAAGCCTTCTCAGAAACTTGTTTGAGATGTGTGTATACAACTAGGAGAGTTGAACATTTCTTTTTACAGAGCAGTTTTAAAACACTCTTTTTGTGGAATCTGAAAGTGGATATTTGGATAGCTTTGAGGATTTCGTTGGAAACGGGATGACATATAATATCTAGAGAGAAGCATTCTGAGGAACTTCTTTGTGATGTTTGCATGCAAGTCACAGAATTGAACATTCCCTTTCATAGAGCAGGTATGAAACACTCTTTCTCTAGTATCTGGAAGTGGACATTTCAAGCGCTTTCAGGCCTATGGAGAGAAAGGAAATACCTTCAAATAAAAACTAGACAGAAGCATCCTCAGAAACTTATTTGTGATGTGTGTCCTCAACTAACAGAGTTGAACCTTTGTTTTGATACAGCATTTTGGAAACACTCCTTTTGTAGAATCTGCAGGTGGATATTTGGATAGCTTTGAAGATTTCGTTGGAAACCGGAATATCTTCATAAAAAATCAAGACAGAAGCATTCTCGGAAACATCTCTGTGATGTTTGCATTCAACTCAGTAGAGTTGAACACTTCCTTTCATAGAGCAGGTTTGAAACACTCTTTCTGCACTACCTGGAAGCGGACATTTCGAGCGCTTTGAGGCCTATGGTGAAAAAGGAAATATCTTCTCATAAAAACCAGAAAGAAGCATTCTCAGAAACTTCTTTGTGTTGTGTGTACTCAAGTAACAGTGTTGAACCTTCCTTTTGACAGAGCAGTTTTGAAACACTCTTTTGGTAGAATCTGCAAGTGGATATTTGGATAGCTTTGAGGATTTCGTTGGAAACGGGTTATCTTCATATAAAATCCAGACAGGAGCATTCACAGAAACTTCTTTGTGCTGTATGTCCTCAATTCACTGAGCTGAACCTTTGTTTGGATACAGCATTTTGGAAACATTCCTTTAGTAGAATCTGCAAGTTGATATTTAGATAGCTTTGAAGATTTCATTGGAAACGGGAATATCTTCATAGAAAATCTAGACGGAAGCATTCTCATAAACTGCTTTGTGATGTTTGCATTCAAGTCACAGAGTTGAATATTCCCTTTTATAGAGTAGGTTTGAAACACTCTTTCGGCACTACCTGGAAGTGGATATTTCGAGCTCTTTGAGGCCTATGCTTAAAAGGAAATATCTTCAAATAAAAACTAGACAGAAGCCGTCTCAGAAACTTGTTTGTGATGTGTGTATTCAACTAACAGAGTTCAACATTTCTGTTACAGAGCAATTTTAAAACACTCTTTCTGTGAAATCTGAAAGTGGATAATTGGATAGCTTTGTGGATTTCGTTGGAAACGGGATGACGTATAAAATCTAGAGAGAAGCATTCTCAGGAACTTCTTTCTGATGTTTGCATTCAAGTCACAGAATTGAACATTCCTTTTCATAGTGCAGGTTTGAAACGCTCTTTCTGTAGTATCTGGAAGTGGACATTTCAAGCGCTTTCAGGCCTATGGGGAGAAAGGAAATATCTTCAAATAAAAACTAGACAGAAGGATTCTCAGAAACTTATTTGTGATGTGTGTCCTAAACGAACACAGTTGAACCTTTGTTTTGATACAGCATTTTGGAAACACTCCTTTTGTAGGATCTGCAGGTGGATATTTGGATAGATTTTAAGATTTCGTTGGAAACGGGAATTTCTTCATAGAAGCTCAAGACAGATGCATTCTCCGAAACTTCTCTGTGATGTTTGCATTCCACTCATAGAGTTGAAAACTTCCTTTCATAGAGCAGGTTTGAAACACTCTTTTTGTAATATTTGGAAGTGGACATTTGCAGCGCTTTGAGGCCTATGGTGAAAAAGGAAATATCTTCTCATAAAAACCAGAAACAAGCATTCTCAGAAACTTCTTTTTGATGTGTGTACTCAAGTAACAGAGTTGAACCTTCCTCTTGACACAGCAGTTTTGAAACAATCTTTTTGTAGAATCTGCAAGTGGATATTTGGATAGCTTTGAGGATTTCGTTGGAAACGGGATATCTTCATATAAAATCTAGACAGAAGCATTCTCAGAAACTTCTTTGTGCTGTATGTCCTCAATTAACAGAGTTGAACCATTGCTTGGATACAGCATTTTGGAAACATTCCTTTAGTAGAATCTGCAAGTTGATATTTAGATAGCTTTGAAGATTTCGTTGGAAACGGGAATATCTTCATATAAAATCTAGACGGAAGCATTCTCAGAAACTGCTTTGTGATGTTTGCATTCAAGTCACAGAGTTGAATATTCCCTTTTATAGAGTAGGTTTGAAACACTCTTTCGGCACTACCTGGAAGTGGATATTTCGAGCTCTTTGAGGCCTATGGTTAAAAGGAAATATCTTCCCATAAAAACTAGACAGAAGCCGTCTCAGAAACTTGTTTGTGATGTGTGTATTCAACTACCAGAGTTGAACATTTCTGTTACAGAGCAATTTTAAAACACTCTTTCTGTGGAATCTGAAAGTGGATAATTGGATAGCTTTGTGGATTTCGTTGGAAACGGGATGACGTATAAAATCTAGAGAGAAGCATTCTCAGGAACTTCTTTCTGATGTTTGCATTCAAGTCACAGAATTGAACATTCCTTTTCAGAGTGCAGGTTTGAAACACACTCTTTCTGTAGTATCTGGAAGTGGACATTTCAAGCGCTTTCAGGCCTACGGGGAGAAAGGAAATATCTTCAAATAAAAACTAGACAGAAGGATTCTCAGAAACTTATTTGTGATGTGTGTCCTAAACGAACACAGTTGAACCTTTGTTTTGATACAGCATTTTGGAAACACTCCTTTTGTAGGATCTGCAGGTGGATATTTGGATAGATTTTAAGATTTCGTTGGAAACGGGAATTTCTTCATAGAAGCTCAAGACAGATGCATTCTCAGAAACTTCTCTGTGATGTTTGCATTCCACTCATAGAGTTGAAAACTTCCTTTCATAGAGCAGGTTTGAAACACTCTTTTTGTAATATTTGGAAGTGGACATTTGCAGCGCTTTGAGGCCTATGGTGAAAAAGGAAATATCTTCTCATAAAAACCAGAAACAAGCATTCTCAGAAACTTCTTTTTGATGTGTGTACTCAAGTAACAGAGTTGAACCTTCCTTTTGACACAGCAGTTTTGAAACAATCTTTTTGTAGAATCTGCAAGTGGATATTTGGATAGCTTTGAGGATTTCGTTGGAAACGGGATATCTTCATATAAAATCTAGACAGAAGCATTCTCAGAAACTTCTTTGTGCTGTATGTCCTCAATTAACAGAGTTGAACCATGGCTTGGATACAGCATTTTGGAAACATTCCTTGAGTAGAATCTGCAAGTTGATATGTAGATAGCTTTGAAGATTTCGTTGGAAACGGGAATATCTTCATATAAAATCTAGACGGAAGCATTCTCAGAAACTGCTTTGTGACGTTCCCATTCAAGTCACGGAGTTGAATATTCTCTTTTATAGAGCACGTTTGAAACACTCTTTCTGCACTATCTGGAAGTGGACATTTCGAGCGCTTTGAGGCCTATGGTGAAAAAGGAAATATCTTCCCATAAAAACTAGACAGAAGCATTCTCAGAAACTTGTTTGTGATGTGTGTATTCAACTAACAGAGTTGAACTTTTGTTTTTACAGAGCCGTTTTAAAACACTCTTTTTGTGGAATCAGAAAGTGGATATTCGGATGGCTCTGAGGATTTCGTTGGAAGCGGGATTACGTATAAAATCTAGAGAGAAGCATTCTCAGGAACTTCTTTCTGATGTTTGCATTCAAGTCACAGCATTGAACATTCACTTTGATAGAGCAGGTTTGAAACAATCATTCTGTAGTATCTGGAAGCGGACAATTCAAGCGCTTTCAGGCCTATGGGGAGAAAGGAAATATCTTCAAATAAAAACTAGACAGAAGCATCCTCAAACTTATTTGTGATGTGTGTCCTCAACTAACAGAGTTGAAACTTTGTTTTGATACAGCATTTTGGAAACACTCTTTTTGTAGAATCTGCAGGTGGATATTTGGATAGCTTAGAGGGATTCGTTGGAAAGGGGATATCTTCATATAGAATCTAGACAGAAGCATTCTCAGAAACTTATTTGTGATGTGTGTCCTCAACTAACAGAGTTGAACCTTGGTTTTGATACAGCATTTTGGAAACACTCCTTTTGTAGAATCTGCAGGTGGATATGTGGATAGCTCTGAAGATTTCGTTGGAAACGGGAATTTCTTCATATAAAATCAAACAGAAGCATTCTCAGAAACTTCTCTGTGATGTTTGCATTCAGCTCATGGAGTTGAACACTTCCCTTCATAGAGCAGGTTTGAAACACTCTTTCTGCACTTCCAGGAAGTGGACATTTCGAGCGCTTTGAGGCCTATGGTGAAAAAGGAAATATCTTCTCATAAAAACCAGAAAGAAGCGTTCTCAGAAACTTCTTTGTGTTGTGTGTACTCATGTAACAGTGTTGAACCATCCTTTTGACAGAGCAGTTTTGAAACAGTCTTTTTGTAGAATCTGCAAGTGGATATTTGGATAGCTTTGAGGATTTCGTTGGAAACGGGTTATCTTCATATTAAATCTAGACAGAAGCATTCTCAGAAACTTCTTTGTGCTGTATGTCCTCAATTCACAGAGTTGAACCTTTGTTTGGATACAGCATTTTGGAAACATTCCTTTAGTAGAATCTGCAAGTTGATATTTAGATAGCTTTGAAGATTTCGTTGGAAACGGGAATATCTTCATAAAAAATCTAGACGGAAGCATTGTCAGAAACTGCTTTGTGATGTTTAAATTCAAGTCACAGAGTTAAATATTCTTTTACAGAGCAGGTTTGAAACACTCTTTCTGCACTCCCTGGAAGTGGAGATTTCGAGCGCTTTGAGGCCTATGGTGAAAAAGGAAATATCTTCCCATAAAAACTAGACGGAAGCCTTCTCAGAAACTTGTTTGAGATGTGTGTATTCAACTAAGAGCGTTGAACATTTCTTTTTACAGAGCAGTTTTAAAACACTCTTTTTGTGGAATCTGAAAGTGGATAATTGGATAGCTTTGTGGATTTCGTTGGAAACGGGATGACGTATAAAATCTAGAGAGAAGCATTCTCAGGAACTTCTTTCTGATGTTTGCATTCAAGTCACAGAATTGAACATTCCTTTTCATAGTGCAGGTTTGAAACACTCTTTCTGTAGTATCTGGAAGTGGACATTTCAAGCGCTTTCAGGCCTATGGGGAGAAAGGAAATATCTTCAAATAAAAACTAGACAGAAGGATTCTCAGAAACTTATTTGTGATGTGTGTCCTAAACGAACACAGTTGAACCTTTGTTTTGATACAGCATTTTGGAAACACTCCTTTTGTAGGATCTGCAGGTGGATATTTGGATAGATTTTAAGATTTCGTTGGAAACGGGAATTTCTGCATAGAAACTCAAGACAGATGCATTCTCAGAAACTTCTCTGTGATGTTTGCATTCCACTCATAGAGTTGAAAACTTCCTTTCATAGAGCAGGTTTGAAACACTCTTTTTGTAATATTTGGAAGTGGACATTTGCAGCGCTTTGAGGCCTATGGTGAAAAAGGAAATTCTTCTCATAAAAACCAGAAACAAGCATTCTGAGAAACTGCTTTTTGATGTGTGTACTCAAGTAACAGAGTTGAACCTTCCTTTTGACACAGCAGTTTTGAAACAATCTTTTTGTAGAATCTGCAAGTGGATATTTGGATAGCTTTGAGGATTTCGTTGGAAACGGGATATGTTCATATAAAATCCAGACAGAAGCATTCTCAGAAACTTCTTTGTGCTGTATGTCCTCAATTAACAGAGTTGAACCATTGCTTGGATACAGCATTTTGGAAACATTCCTTTAGTAGAATCTGCAAGTTGATATTTAGATAGATTTGAAGATTTCTTTGGAAACGGGAATATCTTCATATAAAATCTAGACGGAAGCATTCTCAGAAAACTGCTTTGTGATGTTTCCATTCAAGTCACAGAGTTGAATATTCCCTTTTATAGAGCACGTTTGAAACACTCTTTCTGCGCTATCTGGAAGTGGACATTTCGAGCGCTTTGAGGCCTATGGTGAAAAAGGAAATATCTTCCCATAAAAACTAGACAGAAGCATTCTCAGAAACTTGTTTGTGATGTGTGTATTCAACTAACAGAGTTGAACTTTTGTTTTTACAGAGCCGTTTTAAAACACTCTTTTTGTGGAATCAGAAAGTGGATATTCGGATGGCTCTGAGGATTTCGTTGGAAGCGGGATTACATATAAAATCTAGAGAGAAGCATTCTCAGGAACTTCTTTGTGATGTTTGCATTGAAGTCACAGAATTGAACATTCACTTTGATAGAGCAGGTTTGAAACACTCATTCTGTAGTATCTGGAAGTGGACATTTCAAGCGCTTTCAGGCCTATGGTGAGAAAGGAAATATCTTCGAATAAAAACTAGACAGAAGCATCCTCAAACTTATTTGTGATGTGTGTCCTCAACTAACAGAGTTGAAACTTTGTTTTGATACAGCATTTTGGAAACACTCTTTTTGTAGAATCTGCAGGTGGATATTTGGATAGCTTAGAGGGATTCGTTGGAAAGGGGATATCTTCATATAGAATCTAGACAGAAGCATTCTCAGAAACTTATTTGTGATGTGTGTCCTCAACTAACAGAGTTGAACCTTGGTTTTGATACAGCATTTTGGAAACACTCCTTTTGTAGAATCTGCAGGTGGATATGTGGATAGCTCTGAAGATTTCATTGGAAACGGGAATTTCTTCATATAAAATCAAACAGAAGCATTCTCAGAAACTTCTCAGTGATGTTTGCATTCAGCTCATGGAGTTGTACACTTCCTTTCATAGAGCAGGTTTGAAACACTCTTTCTGCACTACCTGGAAGAGGACATTTCGAGCGCTTTGAGTCCTATGGTGAAAAAGGAAATATCTTCTCATAGAAACCAGAAAGAAGCATTCTCAGAAACTTCTTTGTGTTGTGTGTACTCATGTAACAGTGTTGAACCATCCTTTTGACAGAGGAGTTTTGAAACACTCTTTTTGTAGAATCTGCAAGTGGATATTTGGATAGCTTTGAGGATTTCGTTGGAAACGGGATGACATATAATATCTAGAGAGAAGCATTCTCAGGAACTTCTTTGTGATGTTTGCATTCAAGTCACAGAATTGAACATTCCCTTTCATAGAGCAGGTTTGAAACACTCTTTCTCTAGTATCTGGAAGTGGGCATTTCAAGCGCTTTCAGGCCTATGGAGAGAAAGGAAATACCTTCAAATAAAAACTAGACAGAAGCATTCTCAGAAACTTATTTGTGATGTGTGTCCTCAACTAACAGAGTTGAACCTTTGTTTTGATACAGCATTTTGGAAACACTCCTTTTGTAGAATCTGCAGGTGGATATTTGGATAGCTTTGAAGATTTCGTTGGAAACCGGAATATCTTCATATAAAATCAAGACAGAAGCATTCTCGGAAACATCTCTGTGATGTTTGCATTCAACTCAGTAGAGTTGAACACTTCCTTTCATAGAGCAGGTTTGAAACACTCTTTCTGCACTACCTGGAAGCGGACATTTCGAGCGCTTTGAGGCCTATGGTGAAAAAGGAAATATCTTCTCATAAAAACCAGAAAGAAGCATTCTCAGAAACTTCTTTGTGTTGTGTGTACTCAAGTAACAGTGTTGAACCTTCCTTTTGACAGAGTAGTTTTGAAACACTCTTTTGGTAGAATCTGCAAGTGGATATTTGGATAGCTTTGAGGATTTCGTTGGGAACGGGTTATCTTCCTATAAAATCCAGACAGGAGCATTCTCAGAAACTTCTTTGTGCTGTATGTCCTCAATTCACAGAGCTGAACCTTTGTTTGGATACAGCATTTTGGAGACATTCCTTTAGTAGAATCTGCAAGTTGATATTTAGATAGCTTTGAAGATTTCGTTGGAAACGGGAATATCTTCATAGAAAATCTAGACGGAAGCATTCTCAGAAACTGCTTTGTGATGTTTGCATTCAAGTCACAGAGTTGAATATTCCCTTTTATAGAGTAGGTTTGAAACACTCTTTCGGCACTACCTGGAAGTGGATATTTCGAGCTCTTTGAGGCCTATGGTTAAAAGGAAATATCTTCCCATAAAAACTAGACAGAAGCCTTCTCAGAAACTTGTTTGAGATGTGTGTATTCAACTAAGAGCGTTGAACATTTCTTTTTACAGAGCAGTTTTAAAACACTCTTTTGTGGAATCTGAAAGTGGTTAATTGGATAGCTTTGTGGATTTCATTGGAAACGGGATGACGTATAAAATCTAGAGAGAAGCATTCTCAGGAACTTCTTTCTGATGTTTGCATTCAAGTCACAGAATTGAACATTCCTTTTCATAGTGCAGGTTTGAAACACTCTTTCTGTAGTATCTGGAAGTGGACATTTCCAGCGCTTTCAGGCCTATGGGGAGAAAGGAAATATCTTCAAATAAAAACTAGACAGAAGGATTCTCAGAAACTTATTTGTGATGTGTGTCCTAAACGAACACAGTTGAACCTTTGTTTTGATACAGCATTTTGGAAACACTCCTTTTGTAAGATCTGCAGGTGGATATTTGGATAGATTTTAAGATTTCGTTGGAAACGGGAATTTCTGCATATAAACTCAAGACAGATGCATTCTCAGAAACTTCTCTGTGATGTTTGCATTCCACTCATAGAGTTGAAAACTTCCTTTCATAGAGCAGGTTTGAAACTCTTTTTGTAATATTTGGAAGTGGACATTTGCAGCGCTTTGAGGCCTATGGTGAAAAAGGAAATATCTTCTCATAAAAACCAGAAACAAGCATTCTCAGAAACTTCTTTTTGATGTGTGTACTCAAGTAACAGAGTTGAACCTTCCTTTTGACACAGCAGTTTTGAAACAATCTTTTTGTAGAATCTGCAAGTGGATATTTGGATAGCTTTGAGGATTTCGTTGGAAACGGGATATCTTCATATAAAATCTAGACAGAAGCATTCTCAGAAACTTCTTTGTGCTGTATGTCCTCAATTAGCAGAGTTGAACCATTGCTTGCATACAGCATTTTGGAAACATTCCTTTAGTAGAATCTGCAAGTTGATATTTAGATAGATTTGAAGATTTCGTTGGAAACGGGAATATCTTCATATAAAATCTAGACGGAGGCATTCTCAGAAACTGCTTTGTGATGTTTCCATTCAAGTCACAGAGTTGAATATTCTCTTTTATAGAGCACGTTTGAAACACTCTTTCTGCACTATCTGGAAGTGGACATTTCAAGCGCTGTGAGGCCTATGGTGAAAAAGGAAATATCTTCCCATAAAAACTAGACAGAATCATTCTCAGAAACTTGTTTGTGATGTGTGTATTCAACTAACAGACTTGAACTTTTGTTTTTACAGAGCAGTTTTAAGACAATCTTTTTGTGGAATCACAAAGTGGATATTCGGATGGCTTTGAGGACTTCGTTGGAAGCGGGATTACATATAAAATCTAGAGAGAAGCATTCTCAGGAACTACTTTGTGATGTTTGTATTGAAGTCACAGAATTGAACATTCACTTTGATAGAGCAGGTTTGAAACACTCATTCTGTAGGATCTGGAAGCGGACAATTCAAGCGCTTTCAGGCCTATGGGGAGAAAGGAAATATCTTCAAATAAAAACTAGAGAGAAGCATCCTCAGAAACTTATTTGTGATGTGTGTTCTCAACTAACAGAGTTGAAACTTTGTTTTGATACAGCATTTTGGAAACACTCTTTTTGTAGAATCTGCAGGTGGATATTTGGATAGCTTAGAGGGATTCGTTGGAAAGGGGATATCTTCATAGAAAATCTAGACAGAAGCATTCTCAGAAACTTATTTGTGATGTGTGTCCTCAACTAACAGAGTTGAACCTTGGTTTTGATACAGCATTTTGGAAACACTCCTTTTGAAGAATCTGCAGGTGGATATGTGGATAGCTTTGAAGATTTCGTTGGAAACGGGAATTTCTTCATATAAAATCAAACAGAAGCATTCTCAGAAACTTCTCAGTGATGTTTGCATTCAGCTCATGGAGTTGTACACTTCCTTTCATAGAGCAGGTTTGAAACACTCTTTCTGCACTACCTGGAAGAGGACATTTCGAGCGCTTTGAGTCCTATGGTGAAAAAGGAAATATCTTCTCATAGAAACCAGAAAGAAGCATTCTCAGAAACTTCTTTGTGTTGTGTGTACTCATGTAACAGTGTTGAACCATCCTTTTGACAGAGGAGTTTTGAAACACTCTTTTTGTAGAATCTGCAAGTGGATATTTGGATAGCTTTGAGGATTTCGTTGGAAACGGGATGACATATAATATCTAGAGAGAAGCATTCTCAGGAACTTCTTTGTGATGTTTGCATTGAAGTCACAGAATTGAACATTCACTTTGATAGAGCAGGTTTGAAACACTCATTCTGTAGTATCTGGAAGTGGACATTTCAAGCGCTTTCAGGCCTATGGTGAGAAAGGAAATACCTTCAAATAAAAACGTAGACAGAAGCATCCTCAGAAACTTATTTGTGATGTGTGTCCTCAACTAACAGAGTTGAAACTTTGTTTTGATACAGCATTTTGGAAACACTCCTTTTGTAGAATCTGCAGGTGGATATTTGGATAGCTTTGAAGATTTCGTTGGAAACCGGAATATCTTCATATAAAACCAAGACAGATGTTTCTGTTTTTTATGAGAACATATTTCCTTTTTCAACATAGGCCTCAAAGCGCTGCAAATGTCCACCAAATTACCCAAAGTATGTATTATATACTGTACATAATATATTCAAAGTACCCAAAGTATGTATTATATACTGTACATAATATATTCAAAGTACCCAAAATATGATTTATATACTGTACATAAAATATCAAAGTACCCAAAGTAGGTATTATATACTG